>NC_000002.12:110519921-110822951 GCF_000001405.40 Homo sapiens | reverse complement strand
ATTACTAAGTGAAAGAAGCCAGTCTGAAAAGGCTACCTGCTGTATGATGCTATTTATATGACATTCTCAAAAAGGCAAAAACTATAGAGATGGTGAACAGATTGGGGTGGCCAAAGGTATGGGGAGGGAGAAGGATTAAATAGACAAAGCACAGGGTATTATTTGGGGGTGGTGAAGCTACTCTCTATGATACTTTAATGGGAGATACACGAAACTACACATTTGTCAAAACCCACAGAGCTTTACAGCACAGAGAGTAAAATCTAAGGTATGTAACTTTAAAAAACATTTAAACATTGAGGGGCTCTCAGAATGGAATGTAGACTGTGATAAAAGAACATAACTGTATGACATATGTATTAAGCAACCTCACTGAAGGGAGTAAGAAATAAAGGTGCTGAACTAAGTAACTCTGGAGCCGAATGTAGTAAGACTAAAGGCAAAGTGAACTAACTGTACATCAGCACTGTACTCTAGATGATAAAGTTGTTTGCATGGAATATGAGTTAAAAATACAGAAACCGGCATACGTGAAGGCTGGAACTGAATAATTAAGTAAACATATGGCAGATGGTGGCAACCATATTTCTCACTGTTGGAGTAGGCTACAGACAAGCAAGGAGAAAGGCTAGAAGACCCTACTGTAAAGGGATCAGAGTTGAGACGTGAGTGTGAACTCATGTTTAGCTTAACATAGATACAAATGAATATATATTATAGATATGTTATATACACAGGTTGCTTTACACACATATATTTCCTTGGCTTATCAACTGGAAAGGCCTAGAAGTAACAACATCCCAGCCACGAAGGAAACACCTAGCACCCTAATCTTCATTTCTCAAAACATTCTTTAATAAAAGGAACCAGGGAAAGGTTCCTTTTATTAAAAGGGCCTAGGGCAGACAAAATACAAGATGAGCCTGGGGCATCTTGTATACAGCCGCATGTATACATGCACATACACACACGCACGCACACACTCACACACACACTCACATGCACACACACACACACAATGATAGAAGAATGTCAAAGGGTAACAGAGCCAATTGAAAGAGCTTCCAAAAGCCAAAGCTGAAACAATTTGAGCAACAAAAGAAAGTAGTATTAGATTATAACCCAAAGTATAAATTAAATATCCATGAGTACATACTTACATAAAGAAGTAATTGGATAAATAATGAGGGAGAAAAGACAAATTTCCCATGCAAAAGAATTCCAAATAATTTCTGCAGATACTCCACCCTTGAGGAGGTGGAACATAACTCCTCACATCTTCAGTGTGGGCTGATCGTATGAAAAGGGGGAAAAAGAGTAACTTTAGAGTACAGAAACTTGACAAGTTCGACTTTGGACACTTTAAGTCAGCAATTACTTGACCTGGGACAGGTGAAGAGATGGACAGGGCACCTGCTCGGCCCCAAAGGTCTCAGTGATGGTCCCTCTTAGCTTCAAAGGTGTCAAATTCTGAGCCACACACAGAGAAGGGTTCTCCCTCCACCCAGGTGGGAGGCAGCTCTGGGCCCCGCTGCATATAGGGGTCCAGCTCTTCTTTGGAGCTCAGACCAGCCTGTTTGGGGCTGCCTCTTCAAGACTTCGACCTTCTGATCTGCTGGCACCTTCATTAATGAATAGAAACTAGCAGAAATATGTTAAAAAAAAAGAGAGAGAGAGAGAAAGTATTTTGAATGGCTCCTCAAAAGAGAGCTTATCCTTGTAAATCTTTTGCTTATACCCCTTCACCATCCAGGAAAGAATGACATCAAACTGAGGAAGGGCAGGGCCTCCCCTGCCACACGACCATGGAACCAGGGGCTTTGAGAGCCCAGCTTTAGTGGATTGTGCTTGAGGTCAAAGTTTGGGTAGAACTTATGAGGTACAACAGCCGTTCTTGCCATAGAGTTTTCCATACAGATGCCTCATATTTGCTGGGACAGGAGATCCGAAGGTGAATCATACATGTTATTCACTGGAAGGTCCAAACCACACTCTGGGTATCCAACAATAGCAGGAGGGAGGACATATTCCCAATCCCAGTCTCCCTCCCTACACCTTCTCCCACCCTCATCTCCTGAGCTTTTTTGATTAGAGTTTTCCCTGAAGCTGTCACTTCACTGCCACATCCTGTCCTTCTGCAACCCAATTGGTGAATTTCCAAATCTGGGCCAACCCAACCATCTAATTTCCTACCTCTGTCCCCCGGTACAAACCACATCTTCACCTTGCCTGGCACTGCCACAAATACAAATTAGAACAAGGTACGCCACTCAAGACCAGAGGTATAACAGTCTCCACAAGCCTTCTTCTTCTGTCCTCTCTCCTCCTCAGTCTATCGCTCTCAGTGGCTGTGGAGATTGAGCCTCTTCTTCCTAAGTGTCCAGCCCCACCCCCACTCCCTCTCCTCAGACCTTGACCCTATCTCTGCATTCCTCAGAGAACAGAAGTCATCTGCTGGGGCACCCTCAACTTTCTTGCACCTGCTTGAAATTTCCTCTGTATCTCCTCCTCTCTTCAGACTTTCTGTCCCTCCTGTCTGTGAGGAAAAAATACTTGCTTTGGTTTCAGGGTCATTCTCCACCTATGTTTAATGTCACATCCTACATGCCACCTGTGACCTTCTCTTCAGTTAACTTCCTCTCCCTAGCAGCATCGGTCTCTCCCTCTCACTTCCTCTTTCCCATCTGGGCTCAGACGTGCTCCTGTTGTTCCTCCCACTAAAACACTATTCCTCAACCCCACAGCACTCAAACTCCTGTCCCACATAACCTCCCTTGTTACAGCACCAGGCACAGGCTATGGTCCCACATGGACCTGGGTTCAGATCTCAGATCTGCCTCTTACTGACTAGGGAATGTTGGGAAATAACCACGACCACACGGAAGTCTATGGAGGAGCCCCTGAGTGTCAGGCACGGTGCAAGGGACTTTACTTACAATGATATCAAGCTCACAGAATCCCATCAGCATCCTCAGGAGACAGGGATGTTGTATTTAGTTCAGAGAACAAGAAGCTGGGCCCTGGAGAGGTTAAGTAATTTGTACAAGTTCACATAGCCAAGTGAGGCAGAGGTGGAGCCAGGGAGAGCTGGCCTATATCAAACCAAAGCCCACATTCTATCCTCCACTGTCTCCTAGATGCCTAATGCTCTTATCCTCAGCCCCTTCTCTAGAGAATATCAGTGTTATTGGCTACCTTGTGAAGGTCCTATAAGAATTAAAGAAAATGATGTGCACAGAGCACTTAGCATAATGTCCAGCACTCAACAAATGAGGATTGTTCAAAAAATGGGGATGATTTCTATAGGATTACCAACCACGCATTCCAACTTGAATTCCCTCCTCTTCGCTTCCATGAAGCTATGATCTCCTAGTTGTCCTCCTGCCTCTCCAACCCACCTCTTGCATTCCCCATAATCCTCTTGGGCTCATCCTTTAAATGTAGGCTTTGTCCAGAGTCCCTCATAGCTCCCTGTTCCTGCACAATGTCACCTTCTCCCCCAACTTCGGTCAGTGCCTCCCAGAGCCTCCACCCTGCCTGACACCTCAGCAAACCCACACTTCCTTCCCTAAACCTGTTCCTCCTCTGCGTTCTCCATGTTTAACCAAGGTGCTCCTGAACCATGAGTAAATCTCATTGCTTCTTCCTTAGAAGCCTCCAGTAGCCCCCTATTGCCAACAGAATAAACTGCAGAATCTTTAGCAAGGCAACCAAATCCCTTCATTATCTGGTCCAAACCACCTTCCCAGCTGCTTTCAACTGCACCAATCTATTGGACATTTGCTATTATGCCTCTCCTCCCCAGAGTCTCTTTCCCAGCTAAACATCCACACATGCTCCAGCAATTCTTAGCGTGGCATCATGTCAAAACCCTTGACTGTCCTGGAGATCATCTCCAGACTGGCTTCATTTGCCTGGGTGTCTCTTTTAAAATGAAGCCCAGAAACGGACAGTACCTTAGGTGCTGAATAGAACTATGCTCTCCAGTGTTCTGAAAATTACTTCTCAGAATGCAGCCTGTCCTCTTTGTGCCTGCCCAACAGGCCAATTCTAGCTTCAGCATCGCAGCCAGGTCAGCTTTGGCTGATCACGAGCTTCCGTGTGCTCCCAGGGTGCTGACATCAGCACCTGAAATCATTTCAGGTTTACGCTCTGCTTTTCCAATAGGACTGAAAACCCCTCAAGGGAAGGAATTTCTATGTTCCACCCTCCAATGCTTAGATGTCTTTAGTCCAGCTGGAGTGAATAAACCAGAGGATTTCTAAGGTCATACGTAAAAATGGGGTCATGTCACATTTAACCTAAATCTCCCCCATCCCCCGTCTTTTTAAAATTCCACTTTAAAATGGAGCATAGGCATAGAGTATATATATACATACATATATATACACATACATATATATACCTACTTATACACATATATATATACACACATACACATATATATATACACATACACATATATATACACACATACACATATACATATATATATATATACACACACACACACACACACACACACACATATATATATATATGTTTTTTTTTTTTTTTTGAGACAGAGTCTCACTCTGTCAACCAGGCTGGAGTGCAGTGGTGCGATCTCGGCTCACTGCAACCTCTGCCTCCCGGGTTCAAGTGATTCTCCTGCCTCAGCCTCCCAAATAGCTGGGAATATAGGCGCATGCCATACCACACCAGGCTAATTTTTGTAATTTTAGTAGAGATGGGGTTTCATGTTGACCAGGCTGGTCTCAAACTCCTCACCTCAGGTGATCCCCCCGACTTGACCTCCCAAAGTGCTGGGATTACAGGCATGACCCACTGCACCCGGCCAAGTATACTTTTTGTACTCTCAGCACCTCTAGTGATTTGATGCTCGGAATTATCTTGCAACATTGACAAACATATCCTCTAAATTAAGGAGGCATTTTATGGCAGTAAAAGGTATAATTTGGCTGATGAGATCAGTCCCTAAAAAAAAAAAAAAAAAAAAGTCAGGAGCATGGATTGAAACAAAACTTGGACGAGACGGCAAATAGAAGAAAGGGAACGCGCCACAGTGAGCCAGCCCTTAGTGCCTTACACCATCAGCTATTTATTCAAGCATGAAAACTGTGACATCATTCTCACAACACTAATTAGACAAAGAAATGAGATATGCAAATATTTTTTAAAACTTGATTCTGCAACACTCTTGCCAGATAAAAGTTAATTTAGAAAAACACAACTCATCAGGCTGACTCTGGAGCCAATGTCCATCACCCTAACTACCTGACCTAGGATATCCCTGGAGAAAAATCAAGCACAAGATGTAGGCTGCCCCATGACCCTAGAGACAGCTCAAATCCTTGGAATCTCTCATGGGCCAGGTTGGCCCAAAGATCAGAGGAAGCACAGTTACCCAAGCAAGAAGCACAGAAGTTTCAAGAAACTGAAGATGCTGCACTTTGAGGCTCCAACATGTCCAGCATCCCTTCTCCAGTGCAGCCTCCAGATGAAGGGTCTTTCGCAAGAAGGGTTCTGTGGGACCCTCAAGTCATTCCGTAATCCTCAAGTCATTCCTCAAGTCATCCAAGTGGGACACAGATGTGTACAACCCTGCACTGCCCCACATGAGGTGATTGCCTCGCCAAGCTGCCTCCCCTCACAGAGCCTCTGTTTTCTTGGCTGTGAAACTGGAATCCTGGTGGAGTTGCTGTGAGCACTGAATGAGAACACACACATGGAATCTCAAGAGCCTAGCCCACGGGAGACCATCAGCACGTGGCAGCTCCTTCTCTCCTCCTGGACCGCCTTAGAACAAAGATGCTTGTGATGGGCTGGGTGCAGGGCTGAATTCAGTTCGCAGACAGCTACTGAGGGCCCCCTGTGTGCCTCGCACTGTGTGAAGTTCCTGCCCTTTCGTAGCTAAGGGAGAAGTAGGCAGACTGTTAACACCTGGGGCTGGAATAAGCCAGGCACTAAGAACAGCCCCAAAGGCAGGAAGCTTTCCCAGGGAAGCCACATCCATGCCCAGGCAACGGGTGAGCAAGAGAGGAAGACAGGGACAGTCACGGGCAGAGAGGCCAATCTGTGCTGAGTCCAGAGGTGACCAGGGTGGCCTGTTTGAGGAGCTGCAACCAGGTCTGTATTGCTGGAGTAAAAGATTCATTTCTCTCACCCGGATAGAATTCCCCTTAACCCAGTTCCTCTATACTTTAGGCCACGGCTGCTCTCTGAAGCTTTAATCCTATTACACAGCTGTCTTTAGAGAACAGGAGACCATCCCCGGACCTGTGTATCATCCACCTAGAATAGCACTCCAGTCACACTGACAATGTCATCAGACCCAGGAGACTCAGCCATGAGCAATCTGCAAGGGTGAGCCAAGGAGCAAGTAAGCACTGCAGGAAATAAAAACAAAACAGTCATTGCCCAGATACACACCTGCCTCAGCTGAAAATACCCTGGGGTGCACAAGTCCAAAAGATCTCCATATACACATTAGAAACAGAAAGTGCTTGTTTTTCTTTTTCTAAAGATTTAATTCATGATTCCAGGGCCAATAATACATTTAAATGCCACCAGATGACCCAAACCCAATCTCCACAGAGCTGTGATCTGGACTGACTTATTCTCTACCAAATAAGCCTTCCCCTTTGCCACTATATTTATTCATCTATCTCTCTATCCATCCACCCACACATCCATTCATCCATCCATTCATCCATCCATCCATCCATCCATCCATCATTTATCCATCTACCCATCCATTCATCCATCTATCCATCCATCCGTCCATCCATGCATCCATTTATACATCTGTCTATCCATCCATTCATCCATCCACCCACCCATCCATTCATCTACCCACCCATCTATCCATTCATCCATCTATTCATCTACCCATCCATCCCTCCATCCATCAATTAATCTATCTATTCATCCATCTATACATGCATTTTTCCATCCATTCATCCACTCACCCATCATCCATCTGTCCATTCACTGAGTGCTTACTAAGTACCAGGTCCTGTTCATCCAGAGGTGACCAAGAAGACACAGGTTCTGTCCTCTTGGACTTGACATTCCTAGTGACCAGCCTTGCAGGTGAGGCACCCCAAGCAAGACTTTCTTACCCCTGAGTTTGCTGAGTGGCAAATAAATATAGTTCCACAGAAGCCCTTGGGCACCCCACTCAGGGCCAACCTTGTAGGCAGAGAATGCCTGCTCCTCAGTTTACCTCCTTCGGTTCCTGCCTCTCCAAACTCAGATCAAGCTTGATCCAGAGGGAAGTCCCTACGATGCAGGCAACATTCTCCCCACTGCAAACCATGTAATAATCTGGAAAAGCCACATATCTTCACAGAAGCAGGGGACTTTGCTCCTTATTACAGACATGGCAGCACATACATTTTAAATATGAAAAACATCCCCTCCTTCTAAGGTCCCTGTATTGAAGTTTTCAAGGCACCTCACTTGGATTTTGTACAAATTGAGAAATAAACCAACAAGCATCAGATAGAGGCCAAATTAATAAAATACAAATTAACAAAGGAGAATATGAAATAGATTTCATACAATAGACAAAATGATCAAGAAGCTTGAAGATATTACTACTATAGTGATTGACATGGTTTGGCTGTGTTTCCACCCAAATCTCATCTTGAATTATAGTTCCCATAATTTCCATGTGTTGTAGGAGGGACACATTGGGAAGTAATTGAATCACGGGGGCAGTTTCCCTCATGTTGCTGTTCTCATGATAGTGAGTGAGTTCTCACAAGATCTGATGGTTTTATAAGGGGCTTTTACCCCTTTTGCTCAGCACTTCTCCTTGCTGCCACCATATGAAGAAGGACATATTTGCTCGCCCTTCCACCATGATTGTAAGTTTTCTGAGGCCTCCCCAGCCCTGCAGAACTGTGAGTTAATTAAACCTTTCTTTACAAATTACCCAGTCTCGGGTATGTCTTTATTAGCAACATGAGAACCAACTAATACATTGATGAAGGCATATGTTTCTTCTCCTAACAAGAAAAAAAACAAAGGCAATTAGAAATTCCAGGACAAACTAAAAACCTTAAAAAGTTACAATTATCAAAATATCAAGCAAATAAAAACATGATACAATTCTGAGTAATTTATAGAGTATAAGAAAAGTGATTCCATTTGACCTTGATGCTAGGAATATTGTTGTTCAAATTGTAAAGATATTTTGACATTAGACTTCTAGAGAAGAAATATGATCCTCATATACTATGTAGTTCTACAGTGAACAATACTTCGTAGCCCTGGCCTTAATAACACACAAACTTATAACAATAATACATAAAGTTATAACCCACAAATATTCTACTAACCATTATTTTGCTTCCCTTCTTAGAGCCTGTAAGGGTTTTGTGGTGGCAAATTTAAATGGCCCAGTTCACTTTTTAAAATTTATCTAAGGAATTGTAAACTTTTTTTGGCTTACTAAATTTCATTATGGTAGGCAAAGGTATCCAAACTTGTTCCGTTAAACTAAGCTAAAAAAAAAAAAATCCACTGGACACACTTAATAAGTGTTCATTCTAAATGGCCCTTTTCCCCATAAAAAGTCATCAATGAAAAGGCTGGATCAACTCATTTCCCCTCTTACTCCTGATCCCAGGACACAAAGCTCAGAACCACAGTGACACACAGCTGTGAGGCAAAGTCGGCAGTGCCACTAAAAATTAAACCAGGCCTCAGGTCACAGTGGAGAAGGAGGCCTGGATTCTGGCCCAGCCACTAACTATTTAACATCTACCAAATCCCAGTCTGAGTGAAATGTCCACATTTTCAACGTGGACACCAAATTTTTTAAATATTTGGTTTGGTTTGGTTAACCAAGGCAAATCCAACCATGCATAAAGTGTTCCAGGAACGCCAGTGAGCAGAGTTTATCCCAAGAACATCTGTCTTGAGGACTACAAAGCCACTCCAGCATTGGGTAACGGCCGGACCCCAGTGCTGGAATACCAGAGTGTAAGGCCCAGAAAGCTCTGGGCAAACTGTTACATCTTCCTACATCTCAGGTTCCTCATGTGGAAAATGGGAATCAGGACAGCACTCAGCTCACAGGGTTGCTCTGGTGATGAAATAAACAATTATATGTGAGGTGCTCAGAAAATTGTCCCTGATCAGGAAGGACTCAATACAAGTGAGTTACTATTTGACTGTGGCTTGAGCTGTTGTTGCCTTTCTCTATGGGAATCTACTACAGGATAGAACAAAGGAATGGAGCAATGAGCTGTGGAGTGAGGGAAAAGGACAGTAACCTGTACAAGCATCTATGCTACATGGACTATCAAGTTTCAGGTGGAAAAGCTCCTAGGGACAGCAGGCCAGTTGTCAATCATCCATATCTGACCTTCCAGGTGGCACAGGTCATGCTTTTCCCCAGAGGTGGCCAAAAGGACTTCCATGGAGTGAAGCCTGGGAAGCTCCTCACAGCTGCAGCCTGGGCATCGTTCTCCCGGTAGTAGATGAGCTGGCAGCTGGCGCCAAGGAAGGCAAGCCTCTCCCAAGCAGAGGCCTGGCTGGGAGCACTGGGAAGCAGTCACAATTATGGCAGCATCACACTGCCCCTCACAGCTGCCACTGCCACAACCCAAGGTTTGAGGAGGCTGGGGTTTCCTACAATGCCTGTGTAGCCTCTGATGACTTACTTAAAGGGAGTTCTGTTCCTTGAAATGTCACAGCCACAAACATCTAACATTCATGGGCCACATCAAATGGGGAGAGATGCCCAAGGACTTTCCTCTCCTGTAGCAGAGAGAAACTCCTTACCCTACCAAGAGCTTTCTGGCTGCCCATCTGTGAATGTGACGCAGATACTCTACTCATTGGGGAAGGGCTGGATGTCAGCTCCTAGGTCTTTGTGCCAGAGACCTAGAGGCCTCATTTGGAAAAGCTTCTATAAAGGACATGTACTGGACTCTGACCATAAAAACCCCACAACTGTCTCTGTATGGCATGTTACTCTCAGTACCCGCTGCCACATGTCCCTCCTGCCAGTGTAACCACAGAGGCTCCACACAGCACCAAGTGTTTCAGCTACCCGGATGCACCATGAGTCCCCAGAGGGCACACGCCTGTTCCAGGTCATCTCTGTCACCTCCTAGCACGATTCACAGTGCTGAGAGGAAGGCGTACAACACGTCTTCGTGGAATCGAAGCAAATTCAAAATGGAAATTCTTTCAAATATCCATTTCAGATACACATGTCCTGTGCTACTTACTATCTCTGGCTGCACTTCTCTCTAGCTCTTCGGTCTTTGAGGAAAAGGGCAGTAGATGTATCTTTTAAGGAGAAATGTTTATGAATGGAGCTGGAGGCCATTATCCTCAGCAAACTAACACAGAAACAGAAAACCAAATACGGCATGTTCTCACCTATAGTGGGAGCTAAAGGATGAGAACTTATGAACACAAAGAAGGAAACAACAGACAGTGGGGTCTACTTGAGGAGGGAGTGGGGAGGAGGGAGAGGAGCAGAAAAGGTAACTATTGGGTACTGGGCTTAATACTTGGGTGATGAAATAATCTGTACAACAAACCACCATAACATGAGTTTACCTATGTAACAAACCTTCTCATGTACTCCCCAACCTAAAATAAAAGGTTACAAAAAGGACAAATGTTTAAATTTCGGTTGTTAAATATGTAAACAACTGCTATAGAAAACCAAAAAACATTATTTAACCATTTTATACCCATCCAAAATGCTGCAAACATATGTTTTTAAAGAGGTTTATGAGTCAAATTATATCCTGAAGAGTTGTCAAAATAACTCTACATCCTATTTACAACCTTGGTCTTGAGTCCAACAATTACTCAGCTCATGTATCCTTCTTCTTATGTTGACACTTTTTAAAAATCAACACTGATGCCTGATGAGAAGCTAAATAAACTGATGACAAGAGCAAAAACCTCCCCACTTCTTACATACGAAAGTAAATAAACGCAAAGAAAACAGAACCTGCAAGTCATTATTGGTATTTTCTGCCCTCTGGTGGTCAAGTCCAAGAAGTCTCCACACCAGGAAACAATCTGTGTATTTCACAGATGGCCTCTCTGAGGATCACTCAGGCTAAAGCCTTCATCCCACTGGACTTCCCCAGCAACCAAGTAGGTCCTGCTTCTCTCCTCCCCGCGTGTGTGTGTGTGTGTGTGTGTGTGTGTGTGTGTGTGTGTGTGTGTGTGTGTGTGTATGCAAAAAAAACAAAAAGGATAACGTCAGTCTGAGCAGAACAGGATGAGCAATGTGACCCCACCTCCTCCAAGCACATACAACGTGCCTGAAAAGGCATAAAACTGCAGCAGATGAGCTGTGCTTTCAACTCCCCAACACCATGTTCCATCTGAGCAGATGAGTAAGGCCACCACATCACAAAAGTGTCAACAGAATGAGCATCGGTCAGCTTTGCCTTATTAATATCAGGGAAACACACTCCTGTGAGCACCACACATTTTCAGGACATTACTTTAAAGAGCCCATAGCCTCCCCTTCCATCACCCTCTGTTATGCCACACTGTCTGCGGAGGCAGAGGTCCCACTGTGCTCAACATCAGAGGGTTTCCGTTCCCACCAACCCCATTCAACTCAGTCCCCACACTGACCCCCCACCGTGCAAGACCTACAGAGACACTCCTTACTCTGCCCTTTGCTGCTGAAGGAAGGACAGGCTCTGAGAATGGTGAATGCCTCTGTCCTTTCCTTGAACACTCCTGCCTGAGGAGTTTCTGTGAAGTGTGGTGTCCATCAGGTAGTCGAATGGTTTTCTCTAGGACATTCCATAACTCCCTGATACGCTTTGGCTGTGTTCCCCCCAAATCTCATCTTGAATCATAGTTCCCATAATCTCCACATGTCATGGAAGGGACCCGGTGAAGATAATTAAATCACTGGAGCAGTTTCCCCCATCTTGTTCTTGTGATAGTGGGTGAGTCTCATGAAATCTGATGGTTTTATAAGGGGGCTTTTCCCCCTTTTGCTGAGCACTTCTCCTTGCTGCTGCCATGTGGAGAAGGACGTGTTTGCTTCCCTTCTGCCATGACTGTAAGTTTCCTAAGGCCTCCCCAGCCATGCTGAAGTTTGAGTCAATTAAACATCTTTTCTTTATAAATTAACCAGTGTCAGGTATGTCTTTATTAGCAGTGTGAGAATGGACTAATACACTCCCCATTAACTACTAAATTATACATGAGCTGATTACTCTTGTGTTCAGAGTCTTTGTAGTGGGATGGGTGGGATGAATGGATTATTGGATGGATAAATGATGATGGATGGATGGATGGATGATGGATGGGTGGATGATGGATGGATGAACAGATGATGAATGATGCATGGATGATGAATGATGGATGGATGAACAGATGATGGATGAATGATGAATGGATGATGGATGGGTGGATGGATGGGTGGTGGGTGAATGGGTGAGTGGGTGGATAGGTGGATGGACACAGACGGACAGGTGGTTGAACAGGTGGGTGGATGAATAGGCAATACATGGAAGGAAGGTTAGAAGAGTAAAACGATTTCCATGACATGTAGGGCTCTACTAGGCCTTGCAGGGACTAAATAAAAAAACACAATCCCTGCCCATTAAAGATTGTGTTAGTAATGATACAAAATGAGATCAATCTGTGACAAGAATAGATGAACACAAAGTGATTCCAGAAGACAATAAAAGCAGATGACCTCCAAGCAAAAAGAAAACAGACAAAGGCCTGATCGTGTTACAGCAATAGCCACAAACATTGAGATTATTAATGTGAGGAGGCTGAGTAACCTTCTGCTCAGGAGGAAGTGTCATGGCACCTGGTTTGTGGCCATTAGGACAGATAGAATGTGACACTCTGACACCTGCTGATCTGCCCCAGCCCCAGCCAGTAGCTGAACCAGACAGGCTGAGTGGTGGAGAGCCGGATGACCAGGAGCCAGACACCCTGGTGAGGACATCGACATCAGGACCTCTCTGGAGCTGTGGAAGAGCTTGGGTGAAGGGGCAATCCCAAGCAAGACCTCACAGCAGTGGCAGCATGCAGCCTGCTGTGCTCACCTAACACAGCACAGGCCCACAGAGCCACACCACCACTCCATGTGCGGTGAGAAGGGCCCACACTGGCCACTGACCAACCCTGGCTGGCTCTCAAGGGGACTCAGATGCCCTCAACCTCCTCTTCATTGCTCAAGTCTTCCATGAACCCTTGCAGTCAGAAGGTCACAAAAGGGTTACTCAAGGATGCAATAACCCATTTCAAACCCCCATCAACAGCAGGGAGAGACTCTCCCATGCCTTGCTGAGACCCTTCACTCATACCCAACAATGCACACCGTAGGAAAAGATTGTGTGTCTATCGCCGGTTCTGAGAATCCCCTGAAGCCAGTTTCTTCCCTTTGCTCTCCCTGAAGCTCCTGGTGCTGGGAAAAGCTACCCCCATCTCATATGTGGCACGCTGTACAACTTGGAGATCATCGTTCAGGCTCTCAGGACTGGCTGAGTTGTCTGCCGCCCAGCACCCACGTGCCTGAAAAAACAGCCCAGAATGCTGGTTGCACTCAGCATGCAGCCCCGCAGCTCAGCTGCTGCATGTGACTCTGCAGCCCCAGCCCTGGGCACACTCCCAGACCACCAGGGCCACACTGCCAAGTGTAGGTGAGCACGACCCCAGTGCCTGCTTACAGCACAATGCACGAGTGTGTACACATGAAGCACATACTATGGGGAGCAGTGTCTGCGACAGAGAGGAAGAAAGAAAGAAGACTCCTGGTTCTGGACAGAAGGGCCACGTGGAGTTAGATCAAAGAGGCAGCAACATCCTCCTTCCCACTCAACATGGACCCGGCAGTGGGGGCTGGTATGTGGGAGCACAAGAACCAACATGCACTGAGGGCTTCCCTCTGCTAAGAGATAAGCCAGGGGCTTTGGATGTGAATCCTGATTCAGACCTCATTCACTCTTTCCACTCCTATTTGCTGTTTGTCTGCTATGTGCCCAGCCCTGTGTGTGAAGCTGAACACACAGCAGTGGATGAGGCTGGCAGGGCCCCAGCTGCGTGGAGCTTTTAGGCTAGTGAAGGAGACAGAACCCACCTATTGCACATGAGTTGCTACACTCATGAGTTGTAATACATGCTGCAAGTGGGGAGTCCAGTGCCTTGGGAACAGGTGTCAGAGGAACCACATGCAGGCTGAGGCCTTTCTGAAGAAGGGACAGTCATACAAGCTCTGAAATGTACATGAAAACAACCCATGCAAAAGGGGGGCATCCCCAGCTGGATGGTAGCACATGTAAGCCCCCTCCCACAGTGGCACAGGGGAGAGACAGAAATGAGGCCAGAGGGACAGAGGCCCAGTGGAGAGAGGGGGTACAGTGAGGAGTCATGAAGGATCCTGGATACAGAAACAGAACTTGGGCCTTGATCCTGGGGACCCAGGGAGTGACAAGGGGGCTGAGACAGTGCTGATATTTCACAACCACATCCATGTGTTCTGTGCAGGGGTCTCAAGGAGCAGAGCCCATGGCAGCAGTGTCACCCGGGAACCCAGAAATGCAGACTCTCCACCCCACCCCAGAGCTGCAGAATCACACATCCTGGGGGTAGGACCTAGCTACTGTGCAGCACCTAATTTACAAGATGAGCTTGTCTTAGCTAAAATATTTACCTCTGCGCAAAATCAACCCAAGAGAATGGGCCAGACCTCATTTACACTTCTCACTCTTTCAGGTGCCCAGCTTCCTCCTTCTGAAAAGGTTTCCCAGCCTCCCAGCACAGGCTGCAGAGGTCTCCCAAGCCCCCACTCCCTCCCCTCCCAAACACATTTGCTTCCTTCTCCTCGTGTTCTTGGTAATCACTTAATTTGGTGTGGCATTTCTGACACAAATTAGATGATGGTCAATATGGCAAGGCTTTAAGAGAAAACCTGAAAGTTCCAAGGAATGCCATGGAAATGAAAGAGAACCATGAAAAATATGACATTTGGGCAAAGTTTAAAATGACCGGGCACGCTCAGCCTTGAGTGAATGTCACTGTGGGGAGCTGCGGTGACAGTTTTTTAATACACAAGGAACGCACGTAGGAGAAACGGATCCATTTTTCCACTCATCAGCAAGAGCAGAAGGAGAAGGACCATCTTAGGTTTCAGCCGGGAAAACATATGTCATGTGTTTGAGCCATAGGAGAGGAAGAGCTGCCAAGAGGGCCGGTGAGATCATCCTCACCAGAGACGCTGGAGATGAGATCACAGCGGCCCGGGTCACTGTCCGGCAGGGTGCCTGGACCCTGCTGGCTCTGTGCGGGGTCTTCCCACTGCCTGACAATCCCATTGCCTGGCAAGGTCTGGATAGGCAGGGCAGGTGCTAACTCCGGGTTACTGTGGTTTGCTTCAGACACCTGGGAATTCAAAGGACACTATGCATCTCTGCAAAACATTGCACATTGCCTTGTTACTTGGAGGCGAGGGTACCCAGCATTTGTTTCATGGGAATGCCCATGTCTTCCTTTCCTTTAGCCAACTCCTGTCTTCCCAGTAACGGCAGCAGCAGCAACAAAAACAACAACAACAACCATCACACAAATAACAGCTGTCAGCTATGGAGCATCGCTCTGGGCCAGCGCTGCACACACACCCTTCACTCATGGCTCACCACCATCCTAAGACCCATTTCACACATGAAGAAACTGAGCCCTAGAGAGCGCTATGGCCTGTTCACGGCCCCAGTGCTGGTCATGGGCAGGATGAGGGCTGAGCCCAGGGCTTTCCTGCCCACGATCATGATCACGTCTCCGTGTTGCCGGGAATGAAGTCTGCACATGAGACAACCAATAAAGGAACTGATGCGAATGTGGCCCCCAAGACCCTCCTGGGCCTGGCAGGGGCTGGTCCATGATAACATCCAGTAGAACGGAGAACAGGAACCTTTTAGGAATCACCCACTGTGGCTCCTCTCCCTGGGACACCACCCCCACCCCGCTCCAGATCTGGTGATATTTAAAACCAAGGCCCTCCTGGAAGGCTCCCACCTCTGCCTGGTCTGGTCTGCACCACCCCACACCTTGCCCCACACAACCCCACTGTGGACCCCAATGAGCCTGCAGGGCTGCTGGCGGCATGGACGTCCTTCACACATCATCACCCCATCAAAACCAGCAAGAGTGCAAGGTTTCCCAGGAGCCTGCCTGGCCGCTGACCACCTTGCGTTT
Organism: Homo sapiens; assembly: GCF_000001405.40. Classification (NCBI taxonomy): domain Eukaryota; kingdom Metazoa; phylum Chordata; class Mammalia; order Primates; family Hominidae; genus Homo; species Homo sapiens. The sequence continues at coordinate 110,806,733 of NC_000002.12, read as the reverse complement.
TTTATATGCGCCCAGCACTCTCCTCAGAGGGCCCCTGAGTCAGGATGGTCTGCAGGCTACTGCAATTAGAGGGGATATTGTGCAGAGACTGCTATCACAGCTTCAGCTAACCCTGCATCCGATGTTTAACCAATCTTCCCTTTCATGCAATCCTAGGCTCGTCTGGCTTTTCTATTTTTGCCTCTCTCTGGAGTCCTGAGGATGGCTGAAATGGCTTCTGTTGCAGACCTGAGGAACCAGTTTTCCTCGGCACTCTGATGCTGTCTGTGCTGGTGCCTTCACCACAAGGCTTTCTGGGGCCTCATTCAATATCAGACAGTTCAGCCAAGGGACCTGAGCCCCTCCTGACCTGGGACTTCAGACCTGAACACCCACCCGGCCCCACTGAAAGAACCACCACAAAACAAGCACAGGAACTGGGGTGCACGGGCGGGCACGAGGCCAGGCCGCGTACGCGTGTTGATGGCCACAGCTGTGCCCCCTCACAGGAAGCATCATAAGGGGAAGCCCGGGTCAGGACAGGCCATCTGTGAAGCGTGGCCGACCCCGAAGCAAGTAAAGCAGGGCTTTCCTGCTATTCAGACGACTCCGGACTGATGTCAGGCCTGGAGTCAAGGGAATGAAATTTATTCCTTCTTCATGGAAAAGCTGGACTCAAGCCCCAGATGTATATTCCTGGGGAGACTTAATTTTTCTTCTAGCTTCACCAAGCTCAGTGGAGTTTAAAGCAGGCTTTTCCTTCAGGCAAAGAGACAGAGAAGGCCCAGAGAACAAAGTAGACTGGGGCCCTGGGGAGAAGGAGGCCCTTCCAGAGCTTTGCTCTCCAGGCTCCTCTGTCCAACCAATACACGGGAGAGGCAGGGCAGGGAGGCAGAGATGGCTCCTGGAGGTCTGGTCTCATGGCCTCCAGACTGTGATGGAGAACGTTACACCCTATACAGACACATGAGGATCAACACTCCCAGGTGAATTCAGCCAAGACATGCCGACCTTTGCCCACATGGGCCAACCCTTAGCTGCTTCTCCAGCAGATGTGTTTGCTCTGAACATCCCGTTCTCCCTGGTCATCTCTCCTGGCTCTCTTACCACAATGCCTGTGCTCCACCCCCACGATTAGCAGCACACATCTGGGATGTAGATGGGTGGGAGCCCCTCTTAAGAAGGGTGGAGAAAAGTTCCCTGTGGATGGCCACCTGGCACTCCCCAGCATCTAACCGGGAACCCTGGCCATATTATACCAACTGTGGCTCCAGAAGCTCAGCTCCTGGAATTGTTACTCATCCCTGAGTCGTGAGAGAATTCACAGTAGATAATTAAGTTAAAATCAGAGTCAATTACCTTCATGGCACCCATAGCTTGGAAAGCCACAGCTAATCTCGAAGGGGTCAGTGCTGCCAGCATGGCATTGAATCTTGCACTCTTGTTCCTAATAGGCGAATGGTACTGTCCATCTGGAGCCACGGAACCAAACCTGTGGAAAAGAGAGGTGGGGTTTCACAAAAAAGCAGGACATAGCACCACCAGAAACGAAGTCAGGTGGCTCCCATGTGCATACACAGGGAAGCACTCGGATTTCCCCATCGTGGAACTTCCCCCTTGAGACAGAGCGCCGATAAGGGCAGGGGGAGTCCCTCTCCAAGAGATGCTGAGAAAGGCTTGACTCATGGGAGGTAGTGGTTTCCTGAGACATTAAACCAGCACCGGAGCCTGACTGTGCAGACCGCACACTGACCCACTTTTTAAAAACTGAGATGTAATTCACATGCCATAAAATTCATGTACAATTTGATGGATTTGAGTATAGTCACGAAATTGTACAACCATCACCATGATCCTATTCCAAATCATTTCACCACCCCAAAAAGAAACCCCACCCCACTAGCAGTCCCTCCCCATACTCCCCTCCCTCCAGTCCCTGGCAACCATTCACCTACTTTCTCTCTCTATGGTGCCTGTTCTGGGAAAAAATTCACATAGATGGAATCATATCACATTTGGTCTTTATGTCTGGCTTCTTTCACTTGCATAATGTTTTCAGGGTTCACCTGTGTTGTAGCACGTGTTAGTACTCCATTTCTTTTCATGGTTGAATAGTATTCCATTGTATGGATATACCACATTTTATTTCCTGTTTCCTCAGTCGATGGATATTTGGATTATCTTCCCCTTTTTGCTATTGTGAATAATTATGCTATGGACATTTGTGTATAATTTATTGTGTGGATATAGGTTTGCATTTCTCTTGTAGACAACGTTTTCACACATACCTAGGAGTAGAATTGCTGGGTCATAAGATGATAACTTTACACTTTTGAGGAACGGCCAAACTGATTTCCTAGTTGGTGCCACCATTTTGCAGCCCCACCAGCAATGTATAACAAACAGTCCTAATTTCTCTACATCCTCCCCAACACTTGTTATCGTCTGCCCCTTTAATAAGGGACATCAGTTGGGCATGGTGACTTATGCCTGTAATCCTAGCACTTCGGGAGGCTGAGGTGGGAGGATCATCCGAAGTCAGGATTTCAAGACCAGCCTGGTCAACATGGCAAAACCCCATCTCTACTAAAAACACAAAAATGAGCCAGGCATGGTGGCGCATGCCTGTAATCCCAGGTACTCAGGAGGTTGAGGCAAAAGAATCACTTGAACCCAGGAGGCAGAGGTTGCAGAGAGCCAAGATTACACCACTGCACTTCAGCCTGGGCGACACAGCAAGACTCCATCTCAAAAAAAAAAAAAAAAAAAGACATCCTAGTAGGTGCAGAGTGGTATTCACAGTGGTTTTGATTCGTATCTTCCTAATGGCAACGACATTGAGCATCTTTTCATATGCTTAGCAGTCATTTGTAAATCTTTAGTGAAATGTCTATTCAGATTTTTGCTCATTTTAAAATTGGGTTGTCTTTTTATTCTTGAGCTGTAATAGTTATTTCTATATTGTGGATACTATACCCTTATATTAATATATATGACTTACAAATATTTTCTCCCACTCTGTAGGTTTTCACTTTATTCATAGTGTTCTTTGATGCAAAAAGTTTTTTATAACTTCGATGAAGTCCAATTTATCTATTTTTTCTTTGGTTAGTTGTGCTTTTGGTGCCACGTCTAATAGACTGCTTAAACCCAGGTCACAAAAATTCACACCTGTGTTTTCTTCTAAGATTTGTGTAGTTTTAGCTCTTACATTTAGGTCTGTGATCCATTTTGAGTTGATTTTTGTATATGGTAGGCAGTAAAGGTCCAACTTCATGCTTTTGCATGTGGCTATCTAGTTTGTCCCAGCACCATTTGTCAAAAAGACTATTCTTTCCCCATTGAATTGTCTTGGCTCTGCAGTGGAATATTAATTGATTGTAACTGTAAGGATTTATTTCTAGATTCTTCATTCTATTCCATTGTACATATATCTATCCTTATTCAAATACCACACTGTCTTGATTACTTTGTAGTAAGTTTTCAAATCACAGGTATGAGTCCTCCTACTTTGTTCTTCTTTATCAAGATTGTTTTGGCTATTCTAAGTTTCCTGCATTTCCATATGAATGCTGGTGGTCCTGAGGGGGCCTGGGGGACTTTAGCACCCACCAGGATAACTGTGAAGATGCTTTTATTGTTTCCATTTTATTTCCTATCAATTCACAGGAGGAAAATGTTAAGCAGAATTTGGTCCATTTTAAGTTTTTTTCTTTTTCTTTTTGCTTTATTTTGTTAATTGACATATAATAATTGTACATATTGATGGAATACAGTGTGATGTTTTGATACATTATATATTGTATAATAATAAAATCAGGGTAATTGGCATATTCATCATCTGAAGCATTTATCAATTTTTTGGAATGAGGACATTCAAAACTTGTAACTATTTTGAAATATACAACACATTATTGTTAACTATTATCACGCTGTACAATATCACACCAGAACTTATTTCTTCCATACAACTGTAACAGTATCCATTGACCAACCTCTCCCCATCCCCTCCTCCTCCCTACCTTTCCCAGCCCCTGGTAACCACTATTCTATCCTCTACTTCCTTATCCCTCCATTTTTTTTTAACTTTTATTTTAAGTTCAGGGGTACAAGTACAAGTTTGTTACATAGGTAAACTTGTGTCATGGGGGTTTGTCATACCAATCATTTTTAAGGTTTTTTCCCATATAATTTTCTTAAGCTTTTGGCATCCACTACATTTATCTGCTGGCAACAAAAAGGAGTAAAGCATTCAAGGGAAACCCATGGGGAGGTGGGAAAACAGCTGGTTGTGTGTACCCTGATTGCTGGCTTTGTCACAGATTTAACATGACTATGGCTCAGGATCTTTACTGGATGCGTGAAACGCTGCTGAGAAAATTAAAAGTAATTGGTGTTTCTCAGCTTCTGTGAAAAGCATCATTAACCCCTAGAGCTCCACCCCCAGAACACACCTGGAAGCTGAAAGATGGTGCCTTATCCTCTGCCACTCACAAAGGAAGCAATAGCACCCATCTGTTTGTAATGGCAGGGGGGGGAAGGAAAAAAAACTAAATGCCCAACAATAAGAAATTGATTACATAACTTATAAACCATTTATTTAACAGTCCATTATAGTGATATTAAAGATGATAATGCATGTGTGTGCTTAGCATTACATAAAAACATTTGCTATATAATGATAAATGGGAATTACAGGTTATTTTGAACATAGAATCTAGAAGTGGATCTCGCTTAGTAAAAATCTGACACCTCTCTCTCTTTAGACATATGGGCATAGAGAAAAGTCTGGAAAGATGTATATTGAAGTGTAACAGTCATTATGCCTGGACAACAGCATGCTGAATAATTTTACTTTCTTTTTTCTATCTGCAGACGTATCTTTTCCAATTAGTTGTCAACAAACCTGTACGGGTGGTTAGGGGAAGAATGCCCAGACATGCAGCCCATGAGACCCAAGACCCAAGCCAACTTTGGAGAGCAGTGAGATCATCTGCACCATTGACCTGAGTTAAGGAGAAACTACTCACTTATCCAGCAGGTTCTCCCTGGGTATCCGAACCTTGTCAAATATTAATATCCCATTGTCCACACCATGCAGACCTGGCAAGAATAGAAAGGGGAAATGGATGCAGCATCAGAAGTATTTTCCCTGCTACTTCCCAGGCCTGTCGCCACTAAAATACAAAGCCCCTTATTTTACTTCCAGAATTGTTGGTGCTTTTTCCTTGGGGGTGGACATGGGGATGTTGTCTGTTGTTTCCTTGATGAGCTGTGCCTGTTTCTTCCACCAGCCTGGCCCCTTCCTCCTTAGCGAGAGTGGAGGAGAATGGACTCTCCTTCTGTGCAGCCTGCATGTGCATGCTTTGGGCATGTAGTGGATGCACACCTACCTCCCGAGCAGTGACTGTGATTAAGAAAGGGAGAGTTCTAAGCAACTGCAAGAATGGGAAGCTGAACACAGAGGCAGGGTAGCAGGATTGCTCTCCCCAGGAATGCAGTGCTCAAATCCCTCCTCCTTCCCAGTGCTCTCTCGTCTGCACACAGGGCAAACTGTTGACAGCAAATGCCTACAAGACAAGGGAAAATAGCCACAAGGACAGCAGGAAGTGGGGGAAGCAGTGCGGAGTGGGGAGGGGTGGTCCTGAAATCTGGCAGACACATTTCCTAAAGACACCTGCCAGAGTCTGGGGTCTTCTCTTTGTGAAAACTTAGAGAGATTTAACCTAGGGGAAAACAATCTGTCTTTAGTAAATGTCTTTATTTAGAACTTCACCCCTTGACAAGGACACACTTGCATGTAGCAGCTTACAAGGGCACCAGAGCAGACTTTCTGCCATTGCCAGTGTTTTCAATGCCTGGCACGACTTCACAGAGCTCAGTCTACCCCTCTGCTCTCAGCAACATCTGACATGCAAGGAACTTTCAAGGAGCCCAGCCCAGCCAGGGCCTCGGTCACCCCCGGGAGATACATCTAAAACCCTCACAAACCCACCTGCGGCCATGCCTGCAGCCATGGCAGTGCACAGTAAACACTAAGGGGCCAGGATGGACTGTCCCCTCCACTAAAGGATGGGCCACTTCTTCCCTCTTCTCTTCCTTCTTTTTTTTCTTCTCTCCCAGTCTCCCTTCCTTGGCTTGGCATGATCTTGGCCCTGAGTGGTCACTGGAGCATACAGGCATGTCCTGATCTCACCAAATCTTATGGGTTAAATTGTGTCCTCCCCACAAAAAAAAAAAAAATTCATGTATCAAAGCCCTAATCCTTATACCTGTGTATGTGACCTTATTTGAAGATAGTCTTTACAGATGTGATCAAATTAAAATGAGGTCATTGGGGTAGGCTCTAATCTAAATGGCTTCTGTTCTCTGTAAGATGGGGCAATTTGGAGACAGGCATGAACACAGGGAGAACACCAGGTTAACATGAACACAACCATTTACAGGCCAAAGACACAGTCCTAGAACAAATCCTTCCCTCACTGTGTCTGGAGTTGGTTCCTGCTGGTGGATTCGTGGTCTTGCTGACTTCAAGAATGAAGCCACAGACCTTCATGGTGAGTGTTACAGCTCTTAAAGGTGGCACAGACCGAAAGAGTGAGCAGCATCCAGATTTATTGTGAAGAGTGAAAGAACAAAGCTTCCACAGCAAGTAGCGCGGGTTGCCACTGCTGGCTGGGGTGGCCAGCTTTTCTTTGCTTATTTGTCCCCTCCCATGTTCCGTTTCTGTCCTATCAGAGTGCCCTTTTTACAATCCTCCCCGCGATTGGCTACTTTTAGACTCCTGCTGATTGGTGCATTTTAGAGGGCGCTGGTTAGTGCATTTTAGAGGGCGCTGATTGGTGCATTTTACAGAGCGCTGATTGGTGAGTTTTACAGAGCACTGATTGGTGCATTTCACAATCTTCTTGCTAGTTACACAGCACTGATTGGTGCATTTTTACAGAGCACTGATTGGTGCATTTTACAATCCCCTTGCTAGCTACAGAGCACTGACTGGTGCGTTTCACAATCCTAGCTACAGAGTGCTGATTGGTGCATTTTACAATCCTCTTGTAAGACAGAAAAGTTCTCCAAGTCCCCTCTGGAACCAGGAAGTTCAGCTGGCTTCACCTCTCATCACCACTCTTAGAAGGAGCCAACACTGCTGATACCGTCATCTTGGACTTCCAGCCTCCAGAACTGTGAGACAATACACTTCTGTTGTTTAAGCCCCACAGTTAGCGGTATGGCAGCCCTAGCAAACTAGGGCACTGAGTCAGTCCTCAGGACTCATTAAGGGCCTCAAGAGCACAGAGAGCAGACAGGTGGCCAGGGGTACAAAGAAGAGAGCTACAGCCTGCCCCCTGAGAGCCCCCAAGTCTCAGATGAGAGAAGACAAAACAGGATTGTGGGCAAAACTACCTCATTACTGGAAAATTTGAGAAGCTGGAAGAAACTGAGACCAATGCACATTCATAAAAGGCAATCTACGACATTCCTGAACAGTTCTACATAAAAGACTTCATGAGGCTTCAAAATCTGGACATCTTCTCTGGGGAAGTTTTCTCCACCCTCAGTGCTTCGGTAATATAACGTAGGTTAGATTCTCCTTGAGTCAGGTGGGGAGCAGGTAGGAAGAGTGAGCACAGGAAAAGGGCACCTGGGGACTCACCCTCCTTGTACATCATATCAATAGCTGTGACTCCTGGGTACAAGCTTCCGTTTTCATCCCGGACAGGAACGATGAAACAGTGGGGCCCTAAGGAAGGCATCGAGATCATTATTAAGCTCTCCTTCCTATAGCTTTACTCATGTCCTGGAATAGTATAACATTTCTGTGATCCTCAAACTCATTCAGTTCTACAACTGTGCACCAAGCATGAGAGCATATAATGTCAAAATGTAATGATAAATTTCTTCATGCATATTAGGAGATAAAGTTAGTACTGAATTATTTACAAGATAAAAGCAGCTCTGTGAAATGGTTTTTCACTGGTAAATAGTACTAATGAAGAGAATTATTCTAGTTGTCTGTATTGGTAACAAACCTTGAGATCTTCCATCTATGATGAGCTGGGCAAAGACAGCTGCATAATTCCCGTACATGGCATTTCCAATATACATCTTCTCCGCATTTTCACACGGCGTGTCAATTACAAACTCCTACACAGAAAAAGCAGAGCAACAGTGTTTCCCTTCCCATGGCTCATTTCAACTCCCTGGCTCAAAGCAATGAATACTGTAATCCCAGCACTTTGGGGGGCCGAGGTGGGTGGATCACGAGGTCAGGAGATCGAGACCATCCTGGCTAACATGGTGAAACCCCGTCTCTACTAAAAATACAAAAAATTAGCCAGGCATGGTGGCGGGTGCCTGTAGTCCCAGCTACTCGGGAGGCTGAGGCAGGAGAATGGCGTGAACCTGGGAGGCAGAGCTTGCAGTGAGCCGTGATTGCGCCACTGCACTCCAGCCTGGGCGACAGAGCGAGACTCCATCTCAAAAAAAAAAAAAAAAGCAATGAATACTGTGAAAAACAGAACCACACAGTGCAGGGTTCCGTTTCCAGGGGATTTCACAGCAGAAGAGAAGACAATGGGAAGGTCACCTGGCTCCACGTCTTGAAACCAACATGGCTGTGCTATCACCTCAATTCATTTATTTCACCTCCACCTCAGCTTTGAAAATGGCTGAGATTAAAGTGATTTTTCAAGGAATAATCTGATCCAGAAAATAAGTTGCCAGTTTTCAATCTTTAAAAGGTGTTTGTTCTCTCCCTCCCAGTCTCTCCTCTTTATAATGCCAGGCTGACATGTGTGCTGTTTGGCTGAGCCTGCCTGGCTTTAATGTATAAAGGCTTTCTTCAATTATCTCGCTAGACTACTTCATAGCAAAGTTTTGACCTTTAACTCATCCAACACCAAAACCTCTAAAAGCCCTGGTGGTATATGCTCAGCTCTCCATGCCCCTCATCTCCAAATATCCCACCTGCAAGATTTCTAAGAAAGGATGGAATATCCAACGATCTGGGCCCTTAGATGGCTTGTCCCAGGGTCCGCATCTGTGAGTCGCACTTTGTCTGCTGGTGTTCACTCCTTCTGGGCAAATCACTTGGTTCCTCGCTGTTTCCCAGGCCCTGAACCTTCCTGCCTCCATGACATGGATCTTGGTTTAAATGAAAGCCAGGGAACTGAAGGCCAAAACCGTACGCTTGGATAAAGCAAGACTGATAGACAGCCATGACCTATTCCCACCACTGCTTAGAGTAGCAGCCCAATTTTTATTTTTATAAAAAGAAATCCCTCATTTCAACCTTTGAAAATGTCTCTCTATTTCCCTGATCAATGCATATAATAAAGTTTCCCAAAAGAGGTTCATATGTTCAAGCTCCTAAAATGGAAGAACTTGTAAATGAGTCTCTTTCTTAGGAGGGAAAAATCTTAGAATGTACCATGCAGTTTGTCTCTGAATATGTCCAAGGATTTCAGCTCAAAACAGTCTGAAACTAACACTGGTCATGAAGAAGCAGGAAGAAAACGCAGGGGTTTTGTTCTCAGGCTCGGCTCAAAACTCCGTCTTCTCTGTCCTACTCTCTGGAAGCCGATAGTGGAAATGCTCCCCTCACTTCTTGGCTCTCCCCAGTCTCCACTGCCACCTGGGTTACCTTTAAGCCTCTTGCCAAAAAGGAACTGGCCCTGGTGCCAGCTCTGAATACAGGGCACCTGGGGCAAGTTGGGAGCCCAGGAGAAATGGCAGAGAGTGGAACTGCACATTTAATTGGAGTTGACAGTATTGAAGATGTGACTGAACTAAACCAACAAGCTATTGATCGTGCAAAGATTATCTCAGATTTCAGACTATAAAGTATATAGACAACACTTTCCCGCTGGCCAAGAAATACAGTCTTGAAGCCTAAGAAAACATTCTCTGACATATGTTTGCACAGGGAAACTTTTAACTTGTGCAAGAGCTTTTCAGAAACATAAACGGACATGCTGGATCTTTTTAAGAGATGTCTCTGGAGGCCACCCTTGTCTTATCAGGGTAGCCAGGGCTTCTCAAGGAGAGGCATTGCTTGAGGCTGAGTGCAGAGAAAAATAACAGCAACAAAAATACAACCCATGTGGGTGGGCGCATGCTTACACTCAGGGTAAGAAAGTGAAGTGGCAGAGGAAACATTGGCCTGGCAGAAACGATCTGGTGGGGTGGGGAAGGGAGCAGAAGGCCACCCGTCCCCATAAACATTTGCTACACTCTGGGAAAGGAGGTTTGTCACTTCTGGCAAAATGCTTGATTTGGAAAGTTTGCATCAGCCCAAACTCGGGCATTAAAGCTGCATCTAAATAACACACACCATTGTGTCAGTTTCTGTAATCATTATTTGTTTGAAGGCCAGCAAAATGGTCAGTGTTGTAGGAACTAAAAATGATGCCTTTGGCCAGAGACTTCATAACCTCATTTATTTTTGCTATTTAGAATAAAGTATAAAAATAAAACTCTCTCTTATCTCTTAACTATCCATACCACTACCCAATCCACCTCCCAAAAATAAATGTAAAACAACCAACCCACAGGAATGAATAACCAAAACATGTAAGAGATTTAAATGGTCCTTGGGGAGAGAACACTTATTTAATAAGCTCTAGCATTTTGAAAGGGAAATGAAGGGGAAAACACAGAACCCAGTGAAGGGAGAAATACATTCCTGCTATGTCAGTTCTCGGTGGTATGAGTTTATGATGGGATTGTTCTCTCTCCCAGCCCCACGGGAGACAGTGTTCACCAGAGGCCCCTCGTCATTATGATTGCAACTTTGCAGGTCCCCTATCAGACAGTGGTAGCTGCCGAGGCACGCCAGGTAGCTAAGTCATTTATGCTGTTTGGGGAAAATGGGACCAACACAGGAAATTATTTTTGTAAAAAAGTAATAATTGTAAGAAGAAACAAATAAATAAGAGCTGTGGGTGTTTTCCCCCCATCAACGACAGCAAGGTGACCTTAATACGATGGCTTCGGGAGAGGAAAAAAATCGGCCAGCCAAAAGCCAAAGGATGTTAGGTCAGCATGCCACCACTGGCAGAAAAGCCAAGCTGCTGAGGGCAGTCTCACCCGAACCTAACTCACTCATTAACTGCATAGCCAGAGTCAGCTGCTTAACCTCCGTGAGCCTCTGTTTCCCCATCTGTAAAGTAGGGACAATAATACATTTTCGTAAGGTTACAGAACATTTGAAATGAAATGATGTTACAAGTAGACTGCTTAGCCTGGTACATGGCACAGCCATGCTTAGTTAAAAGGACCAGTTTAATGTTGCGTTCCTGGGACTGTTGCTGGGGGGAAACATAGAATACTACACAGAGGGAGTTTGATACACAGCATGGCACTTTACGAGTGGTCAGTATAGGGTAGTACTTGTTCTTACTATGATCTTGGACATCATTTGCTGCTGGAGAGAACTAACATCAGGGCAGAAGGAAAAGCAGGGCATCCTCCAATACACCCCGCCCCTGCATCTGTCATTCCAGACATTGGCCACCTCCAACCAGCAACCCTGGGTCAGGAAACCCCGCTAACAAAAATCCACCTGCTCAAGGACAAACTGCAAAAATAAAGAATAGACGAAGCAGAGCAGCCACACGGCCAGGCAGCACCCGCAGCCACGCTCGGGCACGTGCTTGCACACACTGACTGACATAGCTTCATTTCTAGAAAGTACCTCAACATTTGTTTATCCCTTTGTAGTTCTTAGGAACACCCAATATCAAGCAAGCAACTATAAAGGAGAGTGAGATAAGTACACAGTTGCTTTCTTTTTTGGTGAGGGGCGGGGGCGGGGTGCGTGTAGGAGTTAAAGAGATGGGCATGAGGGTTACAAAGCAGCGTCCCGAGGGTATGTTATGACCCACTATGGACAGAGATAGCAATGTAGAGAGACTTAGCCAACATCTTTTTAGTTAGCAAGAAGGGAATGGAAAGGAAGAAAAACAGAGAAGGAAAAGAAAGGAAAAGGAAGACAAAGAAAAGAATGAAAAGGAAAAACCTCAGCATTGACCATATAGAGTAAAGGTAGAAGAGTCAGACCGTTTGGTGACACTCTTGTTTCTGTTGTCATGTAAAATGTCAGTGCAGGTCACGGTAAGGGACAGCACATGATCCCAGTACAGAAGACTCAGCTCCTGATAAGGTGGCCCCAGCATAGTGCCCTCCTGACACAGGGCACAGTGGAGAGGACCAACAAAGGCGTCTCCTCCAGTCTGTTCCTGCTACTGCTAGGGACGACTACAAAATGGTTTTAGTGTTGTTCTCTTGGAGTTATGACAAGGGATTAAATTCACAAGTGCACACAAAGTGCTTGAAGCAGTGTTCAGTGCCTCAAAGGCACCATATTGCCTCAAAGGCAACATGCTGGCTGATGTTGGGTACACGAAGGCTGAGCACATATCCACCTCTATTAAAACACTTAGGCATTTGATCTGAATCTCAGCTCCCTGGGCCAGAGAGCACACACAGAGGGTGTGAAGCTGGACACAGAAAGAAGGAGATCTGTTTCTGTCCAGGTTTCCAGCTCCCCTGCACGGCAGGAGAAGGATGGATTCCTCACCTGGGCAGAGAGGTCAAAGGTGGCTTCGGTCTGGATCCCTCTCGCGTTGCTCCCATGGCCCCTCTCGGTCATTGCAAACATCCCAGTGTATTTCTGCTCCTGGAGTTTACCAGATGTTAGAAGGGAATTAGCTGGTCAGGCAGTTGCTCCAAATGCAGACCCCTCGGACCATTAAGAATGGTGGTGAGAGAGGGACAGGTGGGTTGGAGAAAATTATAAAAATGCAGTCTGATGACAGCGAATGTGAGCTTAACAACATGACAGGCCCAATGCAACATAAAAAAGATAGTCTTGGAATTCTCATTTTCAACAAGATTTTTGCTGATACAAATTCTGTTTTATTTTATTTTTCTTCAAACACATACACACATGCATATCTATCTACTACAGATTTTTAAGGCTCTCCATAGAAGACCAATGTTGAGGAAAATACCATACCTGGAGTGGCTGAAACCACTTAGTAACATGTTCAGGGCTTCCGAGATTCCTGATAGCACCACCAAATAGCCAATAAATTATTCCGCACTGGAAACAAGGACAATACAAACCATCATTAGCAACAGTCAGCAATCTAAAGACAATTAAATCCACGGCCAAACTCCAATCAGGGAGCAGCTATTCAGCCCCCTGTGCTTGACCTAAGCCCTGCAAGTGGCATGCTTCTTTGCCCTTCCTCTTCACTGCCTGGTGAGCTCCAGTTTCTCTCTGCAGACATGGCTCATGAGTCGCTCAGGACTGACACAGAAAGTCAATCCTCCATCCTCAGGCCTCCCAGATCCCCCCAACAAATGAATGCTCTGAAAGCTCATTCTGCTTTGTCCTCTCAGGATCTAGCTTAGGTCCTGATGCAGAAGACATGTAACAAAGTGTGTGTGCAATGACCCTCGATGCTGACCCGTCTGTGGAGGTGAGTCCTGCCATGAGAAAGTGTTTCCTTACAGGAAGGTGGATGGAAGAGGCAACGCTGCAAAAGGAGCAAGCATGCAGCTTGGGATGAGCACCCTGGGTTTCAATCCCACTTCAGCTACCCACCGGCTGCAGGATCTTGGACAAATGACATTGTAGCCTCAGCTTCCTCATCTGATAAATGAATGGTGAGAGTACCCATTTACTGAGCTACTGAGCTTACAAGCTCACTGACTCTCACAACAACCCTGGAGAGAAAGCATCATCATCCCCATTTAACATGGGAAATTGGGATTCATAGAGGGAAAGTGTCTCACCCACATCCTAAGAAAGTGGGAAGGGCTGAGGCTGAAACCCAAGCTACCTAATGCCTTATAATACTTCATATAGTGACCATGAGGATTCAGTGAGAGTCAACCACCAAGCCTTTGCTTGGCCTTTTGTGGGTTTTTTGTTTTTGTTTTTCTTAAGAGACAGGGTCTCACTCTTTCACCCAGGCTGGAGGACAGTGGCATGATCATAGCTCACTGCATTGTCAAACTCTCAGGCTCAAGCGATCCTCCTGCCTTAGCCTCCTGAGTAGCTGGGACTAGGGACTACAGGCACACACTACCACACCTGGCTAAGTTTTTTTTATTTTTAGTAGAGATGAGGTCTTGCTATGTTGCCCAGGCTGGTCTCAAACTACTGAGCTCAAGCAATCCTCCCACCTTGGCCTCCTGAAGTGCTGGGATTACAGGCATGAGCCACCATGCCCAGCCTGCCTGGTCTTTTGTAAACCCTGGAAAAGTGTTGCTGACAAAGAGAAGGAGGAAGACAAAGAGGATGAGGATGAGAAGGAGAAGGAGAAGAAACAGGAAGAGGCAGAGTGGCTTGAGCAGGGCCGTTTGGAAGGAGCAGGGTGACTGACTGCAAAGACAGAAGAACTTGAATGTAGGGACATTGCTGTGCCTGCAGGTCAGAGTTCCTTCCCCCTCCTAGCTATACAACCCCAGTTTTCATCTGGGGAGCCCTCCTCCCCTAGAATCTGTCCAAGTGGTTTGTGGGTGATGTTGACCCCACCCCATCCCAGCTTTAGGATGAGTTGGGAGCCCAGGACTGGCTCATCTGGCCAGACAATGGCTCTCAGGATGGATTCATGATCTGGGTGTGTCCATTTGGAGTAGAAGCCAGGACACAAGGCTAAGCTACTGTGGAAGAGAAGCCCTCTTTTGTGAGGCTATGAAATCTGGAGGGATGGAAGCCTGGGGCCATACAGCCATGAGCTGGGGAATGAAGCCAATGTATGAGGACCCGGTTGGGGGAAGGAGGCAGAGTTGAGAGATGGCAGAGACCAGGTCCTGCACACCCAGACCTGAAGCCTGCTGCATCCTAGACTCCTGAATTACAGCAGCCAATAAGTACCATTTTTGCTTAGGCAAGTTTAGAGTCGACTTTTTTCCTGGGGTCACTGCATCTGGATGAGCTCTCTGTTCATACCCCACGTGTATGAACAACCTGGTATTAACTTTGTGAAATGGTACTTGATCAACTCTAGCAGCTCGGACCAGCTAACACACTCTGGCATCAGGACAGATGAATTTCACTAATCACATCTGACATGTGAAGTGCTTTTCATTTGGAGAATCATAAAGTATCCTGGGAAGATGATTCACACCCTGAAGACTCAGCTCACTTCTCTACAGAATCATCGCAGGCACTGCAAATTGCATTACTAATTCCAACATGGGAAATGGAAGCAACCCAAATGGTACGTGTTTTTTCCCTAAACCATCTTGGGAGTTAAGTTTAAAAAAATATTTTTCTAAAACTCAAACAAGTTAGGTTTTCCACCTCTAAATCTCTTTGGCTGGTGCCTAATGCACTCTTGACAATAAATTCCTCTTCTAGGTTTTAAATCCTTTCCTCCTCTTTAGGAAGAGGAAAAAAAACCTAGAGTGTTTTATCCACATTTTGAAAGCCCCCATTCACTAAATGTCTTAGTAGGCACCCTGGGCTGTGGAAGTGAACCTGTAAGTTTGCAGGAAACTGCAGCAGTTGACAGAGGCAGTGTCTGCATGACCTCAATCCACACAGTCAGGTAAAGTGTGGGGTTCATTTCCCACAAAAGCCACATTCTCTGAAGGGCAGCTAATCCAACCAAGCTGGGCCAAATGCAGGTGGAGCTCCTGGGGATTGGAAGTGGAGGGCTCCCTGGCCTGACATGCTTTCAGCAGGTGCCTTCTGGGAGGGGCATGGGCCCCAGCCCACAGGCCAGGAAGGAGGCAGACAGGGAAGTGGGGAAGTAGAGGGATTCAGGGTAGATTCTGGAGACAGAGTTGTTGGGATGGATTTGGGAGGAGAAGGAAAAAGAGGACTCTGAGAGACACCTGGGTGTGTGGCCTGAGTTTCCAAGAAGATGGAGACCCACTGACTGCAGTGGAACAGCTTGGAGGAGGGGCTGGGAGGAGCCAGGAGGAGGGTATGGACTCCTTAAAACAGAAATCCTGAGGCTAATGGGAGGTAGGCATCAACCGATCACGTGGGAATGTCGCAGAGTGTCCTCCGAGAGGACACTGTGGTTCTCCTGTCAGACTACCCAGCGTCCTGCCCCTGGCAGACCTCAGGGAACAGGACACAGAGAGGACCATTTGCTCTGAGAGAGACTGCGAAAAGCAGTGGTAAGAGAGAAAAAGTAGAGTTGGTTGGGGGATACCTAATGAAAACTCGAACTTCAAACATGCACCCACCTTGCTTGAGAAAGCCTCCTCTCTCTTTTCCCACTTATCAGGAGAAGAAAAAGGACAGCTATGACATCGAGCACACGAGGTAATGATCATAACATGCCCAATGAGGGTCGGCAGCTTCCAGAGGCCACAGTGTGAGACAGCTGAGGGCTGGGAGGTGTAGCCAGGACAGGTCACAGGGACCAAAGGATGGGGCTATGGCAGGGCTTCTTAGCTTCTAAATAAAGACTAAAAGGAGACATCCTGAAGTGGAAGGGAAATCTGGTGGGTTAGAGCTGGGAAGGCAGGCTGGTATCACCTCAACCCACCAACGGAGCCACTACCTGGAAGACTGTGGGGCTGGGCCCCCAGCCACGTCCCAGGAGGTTACAGTCCCCACCATTTATGGAGCTCCTGCTACCTGCCAGGTTTGGCACGGGGATCCTTGTAGGCATTACTGATTTAAATCTACACACAGCCTGTGAATGGGCTTTAGCAATGCCATCTTTAGGGAGGAGAAAGCTAAGGTACATATGTACAAAGGAACATGCCAAAAGTGTGGCTGGGAAGTCCTAGAGGTAGCATGTACAACTCTGTTGTTCTGAGTGTGCCCCTGTCCCAGTGGACCCGTGAGGTCTGTCCCATGGGCAGGAAGCCTGCCGGCTCCCCGGCTGCAATAGGCCAGGCCATTCCTAAACAACAGCCCAACAAGGGCCTCCTAAAGAGACTTCAAGTGTATTCAGGATTTCCTAATTCCAAGAGCAAATTTCCACAAATGGAAAACTGGAAGTGTTTTTTGAGACAACGGGGACTCCAGAAATGGACTGAATTTTGTCCTCCCAAAATTCATATGTTAAAGCCCTACCCGCTGTGTGATGGTATTTGGAGATGGAAACTTTGGGCAATGATCAAAGTTAGATGAGCTCATGAGGGTGGGACTCCAATAATGGGATTGGTGCCTTTAAAGAAGAGGAAGAAAAAGCAGCACCTCTCTTCACCAATGAGGACACAATGAGAAGGTGGCTGTCTGCAAGCCAGGAAAAGGGCCCTCACTGGAACCTGACCATGCTGGCACCATGATCTTAGACTTTACAGCCTCCAGAAAGGTGGAAAAATAAATTTCTGCTGTTTAACTCATCCAGCCCATGGTATTTTGTTATAGCAGTCCAAGCAGGCTAAGACAGATAATAGGATGGTTCAAATAAGGCAAAATAGAACAGCCATGGAGAAGCAGAAAAGGAAGCATGTCTCATTTCTTTCAGCTTTAGTTAGAGTCCTTCCAGATTGCACCCATGCTTTTGGCAGGAAACTTGGGCTGGCTCACAAGCTAGAGTGGGGATTCAAAGCACCAATAAAGACAATCTTTTTCCCTGGCACTTTGCTAATATGCCCACCCCTGTCGCTGTGAGCCACTCTCAGAGCCAGCCCCCAGCCCTGCCAGCACTTGGCTGTGTGAGTACAAATGAGTTTGTCCAAGGTGCTCAGGGAAATGCAAATCCACTGGATAAACAGACCTGGAGAGAGAGAGAAAAGGGACTTGAACATGCAGGGCACAGCTGATTTTGATGAATTGATGCTGACGTCCCTTCCTCAGGTTGACAGCCAGCTCATGTGAAAGGCAGGGACCACCAGTGGCTCTTGAGCTGGCAGGGGGATCTGGGGAACCCCTGACTGACCCAGAGCTCACAGGAACTGTTCCCAGCACACCACATGCCCTCCTGGCATCTCCTCCACCACCAATAGAAAAGACAGCCATGGTCCTCCTGGTCAGGACTTGGGGGCTGCACAGTCTATAGTTTCCTCTAATTGTCTAGGATTTCCAAGCTCCAGGAAAAGAAAAATCTCCCACAATTACTGATGTGTGGGACAGCATAGTTAATAATAATTTTTAATTGTCATTTTTATTTCTGGTAAAATACATACAGCATAAGGTTTGCCATTTTAGCCACTTTTAAGCATACAATTCAGTGGCATGAAGTACAGTCATAATGTTGTACAACCATCACCACTATTTCCAAAACTTTTTCATCATCCCAAAAAAAAACTCTGTACCCATTAAGCAATAACTCCCATTCTCCCCTCCCTCCAACCTCTTGTTACCTCTAATCTACCTTCTGTCTTTATGAATTTGTCTATTCTAGATATTTTATATAAGTAGGCTCATACAATATTTGTCCTCTTATGTCTGGCTTACTTCACTTAATAATTTCAAGGTTCATCCACATGGTGGCATGTGTCAGAACTTCACTATTTTTTGTGGCTGAACAATATTCCATTTTGAGTTTATACCACATTTTGTTTACCCACTCCTCTGTTGACGGAAATGTGGCTTGTTTCCAGCTTTTAGCTATTGTGAATCATGCTGCAATGAACACTGGCACACAAGTATCTATTTCAGTCCCTACTTTCAATTATTTGGGGTATATATCCAGTTAGTGGAATGCTGGGCTGTATGGTAATTTTTATGTCCTACTTTTTGAGAAACAACCATATCGTTTTGATTTTATATATTTATTTAATACTCAAGTATTGACACCTATTATGTACCAAGAATGTAGGGGTTATAGTTTTCAAGGAGTTTTCCCTCTTGTGGTAGTAAGAGACATAAAGTAATTCCATGAATAAATATATAGATTCAAAATGGGTACACGTTATGGCAGAAAACTGTAAGAAGCAAAGACAGGTGACAGCGAGTGGATGGGACTCAAGTTGAAGGCTTGAGAGGGGCATCCCTGCGGGAAGGACACGTTAGCTGGAACATGAAGAATGAATAGTTGTCAGCCAGGAGAAGGAGGGGAAAGACCAAGCTAGGGCTAGAAGCAAGTGGTCCAAAGGTGGGTAAAAGGAACCAGAAGAAGAGGAGAGTGGAACAGATGTGACCAGGGCCACACCTGCAAGGACCCATGGGCAACATCAAGGATTAGAGGATGTTTCTAAAGCATAATGGGAAGGAAGGGGTTTTAAGCAGGAGACTGGAGTGATCAGAGAAGTATTTCTTTTTTTTCTTTTTCTTTTTTTTTTTTTTTTTTTGAGACGGAGTCTTGCTCTGTCACCCAGGCTGGAATGCAGTGGTGCCATCTCAGCCCACTGCAAGCTCCGCCTCCCGGGTCCACGCCATTCTCCTGCCTCAGCCTCCCGAGTAGCTGGGACTACAGGCGTCTGCCACCACGCCCGGCTAATTTTTTGTATTTTTAGTGGAGACAGGGTTTAACCATGTTAGCCAGAATGGTCTCAATCTCCTGACCTTGTGATCCGCCTGCCTTGGCCTCCCAAAGTGCTGGGATTACAAGCGTGAGTCACCGCACCCGGCCTCAGAGAAGTATTTCAAAGGACATTTTCTTTAAGTCTATGCCAATTTCCTTCTAGGATACTCAGGAGTTTTCAGAAAAAAATTTTATTATGGAAAAATTCAATGAAATAGAAGCATCTAATGAACTCAAGGATGGTCAGCTCATGGTCCATTTTCCTTCATCTCCCTCCCCCCGCCACCCCTACCTACTTTCCCTTCCTACATCCCAGGTTATCTTGATGTTTATCCCTGACATCATATCATGTCTTCCCTGAATATTTCCAATACATATGTAAAAGATACAGATTCTTTTTAAAAACATAGCCCTAAAACCATTATCCCACCTAAAAATATAATGATCATTCTCTAATATCATCAGATGTCCAATGCTCAGATTTCCCCAACTGATACATAATTTTTCATTACAAATAGTTTGTTGTTTGAACCAAGATGTAAATAAGACACACATATTGCAATTGGTTAAAATGCTTCTTAAGTCTGCTTTATGCTACAGGCTGCCCCTTCCCTCATTCATTCAGACGATCCCTGTGAAACTCCATGGACTAGGCTCAGTGCAAGACCCTGGAGACCAGAGGAGAGGGCTCCCCACCCAGAGAGCTGCCACCACCTGTGGAGCTGTCCTCATGGTCACAATCCACGGAGGCTTGCTGAAGAGAAAGTAGATGGCAGAGTAGGGTGGGGGTGCAACATGGTAAAAGCACAAACTGGGGATCATGAGAGTCTGGACCAGGATCCTCCGGTATTTCTGAGACAGGATTTATTTATTTATCTGTTGCATCTCAGCTAGCTGCTCTCTCTGAAAGCCACAGCCAACCCATCCAAGAGGGAAGAGATCGTGCCTGGCTGAAATCACAGGGAGCCCAGTCTTCCTGGAAAAATCTGATGGTGGACACCCTCACGACAAGATGGCACTCACAGATATCTTTGTTTTTAATTCCTACCTACCAATAGACAATGTCCACACCAAACTGAAATCACCACCATATTGGACTCACTGCCAACTGACCTGGCTTCTTGTCTGATCATTCTGTCTTCATGTTCTAGTTGTAATTTCTCCTCTTTGGGGACATCACGACTGGGTGTTTGGATATGAGGAATCATTCTGAGATCCAGTGGTGTCCAGGGAGGGAAAGGAGGGCCCCATGAAGGACTCTCTGCTGGAAGGCTTGGGCAGCACGAGTGGCTGCAGCAGACACGCCCACCTGAGCTATTTTGTTCGCCTTCCTTGGTAAGCAGGAACATGCAAGATAATTGTCTTCCCTCAAGACAATAAGATGCCATTTTATAACCATTTGCAAAAAAATGGAGAAGTCTAAGAATTCCAAGTATGGAAGAGGATATGGGTCCACAGGATCCGATTACATGCTGTTGGTGGGAATGTGAATTGATGCACTAACTTTGGAGAATAGATTAACACTACTCTTTAAAGTTAAGCATTCATTCATCCTGTAACTAGCAATTCCATTCCTAGTTGAATACCTAAGGGAAGATTTTACCCATGTTCAACACCAGACATGGACAAGAGTATTCACAGCAGCACTTTTCACATTAGCAAAATCCTGGAAACAACATGAGAAAGTGGATGAATAAATGCT
Source organism: Homo sapiens (assembly GCF_000001405.40). Classification (NCBI taxonomy): domain Eukaryota; kingdom Metazoa; phylum Chordata; class Mammalia; order Primates; family Hominidae; genus Homo; species Homo sapiens. The sequence continues at coordinate 110,785,658 of NC_000002.12, read as the reverse complement.
GTGGTATATTCACACAAAGGAATATTATACAGCAGTCAAAAATGAATGATCTTCCATTGCTATGTCATTCCCCAAATGACAAAACTATAGAGATGGAGAACAACAGATTAGTGCTTGCCAAAGGACAGGGGTGGAATGGAGGCCAAATGAAACTTCCGGGTAGGACCCGGAAGTTTCTTTCTGATGATGGAACAGTTCTATATCTTGATTGTGGTGGTGGTTACATGAATCTACATATAGGGTCAAACTGCATAAAACCACACACACACACACACACACACACACACAACTGAGTGCATGTAAAAACTCGTGAAATCTGAATAGGGTCTATGTCCTAACAGTGCTGTACTAATATTGATTTCCTGATTTTACATTGCATTACTGCTACATAAGATGTCACCATGACTAAAGGGTTCTCATGACCCTATGTACTATTTTTGTAACTTTCTGTGAGCATTATTATTTCAAAATGAAAAGGTTTTTATTTTAAAATTTAATGAATACAGGAACACACAATATGAATCGATCTTAGCAATAATATTTAAGTGAAGAAAGAAAATCACAAAGGATTATGATACTGTTTTCATAAAACTAAGACAAAGGAAAATAACCAATTGATACAAATGTAACAAAACTATACAAAGAAGAAAAGCAAATTAGAAACAAAAACAGGATAGGATATGATAGTTAAAAGGGAAGTCAGGCACAGGTTTTGAGGTATGCAATTTTACCAACACCTGTGCCACTACATAGACTGAGAGAGCTCACGGGGTTATAGTTTTCATTCCTTGGCATGCAAAGCGAGCATGCATTCATGAAGGGCAGGTGCCCGGCGCCTCTCACCTTCACTCCTGTGGCCATGTCCGCCATGGAGAGGACTTCTCCTATGACAAGGCTTCGGCTGACAAAATTCTTTGTTTTCTCTGCCTGAAAATATGATAGACTCAGTATCAAGGTTTCCTTATGGTTTTCTGACTTGTTAAATTCACAGTTTTTATAAGAAATGCATGTTACTTTTATAATAAAAAATAAACACAGTAAAAGCAGTTTTTAAATTAAGAAACAATTCCATCATTCTACTAAAGTAAATGTTTTCATCTTTTTTTAATGTGGCTTTCTGGTCTCTAACCTTGTTAGTGTTAAAGACTCTTCTTATACAATAGTCAACTGCATCCGCATGGAGGCCAGCCTGCAACCCTGCGACCGACTCGCCTCGTGCCTTGCTTTGCTTTCTCCAGGTTTGTCCCTCCCAGCTCCTGGTGTTCACTTTACAGGCCGGCACCCCCACGGTTCTGCCCAGCTCCTCCAATGTGTGCCACAGCCTGCAGCCTCTCTGCACTGATGCCCCAACCAACAAAGAATGCCTGGCTGGAGCTCTGTTGACAATCTTTTTTTTTTTTGTACAGACAGGGTCTCGCTATGTTGCCCAGGCTGTACATGAACTTCTGGGCTCAAACGATCATCCTGGCTCAGCCTCCCAAGAAGCTGGGACTACAGGCATGCGCCATGGTACCCAGCTTCAGTGACCATCTTGATGTGAGGGTGGAGGATTGGGAAGTCTGGGAGCACCCTGGACACAGGAAAAGCAGTATGTTTACTTTGTAACTATAGACCATATCAAGGCTTTGATGATTTAAAAATCATGAGGTCCCAATCCCCTCTCCTCACTCACTGTACACAACAGCCACAAATCCCAAGGCTATACGAACACACTCTTCTCCACCAGTGACAAATGAGGCATGGCAAAAACACTGTACATGTTTCATTTTAAAAATTCAGAGGCAGCCAGCATTTTCTTAGAAGGTGATAGGCCCTTGAGTGGGCAAAGTGCAGCTGTCCATTGTTGAAATCAGTGCTAGTTGTCCTTGTTTGCCAGTCTCTTCTGAGATCCACCCAAAAAAACTGGTGCTTGTTACCCATGTGTATGTGTATGTACATGTGTGTGCATGTGCCTGTGTGCACATGTGTCCATGTATGCATGTGTGTGTCTATATGTGCGTGTGCATCTGTATGCACACGTGTGTGTGCAAGTGTGTGTGTGTGTCTGTGTTTCTACACTGCTCCACCAGCAGCAGGATGATAACTAACCTTCCTTGAATGACTTTCAGTTTCCACACTGGCTAAAGCTCTCACCCCAAACACACTCTAGATTTTTCCCTCCCATAGGTTTTTACAATGTTTCTCTCAACCATTATTAATTTGAACAAACAGCAGGCTGTCAAGATTTATGACTCTTACCATGGCTCCAACCCAATGCATCTTGTATTGATTATTTCCTAAAATATCTCCAGGCTTGAGTATATAAACCACTGCATGGCTCCAGCTTCAGCTCACACTGCTGAAGTTATTACCAACAAATAATAAAAGACAACTAAAGCAGATAGTTGCAGACTCTTTTAGAGGGCCTAAGTGTCCTTTGTTGCACAGATCCTCACAACAACCCTACACGGGAGGCTAACAGGACAGGAAAGACTGACCCCATGTAACAGACAGGAAATCCCAGGCTCAGGGAGGTCAAATGACTTGTCCCACCAGAGTCACCTGGGAAGTGGAGAGCAGTATCCTTTATCAGAATCCGGAGCTTCAGGTTTCTCATCTGGACATCTTGCCACCAGCCCTCCCTGCTCCTCATTATTAAGCCAGAAGAAGTCTTGGGACCCTGAGTGGCCCAGCCTTCCTCATCGGTCCACCCCTATTTTTCACCACCAGCCTTGTTCCCAGAGAGCACCTGACATCAACCTGTCCTGGGCCCCCAGTTCATCTTCCTGAGAGTCACCCTCTCTGGAATCATCACAACAAACCCTTCCTTGATGCCAGCTCTGTTTTAGCCAAACTGAAATAATCAGGAGTAAGCACAGCCCCCCGAATTTCCAACTATTCATAGCTTTCTTCATATTTCATTCTCTTCACGAACACTGTCAGTGCAGGAGTATGACTTTGCCATTAATGGTGTCCAACTGCGGTCATTTTTACTCACCACTTTGAAATTAATTGCAAGGACATTTACTGAAGAATCAATCCAAAATTTAGCCATCATAGAGCATTATAAATTGCCTATGACAATTACTTCCCTTCCCTTGTCTCTGCAGGAGATAGTGACCTTTGCTATTAGATCTCATGGGAAATGACAATAGGAGTTTGCTATTAATTCTCTGATGTTGATTTAAGCATATATTTGTACTCATCCATCTCCAGATGCCAAACCAAAGTTCCAGAACTGAGAATAAGCTTAATAAGAATGACTGCCTTACTGGTATATATTTTAACATCTTCTTCACACACAAATTCCCTATCTTCTTCAATTCTTATTTTATTTCTGATTAATTGTTCTTAATTAAAGAATGTCTAATATTGACAAGTTTCACCTCTCATTGAAATGGCAGCACTAACTGAATGGGCTACGATGATAATGATCAATCAATAGTTATGTGCTCTTCTACATTGCAGCAGTAGAATTGCAGCAATTCTACTGTATCAATAGCTGCCTTCATTTACACTTAATATATTCAAACCAAATTCAATCTCCGTAGTAGCATGTAAGTTTGTAGTGATTTTAAATAATAATAATTCCATAAATTTATGAGTACTATACCCCAGCTTATAGTTTATCCTAAATTACAGTCCATGCTATTCACATGAATACTTAATAAATTCAGCCTCAAACAGAGGAAGATAGCTTTTCTTAAAATACTCCCCTTTCTTTGTAGAGCACTTGATGTAACAGATCATTGTGATGTAATAATCTGTTATAAACTCTGAAAAAATGTATGTTTTCACAGAGTAGTCTGTAAAAGACATATATACTCCTCAACTAAAACCGCCATGATTCAGAATAGGTTGGATGTGTAGTCTGAGCTGTCTTTCCTCTGATGTTAACCCACACGGCCTCCTTTGCCAGCTCTAAGCAAGACTCTCACCTCCTGGGCTAACCAGCCCTGACCTTCCCTCCAAAAGACCCCAAGTCTGGCCACTTCTTTTTTTTCTTTTTTTATATTTATTTATTTATTTATTTATTTTTGAGATGGAGTATCATTCTGTCACCCAGGCTGGAGTGCATGGTGCGATCTCGGCTCACTGCAACCTCCACCTCCCAGGGTGAAGCGATTCTCCTGCCTCAGCTTCCCGAGTAGCTGGGATTACAGGTGCGCGCCACCATGCCTGGCTAATTTTTTTGTATTTTTAGTAGAGATGGGGTTTCACCATGCTGGCCAGTCTGGTCTCAAACTCCTGACCTCATGATCCGCCCGCCTCCACCTCCCAAAGTGCTGGGATTACAGGCGTGAACGACTGTGCCTGGCCAAGTCTGGCCACTTTTTACATCTCTTCACCAGACTCTTGTGCCCTGGACTATAGTAACAGCCTCTTGACAGGCCTCCTCTGTCCACCCAGCCCCAAATATCAGGCACCATGAGCTTTTTATTATGAGTAATTACTAAGGTAAAATTTACAGCCAGTGAAATGCACAGAGCTTAAGCGCATGAGTTATGTTCAATTATCTACCTGTGTAACCATCATATCAATCAAGAGCACAGGGCATTCCCTTCCCCCAGCAGGCATCCCCATGCCCCTCTACAGTTAGTACCCACCTTCAAAGGCAACCACTGTTCTCTTTTCTTTCTTTGTTTCTTAAAGATGGAGTCTTGCTTCATAGCTGAAGCTGGAGTGCAGTGGTGTGATCGTAGCTCACTGTAGCCTCAAACTCCTGGGCTCAAGGAATCCTCCTGCCTCAGCCTCTTGAGTAGCTGGGATGACAGGTCTGCCATCACAGCCAGCTAATTTTTTTTTTTCTGGAAACTAGGGTCTCACCATGTTGCCCAGGATGGTCTTAAACTCCTAGTCTCAAGCAATCCTCCTGCCTCGGCCTCTCAAAGTGCTGGGATTACAGGCATGAGCCACGATCGTCCCCAGCCTAACACTTCTTTTTGTATCACCATCCACTAGTTTGGCTTGTTCTTGAAGTCACACAAGCAGGAAACAGTATGTGCTCTTCAGGGTCTGCCTTCTTCCATGCAAATGAGGCATCTATGTTAAACTAAGGATATCCATAGTTCATTATTAGAATGGTTTCCATCTATGAATAGTTTATAATTTGTCTAAACAAAACTCTTTAGTGAAACTGGGTTGCTTCCAGTTTCAGGCTCTTATGAACAAAGTTGACATAAACATTTGTGTACAAACCTTTTTGGGGACATGTGTCTGTTTCTCTTTTGTAAATCCTTAGGAATGCAACTGTGTGGTTAAAGTGTAGTTTTAGTGTTGTAAGGAACAGCCAAACAGTTTTTGAAAATGGTTGTACCATTTTACACTCCTCGCAACAATGAATGAGAGTTCTAGTTTCTCCACATCCTACCAGCATTGTCAGTCTTTTCCAATTTTAGCTACTCTGGAGGGAGTGTAATGTTATATCACTATAGTTTAAAGATGTATTTCTCAGATGACTAGAGATATGAGCACATTTGCATATGCTTAATGGCCATTTGTAAGTGTTCAAGTCTTTGGCCACATTTTTAAAATTGGGCTGTTTGTCTTTTTATTGTCAAGTTCTAGGGATTTTTATATAGTATGGGAACAAATCCTTTATATCTGGACACAAGTTTTTGTCAGATATATGCATTACAGATTTTTTCCTACTTTGTACATTGCCTTTTTATTCTCTTAATGATGTCTTTTAATGAACAGCAGTTCTTAATTTTATTGTAGACCAGTTCATTAGTATATTTTCGTTTATATGTTCAAGTGATTTTTGAGTCTCCTCTAAGAACCCCTGCCTATCCTAATAGGACATTCTCCTCTATTATTCTACAAATGTAGTAATTTTTGAGTCTCTGTTTAGGCATCTAATGTGTCTCAAATTAGTTTTGTGTGTAGCATGAGGTAGGGATGAAAGTTAACTTTCTTCCCATATGCTTATCTAGTTGTTCCAGCATCGTTTACTGCCAAGACATTGCTTTTCCCATTGAATTGCCTTGGCAACTCAATTGGTCATATATGTGTGAGTTTCTTTCAGAACCTGCCATTCCATTCCATTGATCTCATTGTCTTTCCTTATGCCAATACCCCATGACCTTGAGCAGCTTTATAATATAAGGGCTGAAGTCATGTAGTGAGTCTTCTAACTTTGTCCTTTTTTAGAATTGTTTTAACTCTTCTAGGTCTTTTGCATTTCCATATATGTTTTGAAGCAACCTGTAAATTTGGATCAAGGTACTACAACATTTTTAAACTAAGTATCACATTGTGTTCCTTCCTCCCTCCTCTCTCCCCCAACCATAGTGAACACCTCCAATGACTCCAGTTACCACTGCAAGAAAATCTAACCCTCTGACCACATCCTCCATGTCTAGCCCTTCTTACTTCTTGCTGGTTCCAGGGGCCACATAGTAGGCCAGCTGCACAGATCCTGGGAGCATTCTGTAACAAAGGCTGTAGCCACGTACTTCTGTTCTCTCCAAGGGCCTTTGACTACTCCAGGAAAGCCCAGTGCAGGATTGATGAAAGGTGACATTCCCATGGCTCTGTCTAAAGATATTTTTCTCTTTTCACGACATTATTGCAGGACCCTGACAGTGTAGGATTTTCCAAATTATTGCCACAAATGTAATACCTCTTCCCCTGGCAGCACATGCTTACTACAATTCCTAGTTACTTCGAAAATGTTTCTGATTATTAGTGTAATTACAGAATCGATTGATATTGGTGGCAGGTAATAATGAACGTATCTTATTGACATTACCAGCTTGATGTACAAGCTTACTTTTTTTATGCAGCATTCTACATTCATTTTAATGGAAATTAATGGTTGCTTATAATTTTTGGCCCATGAGCAAATATTGTTCCCATTATTCTACATTGTGAGAGATAAATATACCACATGACTACTTAAAAACTGGATTGTCAAGCAGTACTACCACTGAGCATTCATTCAGCACTTCCTATGTGCCCAAACACTGTCTGGACAACTTACCACGTGTTATGCCATTTGAGCCTCCCATCAACCCTTTAAGGTAAGAATGTTATCGTCCACACTTCACAGAGAAAGAAACTGAGATGCAAAGAATTCAAAAACTAGCCCAAGGCCACATGGCTCCTCAGTGAAGGAGCAGCCAGTCATGAACCCTGTTCTATCTGACTCCAAAATCAGAAACCCATAACCACTGCATGATGGTGAGAAAATTGTACTATGACCATCCCATATCCCCTTTTCAAAACAATATAAGTATAAATTCATATATGATACATTTCAAAGACCAGATTGGGATATGCATTATTTTTGGACAATAGAATTTTGCAATTGTGTATGTGTCTTTACCTGTCTGCATTTTTAACTTTCCTGTAATGAACATGCATCATTTTTGATAATGAGAAATTTGTCAGCATTTTTCCCAGTTATGGTTTGTGCATCTTTTTATAGTGTCTGTCTGTAACTGACTCATCTATCCAAGCCTCACAGCGTCAGTAGAAGGTAGAAAAGCAGACTTGGAAAACTAGTAAGAGCCAAGTTGGCCCCCGTGCCAGGAACCAAAGGGAAAAACACTGCAGGGTTTCAGGTTCAATGTGGCCCAGAAGTCACAGCGCCAACTGGGCATGGCCGCTGCTGCCAACATGAATGCTAACCCTGCCTTCTCCAACTGCACAAAACTCCTGCCTGCTGGCTGGTCCCAATGCGAGCTTCCAATAGTTGAACTCGGCTCACATGCCCAAGACCAGCTTTGTCTTGTGGCAGGAAGGCAGCCACTGGAAACCACTAATGCTACCCACATTCTATGTTTGGACAGCCCTAAAATAGGACACCTGCCCCGACTCCTTGAAGTGGTGTGGCCTCTCCCCAGGTGCTATCATGAGGACAGCCTCCCTCAACCCCACATACACACAGGAGGTCAGTGCTGGGCTCTGTGCAGCCTCCGTGGCCAGTGTCAACCCCGGCTCACCCAGGAGGGCTGCCCGCGCTGATGGCCCCTGTCTGAGCCACTGTCCTGTGATGGATGCACTCTAGCCCCTGGCCCACGAGACAGTGCACACTTGGAAGACAGAGATGGTCTCCTACTCATCTTGAGTTACAAGATTCAATTCTCCCATCCCTCTGTTCTGTCCCCATCACAACAGAAAGACTCTGCAGGGTGGAGTTGCACCATACACAGCTGTGGAGTTGGGCCAACTGGCTTGAATCCTGCCTCTGCTTCATTTACTATGAACTTTAGACAAGTTACCTTTTCTCTCTACATCTTAGTCCCCTGACTTGTAAAATGAGCACCATATTTACTTTCCGATTTGCTATGATAATTTAATGGAGTAATGTATGTAAAATGCTTATGAGCCCTCTTACACTTGTCCCTACCTCTATGGCCACTTCTCTCCAGTCTCCTTTCTGGTCCTTCCCACCAGGCTCCACCCTTGGGCCTCCCCTTCTCTGTCAACACCCATGCCATGGGGATCCCTCCAGCCTTATGGCTCTAAATTCATCTCTATGTTGATGGCTTCCCCATACCTTGACCCTAAACATCGCAAACATGTTTAGATGATCACATCTAAAGACTAGCTCCAGATTTAACCTAACATCTCTTCTAGGCTTCCCACCCAGTATACGGTGACCCTATCCTTCTAGTTGAGTTGCTCAGACCAAATACCAGGGAATCGCATTTTCTTTCCCCTCTCTCACTCCACTTCCATGTATCAGTGTCTGTCTACTGCTTGACCTTCAGTAGAATCCCCATTCCTGCCACTTCTCATCACCTTGACTGCAGTCACTCTGGTCCCAGCTAGCACCACCTCTCTCCCTGGTGACTGCTCAGCTCCCTGTTTGCAGTCCTGCCTCTCATATAGTATATTTCTAAGCCAGCAGCCCGGAGACCCAGTCAGACAGGTCCTGCTCCACTCAGTCCCTCCAAGTCCTCCCATTTTATCCGGTCTGAAGAAAATCAAATGCCTCATAAGGCCCTTCATACTCCAGGGACTCACCATCTCCCTGGTTGTCACCACCTCTCTCCTCCTCTCTCACTCTGCTCACACCACATGGTGACTGACATTCCATTAACAAGCCCAGGACACTCCCACCTTAGGCCCTTCATGACTGCTGTTCCCTCTGCCTGGATGCTGTTCACCGACCTCCAGCTGTCTCGCTCCCCCACCTCTTAGGCATCTGCTCCAATGTCACCTCATCATGAGGCCCCCACCTGTCCCTCTGACTCTTCTGAGCACCTTTACATCTTCACTTAAAAAAATTAACATACACACAACATAAAATTTACTATTTCAACTATTTTTAGGTGTACAATTCTCTGGCACTAAGTATATTCACAGTGTTTGGCAACCATCATCACCATCCATCTCCAGAACTTCTTAATCTTCCCAAACTGAAAATCTACACCCATTAAACACTAACTCCCATTTCCCCTTTCCCCCAGACCCAGGAAACCACCATTCCACTTCCAATCTCTATGAATTTGACCACTCTAAATACTTCATGTAACAGTGTACCGTATTTATCTTTTTGTGACTGGCTTGTTTCACTCAGCATAACGTCTTCCAGGTTCATACGTGTTATAGCATGTATTAAAATTCCCTTCCCTTTTAAGGCTGAATAACATCCCATTGTATGTATTACAACATGTTTTGTATGTTTTGTTATGCCATTCACCTGCCAATTGACATTTGGGTTGTTTCTACCTTTTGGCTATTGGGAATAATGCCACTGTTAACATGGACATGCAAATAGCTCTCTGAGCCCTTGCTTTCACTTCTGTGGGGTATATACCAAGAAGTGGAATTTCTGGATCGCATTGTAATTCTACATTTAATTCTTTAAGGAAATGCCATATTGTGTTCCCCAGTGGCTACATCAGTTCACATTCCCACATCACCACCGACAATGCACATGGGTTCCAGTTTCTCCATATCCTCTCCAACACTTGTTCTTTTCTGGTTTTTTGTTTTTTTTGATAATAACCATCCTAATGGGTGTAAGGTGGTATCTCATTGTGGTTGTGATTTGTATTTGCCTAATGATTAGTGACGTTGGGCATCTTTCTATGTGTTTATTGGCCATTTGTTTATCTTTGAAGAACTATATCTTCAACTCTTTGACCATTTTTTAATCTAGTTGTTTGGTTTTTTTCTTGTTGAGTTGTAGGAGTTTTTATCTATTCTGGGGATATCAATCCCTTATCAGACATATAACATGCAAATATTTTCTCCCATTCCATGTGTTGCCTTTTCACTCTGTTGATAGTGTCCCTTGATGCACAAAAGATTTTGATGTTGATGTAGTCCAGTTTATTTTTATATAAATTTTTACTTAAATGCTTTTTAAAATTGTTTTTAATAATTAGATCATTTTTATTCCAAAAATGTATCTACGTTTTTCAAAAGCCTGTGTTTTTGGTGTTCTATCCAAGAAATCATTGTCAAATCCAATGTTAAGAAGCCCTTTCTTTATGCTTTCTTTGAATTTTTTATTAGTTTTTGCTCTTACATTTAGGTCTTTAATCCATTTTGAGTTAAATTTTGGATATGCTGTAAGGTAAGCTTCCAACGTCATACTTGGCTTGTAGATATCCAGTTATCCCAGCATCATTTGTTGAGAAGATTGCTCTTTCCTCACTGAATGGTCTTGGCACCCTTGCCAGAAATCATTGACCACCTATGTGAGGTTTTATTTCTAGGGGCTCTTTATTCCATTCCATTGGTCTCTACGCCTGTCTTTATGCCAGTTCCACAGTTTTGATTATAGTAGCTTTGCAGTAAATTTTGAAATCAGGAAGTGAGAGGCCTCCAACTTTATTCTTCTTTTCCAAGATTGCTTTGGCTATTCAGAGTCCCTTGAGATTCCATGTGAATTTTAGGATGAGTTTTTCTATTTCCGCAAAAATCATCTTTGGGATTTTGATAGGAATTGCACTGAAACTGTGGATTGCTTTAGTAGTATTGACATTTTAACAATATGAGGTCTTCCAATTCATGAACATAGGATGCCTTTCAATGTATTTGTATCTCCTTTTATTACTTTCAGCAATTTTGTAGTTTTCCATGTACAGTCTTTACCTCCTTGGTTAAGTCTATTCCTGAGTATTTTATTCTTTTTGATGCTATGATAAGTAGAATTGTTTTCTCAATTTCATTTTGGATTCTTCATTATTAATGCATAGAAATGCAACTGACTTCTACATGTTGATTTTTATCCTGTAGCTTTGCTGAATTTATTAGTTCTAACAGATTTTTTGTGGAATCTTGGGGTTTTCTACATAAAAGATCCTGTCATCTGCTCAGAGAGACTATTTTACTTCTTCTTTTCCAATTTACCACACTTGATTTTTATCCCCAGCATCCATCACCATCTGACATACCAGAAATTTACTTTGTTTATTAGTTTATAGTCTGACTCCTCCCAGACAAAAATGTAAGCTCCATCGAGACAGGTAATTTCTGCCTGCTTTGTTCACTGCCCCTTGAGCAATGCCTGGCTCACTGTAGGTGCTCAATAAACAATTATAAAATGAACGAATCACCTCACCTGGCACACGGAAGGGACTTAGCAAAAGGTAGCGAGAAATAATTATTGGTTTTTTACATAGTATTTCACTGCACGAGTAATAATGAAGGCTTAGATTGAAAAGGGTGTTTTTTAATGCAGAATGGTTGCAGTGTCAAAAAACAAATAGCACCATGATTCCAGCTGCACTGGAATCCCAGGGCAGGTCCAGCTCACTCCCTGCCATGCCCCGCTTTCAAGTAATCCCTGTGGCTATCACAGATGACAACTGCATTCAGGTGCCAATCTACATAGAGGGACTTCTGTAAACAGACCTCTCTGTCCTGTTGTCTCTGCCCAAATCCTCCAAGATATCCCAGGCGGCCAGGGCTGGCCTGACCAAAGTGCTGGCCAAGTGGCCAATGTCCAAGTCTGTGGAGCTGGAGCTGGGACAGGGACTCCTGCCAAAGACAGTATATAGGACTAAGAGCCAGGGGAGCCTGTCACAGCCCACTAGGAGAAGCCTGGGTTCCAGTACAAACAGAAGCCAGAGGCCCAAGAGGGAGCCAAGGCCAGGGCGGCAGAGCCAAGAGCTCAGAGTCTGTCCGTCGGTCAGGAGCCAGTCCTGGGATGGGTGGGGGAGTACAGCGGTCACAGTCTGCAGCACTCGCTGGGGCTGGCACTGGAAGTTGTGGGCAACAGGGTGGGGCCTGGGTGAGTTGGGACTGGGACAGGACAGACATCTCAGCCTCTTGGCAGATTCCTGGCTCAGCTCCTTTTGCACAACACACTCAGGGCTTAAATGTAAACGCTTCCCAGGAAAGGCTGTTTCTTCTCTCAAGGTCTGAGTAGAAAAGTAACCACCCTCCCCGGCATTCCCAAACACCTTCTAAGGTGAGCTGACCTTAGAACATTCTTCCATTTTAGATCTGATCACCCACCTGATATTTCTCCAAATACAAAAATACCTCAAACGGAGATTACCTAAAATTCTGATAAAAATAATAGTCATAATATATGTAATATAAATATAATGCAACCAATGTTCTACTAGTTCCCCTCTGATCTGCTGAGACTGAGCTTCCTGAGAAAATAGTAGACGATTTAGATCAGTGACTCTCAACCTTTATGGTCCCTGGACCTTTTCTGAGGATTCCAAAGAGGTTTTGTTTGTCCAGGCTACAGCTGTCAATTTACCATATTGCATAATTTTTATGAAAAATAGTCATAATTTCAAAAAACTCATGAGAAGAATGGCATTGTTTCACATTGTTTTAGTATCTGGCTCAATAAAAGATAGCTGCCCTTTCATAACTGCTTTTGTGCCATCTGTTGTGATATGTTGTTTTGGTTGAAGTTTATGATGAATATCCAGTGTCTCACATGCAGGTAGTTGGACATATACTTTCCACATAGCACCTGAAAGGGTATTGGGGACACACACGGGTCCTCGGGCCTTACTTTGAGAACCACTGGTTTAGATAACGATGGTGCAACTATGCCCCTCACTCGTGTGGATCATGGGGATAAAAACCAGAGCTCTGGGTGAGAGAGAGAACGGTTGTAGGCTGGTTGGGGGAGGGGAAGAAGGAGTCAGGGGTAGGATCTTCATCATCCAGGTATCTGTCCCCAACCCACACTACACTTGGCTGAAAGAAGCCTGATCCCAGCTGGCTCCCTCCTGGGGAAAGGTAATGTTGAGATGCGGTTTCCCTATGAGCCACCCACAAGCCCTGATTGGTAGGGACCAAATGCTTAATGGGAACAATTTTGGGGAGACAGGGTGCAGGAAAGGAGGCATAGTGCAGCAGTCCGCAACCCCAGATGCACAGTGGGTCACCTGGGAGATGTAAATGCTGACTTGATTAGCCTGAGCAAAAGCCTTCACAGCAGGAGTTTTGAAAGTTGTCTGGCTGCTTCTATTGTGCAGACAGGGGCAAGCACCACCTGTTTGACGTGGGCTCAGGAAGCAGAGCACCTGGGTTTGAATCCCTGGTTCACTAGTCATTTATATATACAACTCACTAATTGTATAACTAACCTCAGGCCAATTACTCAGCTTCAGTTTACTTATCTGTAAAATGGGAATGCCATGAGGGATGTTGTGAATACTGAATGACATCATCTATTTAAAGTTCTTAGTGTTGGGACTGTACCAGAACATGTACTCAGTCAACTTGAGCTGTCACTGTCTGCTATGGTGAAGATCAGTGCAGGCTGTCAGACTCTGTCAGCTTCCAGGGATGAGCATCTCTGAGGAAGCTGTCCCCCATGCAGGACAAGACACTGCCACAAAGTAGATGATAAGACCTGGGTCTTAGAGACAGAAGGTCTCTGCATCTGGAAATAGAGGCAGTTGGTGACTCCCCCAGCCCAGGATCCAATTCTGGAAACTTCAGGGGAACAAGAGAGCTCTTGGCTGAGGTGCACAAAGGTGATGTCACTAGAAACAGGTGCAGGAGAAGTTGGCACAGAGAACAATGATGGTGTTCACACTGTGTGTGTGTCTGTGTGTGTGTGCGTGCACACTCTGCAATCAGACTCATATTGTTTTTTCGCTTTAAAATTATTGAAACATCTCAAATCTATTACAGATGGCAGAGGGGAAAACACAGCGTGGAAATATTTTAATGGTTTATTCTTGGCCTGCGGACTGTCCATAGAGACCTGGAGTGAATGAGACTCCCTTCTTATTTGTCCCCTAGAACATCATCATTACACATTATACACCGCGTTCTGCCTCAGAGCTCATCGGATCATCCACAAAAGTGGAGAGCAACATGAAAGGGGGGTCCAGGGAAACACAGACGGGCCTGGCATGCTCCCTGAGCAGGCAGGACAGCCATGACTCAATCATTTTATTAAGAGGCAGGATGAATCATGTAACACTTCTAGAATTACTGGATGTGGACAGCTCCTCCAGCTGTTTACAGGGCGGAATTTGAGAGCCTTCAAACACAGATGTGCTGCCGAGTCTCATGACATCCGCCCAGCGAGATGAGCCTGCCGCACTGATGGCCAGTTTCATTTCCTTCAGGTTTATTGGCTTTTGTGAATTCATACAGAGAGAGGTGCCAAACAGGCCGAGATAATTCACAGAAATGACTGGAGGGATGGTCTAGGGCCAATCCTGTGCCTCCTGGAGGAATTATATCTAATCACCCAGGACAGAGAGTTGTCCAGGCTGCCTAAGGCCACTAAGTGAGCCAGGAAAACAGGAAGATAATTGGATCCAGAGCTCAACACGCTTCATCAGGAGCGAGATTACAGAGGCTAATCCTTCAGACTCAGCGGGTCGGGCTGCAATTAGCAAGCCTCATTAAGGGATCAGCTCTCACATCCGGGTCTTGAGTATTGACACTAAGTTAAGCCACAGACATGTTGGGCTGATTAAGGGAGCAAGAAGCTGGCCACAGGCCAAGATTTCACCTTCCAACCAGCCCCATGCCGAACGCACTTGGAGGCGACTCTGACAGAGAGAGTGGTTGGCAGCAAAGAGGTTGGTTGTTTTTGTGTTTTTTTTCTTTTTTGGTTGTATTCACAGCTCTAAATGGATGCTCCATCAAGAGGCAATTTCCTAGCTTGAAAATCTCTGCCAAACTACTTGGTATGAAATGATTTTTTACGCTTCGCAAGCACGCTCCACTTTGTCACATGGGAGTTTTCCTGTGCCAAGTGAACATCCATCTGCACGTTCTCCAGCTCAGCTGACACTGCAGCGCCCTTGTCAGCGTGGAGGTGCCTGCAGTATCGCAGCGCAGGTGGTGCCAAGGCTCTGCCTGTAATTCCTTCCTGAGAAGACTCCAGGATTGGTCCTTGTCTCCTTAGACAACCTACCAAAGGTTGGTGGGATTGTGGGGAAGGGAGAGGGATCTACTTTCAAGCATGGATCCCAGGCCCCCACTAGCTCCATTCTACGCTCCACAAAGAAAGGCGCCCCTGTGGTCTCCTGAACTGGGAGGACTCCATCCCTCAGTCCTCAGACTCTCCCTCCCAGACCATGCTGGGTGGGGAAAGGGCTGGGCTGCTGCAGGATAGGGTCGGCTCCTCAGCATGCCGCTGAGCTGCAGCTACCCTAGTTCAGGCTCCTCCCTTAGGGGGTCTCAGAGGGCGGGTGGTGTTGGGTTTTTTGTTTGTTTGTTTGTTCATTTTGAGACAGGGTCTCACTCCGGTTGCCCAGGCTGGAGTGCGGTGGTGCGATCATAGCTCACTGCAGCCTCGACCTCTGGAGCCTCAAACGATCCTCCCACCTCAGCGTCCCAAGTAGCTGGTACTACAGGTGTGGGCCACCATGCCTGGCTAGTATTTGTTTAGTGTTTTGGGGTTTTTGGGGTTTTTTATTTTATTTTATTTTATTTTTTGAGACAGAGTCTCGCTTTGTTGCCCAGGCTGGAGTGCAGTGGCGCAATCTCAGCTCACCGCAACCTCCGCCTCCTGGTTCAAGGGATTCTCGTGCCTCAGCCTCCCAAGTAGCTGGGACTACAGGCGTGCACCACCACACCTGGCTAATTTTTGTTTTGTTTTGTTTTGTTTTGTTTTGTTTTAGTAGAAACAGTGTTTCACCATGTTGCCCAGGCCATGTTTCGCCATGTTGAGGCCAGGCTGGTCTCAAACTCCTGGCCTCAAGTGATCCACCTGCTTCCCTCCCAAAGTGCTAGGATTACAGGCATGAGCCACTGTGCCTGGCCAGTTTTGTATTTTTTTTTTTGTGGAGACAGGGTTTCACCATGTTGCCCAGGCCAGTCTTGAACTCCTGGGCTCTACCCAGTATCAGCCCACCTTGGCCTCCCAAAGTACTGGGATTACAGATGTGAGCCACCACACCCTGCTGAGGTATATTTTTTCCTATATACCATGAAGCTGAATGAACTTGGCTAAAATACATCACTCCTAATACTGACACAAAGGAACTCACTAATCATGTATTTTTTTCTTTCTTTCTTTCTTTCTTTCTTTCTTTCTTTCTTTTTTCATGAGGCTAAATTGACTAAAATAATACCACTAAATTTAGAATGACAGTTTTTAGACAAATAAGACATAAACTTTGGATAAGTCTAAAGTACTTTAAAAGCCCTTAAAATGAGTTATTTCTATTTCCCAGCTATTTAACTTTATCCCTAAAATTATATGGGTTTTGTGTACAAATATTTTATTACTTCTGCTGATACTCCTATTCCCTCGCCTGTGAGATTGGAGAAGTGAATGTGTGGGCCGAGGAAAGGGTTTGTTAGGTTAGTGGGAGTGGGGCAGAAAAGGGGCCTGAGGAAGACACTCTCCTCCACCGAGACCTGTCTGTCAGCTGCCCTCAGCATGAGATCAACAGGCTTAGCAAGTCACAAAAGCAAACAAAACAAAATCTCTAAGCAAATTAACATAGGAACAGAAAACCAAATACCGCACGTTCTTACTTATAAGTGAGAGCTAAACACTGAGTACACGCAGACACAAAGAAGAAATCAATAGGCGCGGCGGCCTACTTGAGAGAGGAGGGTGGGAGAAGGGTGAGGGTCAAAAAACTACCTATCGTGAGTTCAGTGCCCACTACTGGGGTGAGGAAATACTCTGTACATCAAACCTCCATAACACGCAATTTACCCATGTAACAAACCTGCACATATACCCTCTAAACATAAAATAAAAGCTGGAGAGAAAAAAACTCTCTCTCTCTCTCTCTCTCTCTCACACACACACACACACACACAACCATACCAGAATAATAATGACACTTACCAGATCCTGACCTGCACGTTTTAACAGAGGCAGGTCCATGGCAAACTTCACTCTCTGAACTGTCAAAGCTCTCATTTCATCCAAGCTTAAATCATACCTGTGAAGAACAGATACAAAATAAGACAGCCAATAATTGGTGACTGAGGGGAGGCTGTGGATGCTTTGACCCCGGGCTCAGACAGAAAAGCTGTGTCCATTGTAATGCTTGTTTGATACTGTGCACACTGTGTGTGTCACACAGACTGGGTGTTCAATACAGCCAGACACAGGGAGGGAGAGATGGAAGGATTTCCTGACAAGACCATCTTATTCTTCTTATTAATATTATTATTTGAGATGGTGTCTCACTCTGTTGCCTAGGCTGGCGTGCAGCAGTGCAATCTCGGCTCACTGCAACCTCCGCCTCCCGGGTTCAAGCGATTCTCCTGCCTCAGCCTCCCAAGTAGCTGGGACTACAGGTGCCCACCACCATGCCCAGCTAATTTGTGTGTGTGTGTGTGTGTGTGTGTGTGTGTGTGTGTGTGTGTGTGTGTGTGTGTGTTTAGTAGAGACAGGGTTTCGCCATATTGGCCAGGCTGGCCTCAAACTCCTGACCTTGTGATCCACCCGCCTTGGCCTCCCAAAGTGCTGGGATTACAGGCGTGAGCCACCGCGCCCGGCCAAGACCATCTTAAAACAAGACTGCAACACCTCCTGCTCTGCAGTCCTTTGAAAATTGTCTGAGATGACTTAAAAGCAGCATTTGGGAGATAGGGGCAAGGGAGTGACATGCGTGTTGCAAGAGGTGGACTGTGGTGGCCATAAGGATTGCCACTCAGGGTTGCCTTCGAGATTACCTGCTTCCAGCTGCCACACCTTTGGAATAACAGAGTGATGGTAATTACATTCACCATGAGGCTGCTCATCTCTTGGCTGCTACTAGCTGATGGTTGAGCCTCACAAGGTTCTAGAGTCAGGCCATGCCTGCCCAAGAGGTGACCTGCTCTGGGAGCCCACTTGCCTGCAGACTTTGTCATCACTGTACTGTGTCTGAGGCTTTCCCAGCTCAACCCTTTCCTCCCCCTCTCTTTGCAAGGAAGCCAGACCTGACTGCCTTTGTTCTGAGGGTTCTCCCCACCAATCCAGCTCCCTCCCACTTACGCTTCTCAGGTGTTTTCTCCCATTAAATCTCCTGCACATCTAGCCCCACCTTGGTGCCCACTTCTCAATGAACCTAAACTGACACAGGAGGAGAGGTTCCTCTTTGGCCACCTAGAATGTTTCCATGCAACGCACAGCCTGAGCCTGTAGGACCTCACTCAGGTTAGATTTCAGAGCCAGAGGATATGAAAAGGATGGCCTAACAATAGAAAACCTTCTTGGAGATACCCACCCAACAACAGAAAAACATCAGAGCAAAACACACCCATCTTCCTCTCCTGCAGTCTCAGTGGGGCATTGCTCTTCCTCTCTACCCCATAACCCTGCAAAAGCAGGAGGGGGCACTCCAATTCCTTTCTGCAAGGCTGAGGGGAGAGTTAACCTTCCACCTCTTGTCTTGCAGAGCAGATGGAGTGTCTGAGTTCCCGACCTGGTGCACACCTTGGTGGGCCAAGTAGGGAGCTGATCTTCTATCTCCTGCCCAGCAAAAGCAGGTGGTGCCAGGGTAGCATTAGTGGAGTCCAGTAGTGGCCATCTATACCCAGCAACAACAAGGCCTAGCAAGAAGATGCGAGGTAAATCTAGTCACACCCTGCTTCACACCAACACCCCATCAGCAGGACCCAATGGGAAGCTGAGACTTCACCCCTACTCGGTATTAACAAGGAAAAAGGAGGTGGTAGGAGAGAGGGTCAGTTGGCACTTAATTCACCCCTCTCCTTCCCTGGCGTCATTAGCACCCAGAAGAGAACTGACCTTCCATCCCATACCGGTGACAACAAAGTGATGTGGGTCAGCTTTCAACTTCCCCCTTCCTGATGGCAGCTCAGCCCAGTGGGGAGGGGATGATCTCACATCCCCATCTGAAGGCAACTGAGGTCATGAGATTCAAGAGGGGAGCTGAACTTCCACTCCATACATTTTCAACAAAGTTGGCTCAACAGGAAGCTGAATATACATGGCCACCTGGACATCCCAATATACCTCAACAAGGGACCCCATGCTAAAAAATATTCAATCAATCTTGAGCAACATAATAAAATATCCAAAATGTCTAGGACACAATAAAAAATTGCTCATGATACCAAGAACTGTCAGAACACATACAAAGAATTTACTAAGAATCATCACAGCAACAAGGAACATCACAACATGAATGATAAAGAAATCAACAGATACCCACACCAAGATTAATCAGACATTGGAATTATCTGATGAAGATTTTAAAGCAACCATCATAACCATGCTTCAATAAGTAATCATAATTTCTCTTGAAATAAATGGGGAAAAAAACAGAAAATTGTATCAAAGAAGTGCAAGTTATAGAAAAGAATAAAATGGAACTCATAGAACTGAAAAATATGATAACCAAATTTTTTAAATCTCACTAGATGAACTCAAGAATACAGCATAGATGAAATAATAGAATCAGTGAACTTGATGACAGATTGCTATGGTCTAAATGTTTGTATGTCCTCCAAAATGTATATGTTGGATCCTAATCACCAAGGTGATTATATTAGAAAGTAGGGGCTCTGGGAGATGATTAAGTCATGAGCAGTTCACCCTCATGAATGAGATTTATGCCCTTACAAAAGAGGTCCCAGAGACCTGCCTTGCTCCTTCCAGTATGTTAGAACATAGCAAGAAGGCACCATCTATGAACCAGAAAGCAAGACCCTCACCAGACACCAAATCTTCTGGCACCTTGATCTTGGACTTCCCAGCCTCCAGAATATGAAAAATAAATTTCTGTTATCTAAAGGCAACCTGATCTAAGATATTTTATTTTAGACTAGAACACAAATCAATAGAATTTATCCAATCTGAACAACAAAGAAAATATAGACTGAAAAATAAGACAAATATTTCTCAGGAACATTTGGGACAATAATAACAGAGCCAACATGCATATCTTCAGTTTTGAAAAGCAAAAAAAAGAGAGACTGGACCAAAAAAGTAGTATAAGATATAATAGCTAAAAACTTCCCCTACTTGGTAAAAGACATAATAAACCTACAGGTTCAGTAAGCTGAGCAAATAATTGGCTAAACCCAAAGAAGCCCATGTCAAGAAACATCATAATTAAATTTCTTAAAATTAAGGCCGAGGAAAAAATCTTGAAGGCAGCTAGAGAGAAATGATGGGTTACTTATAGGGGAAAACCATTGGAATGACAGCAGATTTCTCACTGGAAACTACAGAGGCCAGAAACAAGTGGCTCAACATTTTTCAAGTACTGAGACAAAATAACTGTCAATGGCAAATCTTATATTCAGTGAAGATATCCTTCAAGAATGAAGAAGAGGAATAATAAAAATCTTATCAGGCCAAAAAAATCTAAGACAATGTTTGCTAGCAAGCTGACTTAAAGAATGGCTAAAGGTAGTTCTTTAAACAGACAGGAAATGATAGGAGAAAAAGGCTAGAACTTTCAGAAAAGAAAGAACATCAGAATGAGTAAAAATATAGTAGACTAGATTACTTATTATGGGTTTTTAATAGACTTTTTTAGAGCAGTTTTAGGCCCACTGCAAAATTGATTAAAAGATACAGAGATTTCCCATATAGTTCCTGCCCCCACATGTGTATAGCCTCCCTCACTATCAAAATCCCCCACCAGAGTGGTATATTTGTTACAGCTGATGAACGTACATTACCCATCATTATCACCCAAATTCACAGTTTACATTAGGGTTCATTCTTGGAATTGTACATTCTGTGGGTCTGGATAAATTTATAATGACATGTATCTACTATTATAGTATCATACGGAGTAGCTTCACTGCCCTAAAAATCATCTGTGCCATGCCTCCCCCAACCCCTGACAGCCACTGATCTTTTTACTGTCTCCATAGTTTTGCCTTTTCCAGGATGTCACACAGTTGAAATAATGCAGTATTTCAACTAGACTTTTGAATTGTCTTCTTTCACTTAGTAAATACCTTTAAGTCTCCATGTGCTTTTCATGGCTTGATACCTCATTTTTTTTTAGCACTAAATAATATTCCATTGCCTGGAGGTACCACCATTTATCTATCCATTCAACTACTGATAGACATCTTGGTTACTCCTAAGTTTTGGAAATTATGAATAGAATTGCTATAAATATCCATGTGCAGGTTTCTGTGTGCACGTAAGTTTTCCATTCCTTTGGGTAAATACCAAGGAAAATGACTACTGGACCATATGGTAAGAAATCACCAAACTATCTTCCAAAGCAGCTATACCATTTTGCATTCTTACCAGCAATGAATAAAACTTCTTGTTGTCAGCATTTAGTGTTGTCAGTGTTCTGGATTTTGGCCATTCTAACAGACATGTAGTGATATCTCATTGTTGTTTTAATGTGTGTAGCCCTAATGACATATGATGTTGAGCATTTTTAATATGCTCATTTGCCTGCTATATATCTTCTTTGGTGAGGTGTCTGTTAAGGTCTTTGGCCCATTTTTTGATGGGGTTGTTTGTTTTCTTATTGTTGAGTTTGAAATGTTCTTTGTATATTCTGAATAACAGTCTTATATTAGACGTGTCTATGTGTCTGTTGCAAATATTTTCTCCCAATCCATGGCTTGCCTTTTCATCCTTTTGACATTCACAGAGCAGAAAGTTTTCCTTTTAATAAAATTCAATTTACCAATTCTTTCTTTCATAGACCATGCCTTTGGTGTTGTATCTAAAAAGTCATCACCAAATGCAAAGTCATATGGACTTTCTTCTAGATCTCCTAGGAATTTTATGGTTTTACATTTTACATTTAGGCCTGTGATCCATTTTGAGTTACTTTCTGTGAAGGGTGTAAGGTCTATGTATAGATTTATGTGGGGGTGGGGGTTGTATGTTGACGTCCAGTTGTCACAGCATCATTGGTAGAAAAAGCTATCTTTTCTCCATTTTATTGTTTTTGCTCCTTTGTCAAAGATCAGTTGACTATATTTATGTGAGTCCATTTCTGGACTTTCTATTCTGTTTCATTGATCCATTTGTCTGTTCTTTCACCACCACTATACATTTTTAATTACTGTAGATTTGTAGTAAGTCATGAAGCCAGTAGTGGCTGTCCTCCAACTTTGTTCTTCTCCTTCAATTTTGTATTGGCTATTGTGAGTCTTTTGTCTCTCCTTATAGGCTTTAAAATCAGTTTGTTGATATCCATGAAATAACTTGCCAAGATTTTGATTGAGATGACGTTTAATCTTAACAACATTAAGTTTCCTCTCCATGAACATAGAATATCCCACCATTTATTTAGTGGATTTTTTTCATTCATGACTTTTTGAAATAATATTTAATGTCTAAAGCAAAAATTATAAAACCATCTGATGTGGTACTCAATGTAGGTTGAAGAAATACTTCAAACAATTTGGCCAGGGGCAGTGGGTCATGCCTATAATTCAAGCACTGTGGGAGGCTGAGGTGGGCAGATTGCTCGAGCCCAGGAGCTTGAGACCAGCCTGGGCAATGTGGCAAAATCCTGTTTCTACTAACAATACAAAAAATTACCTGGATGTGGTTGTGTGCATGTGTAGTCCCAGCTACTTGGGAGTCTGAGGTAGGAGGATTGCTTGAGCCTAGGAGGGGAAGGTTGCAGTGAGGCGAGATCACACCATTGCACTCCAGCCTGGGTGACAGAGTGAGACCCTGTCTCAAATTTTTAAAAAAGGACTCAAAAAAGGTATTTTAAAATTGGAAAGGTAAAGGAACCTAAATGAAAGTTAGGTTTCTATACTTCACTCAAAGTGGTAGGACAATACTAGTAAACTATGATAAATTAGGTATGTACTATAACACCTCAAGCAACCACTAAGAAAATATAGAATGCGATATACCCTAAAACACAATAAATACATCAAGACGGTATCCTAAAATAATGTTCAAATAATCTACAGGAAGGTAAGAAAACAAAAAAAATAAGAGAAATAAGAAACAGAAGAAATAAATAATAAAGTGGCAGATGTAAACATTGACATATCAATAATTACCCTAAATGTAAATGGTTTAAATACCACAATTAAAAGACAAAGATTGGTAGAATGAATTTTTTAAGTCTAAAAATATGCTATCTGCAAGAAATCCATTTCAGATATAGTGACATAAGCAAGTTGAAAGCTAAAAGATGCAAAAAGTTAAGCCATGTGAACGCTAATCAAAAAGAAAAAGTAGAAATGGTTATATTTATATCAGCTAGAGTAGATGTCAGAAAAAAGAACATCACCAAAGATAGCAAAAGATATTATAATTATAAAAGGATCAATCCACAAAGAAGACATAACAATCCTAAACGTGTACACACCAAACAACAAAGCCTCAAATATGTAAAACAAAAACTGATAAATCACAAGATGTAGCAGTCTAGAGCCAATCAGAAGAAAGAAATCATGCAATAGGTTAAACAGACAAAGTTTAATACAAAGTATTACTATGATAAAATGTTCACTATAAGATATAGGGAAACTCCATATGGTATCCTCAGGCTGAGAGAGAACACCTAAAAACGGGAAAAAGTTGGAACAGGTACAGATCTCACTAGAGAAGGTATGGTTTAGCCCATCAAACAGCAGAGAAGTTAGCTGATTTGGCCAGGCCAGAGTTGGTCTGGAGTTTCTGGGATAAGAATAAACCATCCTTACAAATGCAGGTGGGGAAGCAAACCATCAGCAACTGGCAGTATGGGTGTACAGTAGGATGGCAGGCATCAATGCAGACAGGAGGCCTTTAGAGCACATAGGCCACCTGGGAGCTTGCAACGATGTAAGCTCATATAAAATTTAGCCTCAGCCAAATTATATTCCATGGGGAGCTCTGGAATATAAATGGCATCACAGAGTTGTGCCACTCTCTTAGTTAGTCATTGATTGCAGGGTATTCCTAAGGAGAAAGCATAACCTCAGGTATTTCCAGAGAAGGTAACTTCCATAATCAATGACAATTCAAAGGAGAAATGTTCAATTGGGAGTTGATATTAATCAACATTCTCAGAACCAGTCAATGGGTATGCAAGCCTAGTAAAGGGATCTTGGGTGTCAACAGCAATTGCTACAGCAGCTGACTAAAGAAGCTAGGAAAAAAACAACACATTAAAGAAAAAAGAATAAATTGTTTTTAAAAAAGTAATCAGAAAACAGAAAAAGTAGTAACTAATAAATCCAAAAGCTGGCTCTTTGAAAGCAACAACCACAAGAAGTTGTTGTTGAATATTGTTCTGGTGGTATTTGCCAATGCAATTATGAGAGAGAAAAAATTAGAGAAATCAAAATTGGAAAGGAACGAGTAACACTATCACTATTTGCAGATACAAAGTAGCAGGTTGATTTATTGATAACACCTATGCTTCACCTCTCCTTGACTCTTGCCCTTTGACACTCCAGTTCTCATTTAAGAGGCAGGGTCTATTTTCCTACCCCTTAAATCTGGACCTAGCCAATGGGACATTCTTTGGCCATTAAAATATTGGTAAATTTGAGAGAAGCAAACACTTGAGTGCTTATGCATTTCCCTATCTGTCTTGTTCCACATGAACACTAATGAAAAAAAAAGTATCATATCCTGTGATACTCATGGGAATATCCCTGAGTGAAGCTAAAAATATGCTCAGACTACCATGCTTGCGGGTGATATAAAGTAAGAGATATGTGAGAACAGCTCACTTGTCTTGGCCATGGCCATCTTAAACCAACCTACCTCTAGGCAATCCTCAAATATGTGAGAGTCCAGCCAAGATCAGAGAGGCTGTCTGTCCAATTCATGGCTAACTGAAATACATGAATGAGTTCAGTTAAGACCAGAAGGTCCTCCCAGTCATGCACAGATGCATGAACAATAATAAACAACTGTCATTTTGAGCCACTATATATTGCATTATAACTAGCTATAATATTGGCTGGGTGCGGTGGCTCACGCCTGTAATCCCAGCACTTTGGGAGGCTGAGGCGGGCGGATCACGAGGTCAGGAGATCGAGACCATCCTGTCTAACACGGTGAAACCCCGTTTCTACTAAAAATGCAAAAAAAATTAGCCAGGCGTGGTGGCGGTCAGTGCCTGTAGTCCCAGCTACTCGGGAGGCTGAGGCAGGAGAATGGCGTGAACCCAAGAGGTGGAGCTTGCAGTGAGCCGAGATTGCACCACTGCACTCCAGCCTGGGCAACAGAGTGAGACTCCATCTCAAAAAAAAAAAAAAGAAAAGAAAAATTTAACTAGCTATAATATGATTGTACACCTGGAAGCCCCCAAGACAATCAACTAACAACTACTACAAAAAATAAGAGTTAGCAGGATACACAATAAAAGAAATCAATAGCTTTTATACAGATACATTAAAAACCAGTTAGAAAATACATGAAGGAAAAGATCCCACTTGCAAAAGTAATAAAACAAAATTAAAATATACATTAGAATAAATTTTTTTAATTTACAGAACCTAGATGAAAAAGCTTTCATCTAAATATGCCTAAAGAATACAAGAGAAGACTTGGACAAATAGAAATGTGTGCCATGTTTATTAATAGAAGACAATATCATAATGAAATCAATTCTCCTTATGTTAATTCATACATTAAACATAATCCAAATAACAATGCCAACAAGTGATTTTAAAATTCAAATATAAAAAGAAACAAACAAAAATAGTCAGGAAAACTCTAAACCCATGGAAGTATGATCTTTGCAGACAATAAAATGGGTGAAAAGATTGCCAAGCTGGATAAAGCGCCAAGACCCATCAGTATGTTGTCTTCAAGAGACCTATCCATGTGCAAAGACACACATGGGCTCAAAATAAAGGGATAAAGAAAAATTTACCGAGCAAATGGAAAAAAAATCAAGGGTTGCAATCCTAGTTTCTGAAAAAATAGACTTTCAACCAACAAAGATTATAAAAGACAAAGAAGGGCATTACATAACAGTAAAGTGTTCAATTCAACAAGAAGAGCCAACTATCCTAAATAAACATGCACCCAATACAGGAGCACCCAGATTCATAAAGCAAATTCTTAGAGACCTACAAAGAGACGTAGACTCTCACACAATAATACTGGGAGACTTTACCACCCCACTGACAATAGTAGACAAATCATCAAGAAAGAAAATTAACAAAGATATTTAGGACCTGAACTCAACCTCAGGATCAAGTAGACCTGACAGATATCTACAGAACTCTCCACCCAAAAACAACAAAATATACATTCTTCTCATCATTACATGGCACTTACTCTAAAACTGATCACACAATTGGAAGTAAAATACTCCTCAGCAAATGCAAAGGAACTGAAATCATAACAAACAATCTCTCAGACTGCAGAGCAATCAAATTAGAACTCAAGATTAAGAAATTCACTTAAACCCACACAACTACAGGAAACGGAACAACCTGCTCCTGAATGAGTCTTGGGTAAATAATGAAATTAAGGCAGAAATCAAGAAGTTCTTTGAAACTAATGAGAACAAAGAAATGATGTACCAGAATCTCTGTGACGCAGGTAAAGCAGTGTTAAGAGGGAACTTTATAGCACTACATGTCCACGTCAAAAAGCTAGAAAGATCTCAAGTTAACAACCTAACATCTCAACTAAAAGAACAAGAGAACCAAGAGCAATAAACTCCCAAAGCTAGCAGAAGACAAGAAATAACCAAGATCAGAGCTGAACTGAAGGAGATAGACAAGAAAAACACTTCAAAAAATCAATGAACCCAGGAGCTGGTTTTTTGAACAAATTAAATAGACCACTAGCTAGACTAATAAGGAAGAAAAGTTAGAAGAATCAAATAAACTCAACCAGAAATGATAAAGGGGATATCACTACTGACCCCACAAAAATACAGCCATCAGAGAATGGCCATACTGCCCCAAATAATGTATAGATTCAATGCTATTCACATTAAACTCCCATTGACATTCTTCACAGAATTAGAAAAAATCATTTTAAAATTCATATGGAACCAAAAAGGAGCCCAGATAACCAAGACAATCCTAAGGAAAAAGAACAAAGCTGGAAGCATCACACTATTTGACTTCAAACTATACTACAAGGCTATAGTAACTAAAACAGCATGATACTGGTACAAGAACAGACACATAGACCAATGGAACAGAACAAAGAACTCAGAAATAAAACTGCACACCTACAAGCATCTAATCTTTGACAAACCTGACAAAAACAAGGAATGGGAAAAGGACTCCCTATTTAATAAATGGTGCTGGGAGAGCTGGCAAGTTATAGGCAGAAAATTAAAACTAGACCCCTTCCTTACACCATATATAAAAATTAACTCAAGTTGGATTAAAGACTTAAATGTAAAACCCAAAATTATAAAAACCCTAGAAGAAAATCTAGGGAATATCATTCAGGACATAGGCATGGGCAAAGATTTTATAATGAAGACACCAAAAATGACTGCAACAAAAGCAAAAATTGACGAATCGGATCTAATTAGACCAAAGAGCTCCTGGACAGCAAAAGAAACTATCATCAGAGTGAACAACCTACAGAATGGGAGAAAATTCTTGCAATCGATCTATCTGACGAAAGTCTAATATCCAGAGTCTATGAGGAACTTAAACAAATTGACAAGAAAAAAAAAAACCCCATTAAAAGGTAGGCAAAGGACCTGAACAGACACTTCTCAAAAGAAGACATACATGTGGCTAACAAACATATGAAAAAAGGCTCAACATCACTGATCATTAGAGAAATGCACGTCAAAACCATGAGATACCAGCTCACATCAGTCAGAATGTTGATTATTAAAAAGTGAAAAAACAACAGATGCCGGCGAGGTTGCGGAGAACGAGGAACACTTTTACACTGTTGGTAAAAGTGTAAATTAGTTCAACCACCATGGAAGACAGTGTGGTGATTCCTCAAAGACCTAGATGCAGAAATACCAATTGACCCCACAATCCCAATACTGGGTATATACCCAAAGGAATATAAATCATTCTATTATAAAGATACATGCATGCATATGTTCACTGCAGCACTATTTACATTAGCAAAGACATGGAATCAACCTAAATACCCATCAATGATAGACTGAATAAAGAAAATGTGGTACATATATACCATGGAATACTATGCAGACATACAAAGGAATGCGATTAGGACATTTGCAGGAACATGGACAAGTTGGAAGCCATTATCCTCAGCAATCTAATGCAGGAATGGAAAACCAAAACAGCACATGTTCTCACTTATAAGTGGGAGCTGAATGATGAGAACATATGGATACATGGTGAGAACAACATGCACTGGAGCCTGTCTTGGGGGGGGTTGGAGGAGGGAGAGCATCAGGTAGAATAGCTAATGGATGCTGGGCTGAATACCTAGATGATGAGATGATCTGTACAGCAAACCACCACGGCCCACGTTTACCTATGTAACAAATGTGCACATCCTGCACATGTACCCCTGAATTTAAAAAAAGCTGAAGAAAAAATAAAAGGGGCAAATCTCCCGTAAAATTTTTTTTAAAAAGATGTGTGATAAGGCCTTAAGTAACTCAAATTGTGCAAAACAGGCAGATAGACCAATAGAATAAAATAGAATATTGAGAAACAGAAGTAAGTATATATGGAAATTTAATATATGTAAGACAAATGTGGTATATCAAATCATGGGAAAAACAAACATTACTGAAACATCCAGCTGGGTGGCCAACTGGAAAGGAAAATTAAGTCAGATCCCCATTTCACACCACGTACTAGAATAAATTCCAAATAGATCAACAATTGACATGAAGAAAAATAAAACCACAAAGTATTAAAATAAAACCTGAAGAATTATTTCATAATTTTAATCCAAGAAATCAGTAGATGAGGGCCACTAATGCACAGATAATACACACATCGCCCAAAGGAACTGAAGAAATGATCAAAACCTATAAAATAAACAGACCTTGACACGGTGCGGTGGCTCATACCTGTAATCCCAACACTTTGGGAGGCCAATGTGGGCGGATCAACTGAGGTCAGGAGTTTGAGACTAGCCTGGCCAACATGACGAAACCCCGTCTCTACTAAAAATAGAAAAAAATTAGCCGAGCGTGGTGTCGGGCACCTGTAATCCCAGCTACTCGGGAGGCTGAGACAGGAGAATCACTTGAACCCGGGAGGCGGAGGTTGCAGTGAGCCGAGATCGTGCCATTGCACTCCAGCCTGGGCAACAGAGCAAGACTCTGCTTCAGAAAAAAAAAAGAGGCCTTAAGAAAAGTGGGCTATTACTAAACAGCTCTCAACTATTAACACCCGAATTCCTTATATCAAATAAATTTCTCAACAGAGACATGTTAGACAATTCTAATTATAGGTCTATTCTCATTCCCATTCCCAAAATGCCCTACAAGGGATGAGAATAATGTTATATGGACAGAAATAGTGATTAACAATACACATATTGCTTGCATGTGTGTGTATTTTTTTTAATTTCTTTAAGGACACACTAGAAACTAACAGTTTTTACCTTTTGGGTATGTGGGGTGGAGGTGGGAAAATTCAGTAGATGGGAAACAGTACTCTATTTTTTTATGCTTTCTGACTTTTGAACCAAGTTAAAATAACACCTATTTCAAATAAATGTTTAAATTTTATTTTAAATTGCATAGTTAAAAAGAACCACTAGATGGAGTATGTTCCTCATTTGAACTGCTGCCATAACAAATTCATAAATAAATTAAAGCTGGATAAAAATGTATTCTGGAAACTAGCTGAAAGCTTGAACACCGGTTTATCATAATAATAATATCTAAATTGCTAACACTGTTCGAGCAAACAGGTGACAATCTGCCGCGGAAAAATCAGGATTTTAGAAACATCCTTATGCTCCAATCCCCTAAGCAACATGCATAGTTGTGTATTTTCTGTCTTCAAATATAAACCGCCACATTTAACAATCTTGGTAGTTTTCCTCAAATACCATCTGTATAACAATGGCATATAAAATCATAAACAATGATTTTTTGACATGTTCTCAGCTATAATTTCTCTTTTATGTCTTCTTGGGTCTCTAAGATATGGAGATTAGGCAAATATTAGTGTTCCTAGATCTCAGGCTGCAGGCAGCGGCCCTGGGTTTATGGCATCAGTTCTGGGGGTGGGAGTCAGGCCTCACATGTGAGGGTCATCTGGGGACAGCTGTTGGAGATGTGATGAGGTCTAGGGAGGGCCTAGCTCTGGCCAGCAGCTCCACCATCATCTGACTTCCCTATTGGTGTTCTGTGCAGGATTCAGGTTGTAAAACGGTCCCATGACTAAGAATAAGCCTGCAAACCTCTAAGCTAAAAGAGAGAGAGAGAGAGATCTCTCTAGGAAGCCTGGCAAGGTGGCAAAACAAATGCTGACCATACCAAGTGTTAACAAGCATGCTGAGCAACTAGACCCCTCATTCGCTGGAGGTAGGAGTGTAAAATGGAACTCTAGAAAAGTTTGACAGTTTGTTATGAAGTTAAACATAGACTTTTCATGTGCAATCGCAATCCCAGGTATACACCCTAGGAGAAATTCTTTGTTTACAAAAATTATTTTTAAAACCTGTACATAAATGTTTACAGCAGCTTTATTTGCAATCATCAAAAACTGGAAACAACCCAAATGCCACTGGCAAATGGATAAACAAACTGTGACACATCCATACAATGGAATACTACTCAACAATTAAAAGGAATGAACCACTGACACACACAACTTGGATAGATCACAATAACTTGGATAGGGCATTGTGTTGAGTGAAAAAATGCCAATCTCAAAACAGTTACATATTACATAATTCCAATTTTATAAATTTTCAAAGTGACAAAATTAAGGTAATGGAGAACATATCAGTTGCTGCTGGGGTTAGGACTATGGGGATTCTGATTCTGAAGGGAAAACAAAGGGGAGTTTCTTTGTGATGTTGTGTGCCCTCATCATGGTGTTGGTAACACAATACTACATAGGGAATAAACTCTCATAGAACTAGGCTGGGCAGCATGGTGGCTCACACCTGTAATCTCAGCACTTTGAGAGGCTGAGGCACAAGAATTGCTTGAGCCTGGGAGTTCCAGACCAGCCCAGCAACACAGCTAGGCCCCTTCTCTACAAAAAATTTAAAAATGGCCCAGGTATGGTAGTGCATGTCTGTAGTCCTAGCTACTTCGGAGGATGAGGTGGGAGGATTGCTTGATCCCAGGATGTTGAGGCTGTAGTGAGCCAAGATCATGCCACTGCACTCCAGCCTGGGTGACAGAGTGAGACCCTATCTCAAAAAAAAAAAAAAAAAAAATTCACAGAACTACACACACACACACACACACACACACACGTGTGCATGTGCAAGAGGATATATAAATGACCAGCAAGCACACGAGAAAGTGCTCAAAATCATCAGGCATCATAGGAATGCAAATTATAGCCACAATGAAATAATAATATGCACCTACTCAAATGGCTAAATTTTTAAAATAATGACAACACAAAATTTTGACAAAGACGTGGAGCAATTATAACTGTCATACTTTGTCATAAAAATGTAAAATGGTACAACCACTTTGGAAAAAGATCTCATAGATTTCATAAAATTAAACAGATACCTATCCCATGACCTGACAATTACATTCCTAGGTATTTATCCAAGAGAAATAAAATTACATGCCCACACAAATTGTCATAGAAGAATGTTCTTATCAGCTTTATTCATAATAGCTCCAAACTAGAAACAGCCCTGGTGTCCATCAATAGAATTGGTAAACTATGATCTATTCAGAGGATGGAATGCTACTTAGCAATAAAAAGGAACATACTGCTGATACACAATAAATGACATATATTAACCTAGGAAACATTGTACTGTGCTCTTGTGGGTCACTTGCTCTGGAGGAAACCAGTTGCCAAGATGTGAGGACACTCAAGTAGCCTTATAAATAGTCCACCTGGAGAGGAACTGAGGTCTCATTCCAATAGCCCTGTCAATGAGTGTATTAGTCCACTTTGCATTGCTATAGAGGAACATCTGAGACTGGGTAATTTATAAATAAAAGAGGTTTATTTGGCTCACAATTCTGCAGGCTGTACAAGCATGGCATCAGCATTTGCTCGGCTTCTGATGAGGCCTCAGTGAGGGTTTCTACTTCTACTCATGGTAGAAGTAGAAGGCAAAAGGGGAGCAGGTGTGTCACATGGCAAGAGAGGGGGTAAGAAAGAGAGGAGGAGGTGCCAGAGTCATTTAAACAACCAGCTCTCAAGTGAACTAATAGAGTGAGAACTCACCACCAGCAGGAGGTCAGCACCAAGCCATTCATGAAGAATTTGCCCCCATGACCCAAACACCTCCCACTAGGTCCCACCTCCAACATCAGGCATGAGATTTGGAAGGGAAAAACATCCAAACTATATCAATGAGCCATTGTAGAAGTGGCTCTTCCAGCCCCAGTCAAGCCAGGGCCAACATCCTAAATGCAACCTTATGGGAGAGCCTGACCCAGCGCCACCCAATTAAGACACTGAAATTCCTGACCCACAGACACTGCGTGAGACAATATATATTGGGGTTTAAGCTGCTAAATTTTGGAGTAATTTGTTACATATCAGTAGATAGCTAATACACACAGTAGTGTCATGCACACACACAAAATTGACGGACATGACAAGTATCTTATTTTTAAAGCACTGTAGCAACATACAATGCAACAAGAACAGAGGCATGAGTCGTAAATGTACAGCCCAGTGAATTATCGCAAAGTAACTTCAACTGTGTAATCCACACCCAAGCCAAGGAAAATCACATTCCAGGACCAGCATACAAGATCCCCCTCAATCACTACTTTCTCTCTCCGAAAGTGCTAGCTGCTATCCTGCCTTATAACTTCATAAATTATTTTTTACTTCTTTTATTTATTTATTTTGAGACAGGGTCTCATTATGTTGCCCAGGCTTGTCTTGAACTCCAGGCCTCAAGCGATCCTCCTTCCTCAGCCTCCCAAGTAGTTGGGACTATAAGTACACCAACATGCCCAACGTATTTTTTGTATTTTGAATATTAAAGAAATAGGCCAGGTGCGGTGGCTCACATCTGTAATCCCAGCACTTTGAGAGGCCAAGGCAGATGGATAACCTGAGGTCATGAGTTCAAGACCAGCCTGGCCAATATGGTGAAACCCTGTCTCTACTAAAAATACAAAATTAGCCAGGTGTGGTGGCACATGCCTGTAGTCCCAGCTAGGGAGACTTGCTTGAACCCAGGAGGCAGAGGCTGAAGTGAGCCAAGATCGTGCCATTGCACTCCAGCCTGGGCGAGACAGAGCAAGACTCCATCTGGAAAAAAAAAAAAAAAAGAAGAAGAAAGAAAGAAAGAAAAGAAATGGGATTATCTACTATGTATTCTTTTGTGTCTGGCTTCTTTCACTTAGCAATGGCTAATTAAGAGTCATCTTTAGTATCTGTTGTAGTTGTGGTTCATTCATTTTCATCGTTATACAAGATTAAATTGAATTAATATACCACTAAAATATGTTGAGTCAACAAATTGTGTGATTCTGATAATAAGTTCTAAAACAGACAAAACTAACCAATACTGGGGTGAAAAACACACACAACCGTGGTTACCTCCAGGAGGGTGGAGGCAAGGGTTGACTGGCAAGGGTATAAGAGAACTTTTTGGGGCGATGATAATGTTCTATGTATTTTGATAGGGGTTGGGTTACATAGGTGTATATATTTGGCAAAGCCCTGAGAATGTACACTTAAGATTTTTGCATTTCATTGTATGAAGTTCTACAGCAAATGAAAAAGATCTGGCATGTATTGAAGTCTTCTTAGCAGTATGCACACTGAGTTATTTAGGGGGAAGAATATTTATGTTAGTAATTTTGAAATGCACCCAAAAACCCAAAAATGGGATATGGTGAATAGAGAGATCAATAGATGGGCAAATACGTGATAAAGCAAGTATAGTAGCATGTTAATGCCAGAATCTAGGTAGTGGATATAAAGATCCTCAATGTCAAGGTCTTCCCATTTTTGTGCATGTCTAAATTTTTTTTTTTTTTTTTTTTTTTTTGAGACGGAGTCTCGCTCTCGCCCAGGCTGGAGTGCAGTGGCACGATCTCGGCTCACTGCAAGCTCCGCCTCCCAGGTTCACGCCATTCTCCTGCCTCAGCCTCCCAAGTAGCTGGGACTACAGGCACCCGCTACAATGCCTGGCTAATTTTTTTGTATTTTTTTAGTAGAGATGGGGTTTCACCATGTTAGCCAGGATGGTCTCAATCTCCTGACCTCATGATCCGCCTGCCTCGGCCTCCCAAAGTGCTGGGATTACAGGCGTGAGCCACCGCGCCCAGCCGCATGTCTAAATTTTTAAATATAAAGTGTTGGGGCCAGGCATGGTGGCTCACACTTGTAATCCCAGAACTTTGGGAGGCCAAGGCAGGCGAATCGTTTGAGCTGAGGAGTTCAAGATCAGCCTGGGCAACATGGCGAAGCCCCATCTCTACAAAAAATACAAAAATTAGTGGGGCACCTGTAGTCTCAGCTACTCAGGAGGTTGCAGTGGGAGGACCACTTGAGCCTGGAAGGTCAAGGCTGCACTGAGCCAGGATTGTGCCACTGCACTCCAGCCTGAGCAACAGAGCAAGATCCTGTCTCAAAAAAAAAATTATACATATATATATATATACACACACACACCCATACACATACACACACAAATATATGTGTATTTGTTTATATATAATATGTATATGTTTATATATAATATGTATAATATGTAATGTATATATATGTATATATATAGTAGTGGAAAAAAGTAGATGATCAGAAATGGAATTATGGTAGGGCCATTGTTTTCTTAAGTAAGAACTTTGTGCACAAAAGTTGGTTTCTAAATACCGTTCTCAAATAAAAGAAACTAGGGCTCCTTGGATAAATGGCTGATTCTAGGACAGGGGCAGGGAAAATATAAGATGAGCCCGAAACTCCCAATGGCCAAAGCTGGAACAATTTGAGCAACAAAAATGTGCTGTTAGATTGTAACCCAAAATATAAAATAAACATGTTAGTCTATACTGATATAAGTAAATGATTTAATAAATAAATACATGGGGGAAAGAGATCAACCTCCTATAAGAAATAATTTGTGTAGATACTCTCTCCTCCAGAAAATGGAGCTTAACTAGCCCCACCTACCCACTCACCCAACTTGAATGTTGGACAGATTGAATGACTAGTTTCCAGAGAAGGAAAAGGTAACTGTACAGTGGAGAAACCTGACAAGCACTACAAACATCACCAGGGATAAGCCATGTCGATGGAATGTACTCACTAATACGATGTGATGCTCAGGATATTCTTCCCAACACCCATAATTCCAGTCTAGTCATACGGAAAACACAGACAAACCCAAATTGAGAGACATTTGACAAACACCTGACCAGTACTCTTCAAAACAGCCAGGTCATGGAAAGCATGAAAGACAGAGGAACTGTCACAGACCAGGGGACCCTGAGGACGTGTGACAGCAAAACACAGTGTGGCATCCTGGATAGGACCCTGGAGCAGAAATCGACCACCAGTGGGAAAACTAAAGAAATACAAACCAAGTCTAGAGTTTAATAGATGCTGCTTTGTTTTTCTGAGATGCAGTCTCCCTCTGTCACCCAGGCTGGAGTGCAGTGGCGCGATCTCGGCTCACTGCAACCTCCACCTCCCTAGTTCAAATTATCCTCTTGCCTCAGCCTCCAGATTAGCTGGGATGACAAGTGCCCGCCACCGTGCCCAGCTAATGTTTTTGTATTTTTAGTAGAGACAGGGTTTCGCCATGTTGGCCAAGCTGCTCTCGAACTCCTGACCTCCAGTGATCCACCGGCCTCAGCCTCCCAAAGTGCTGAGATTACAGGCGTGAGCCACCCTGTCCGGCCTGTCAATGCTGCTGTCTTCGTTTTGACAAATGTGCTATGGTTGTGTAAGATGTTAACAACAGGGGAGGATATATGGCAAATCTCTGTACTATGCTTTGTAACTTTTCTATACACTGAAAATTATTGCAAAATAAAAAGTTTATTTTAAAAAGAAGGAATAGCCAAGGCAACACAAACAACAAAATGACCTTTGTGCATTAAAAATGAAAACAAAAAGCTGAAACATTTTTAAAAACAGTCTTTGTGCATGGTTTTCTCAAAATCTAAATCAAAAATCAATTTTGATCTAGTGGAAAACACATCTTCAGATACCAAATTTGAATGCCATCATGACCAGGGACACCCTAGGTGTCCACCCTTCGACCACAGAATGATTCCAGGTAGCACAGACATTCTGGAATTAAGCATCAACACGAACTTCAAAATCAAGCTGCTTTCACAGCATGCTCCTGCTTTAATAACCTGCCCCTTTTTCCTGGTCCCTTTTGCAAGTTTGCTTCCAGAAACACCTCCGATTCAGCCTGTGATAATTCCCTACAGCATTCTCTTCTTGTTGAAAACGGCAAGAATAAAAAATGCTTTATGTCCAACACCAACAAGGTGAAACCACGGCCAAGCAGTCACACAAATGACAGGTGGGCATGAAGAACAAATCCCCAAAGGCGGAGAGCAAAGAAACCATCTGCCTTCTAGTAAACACCACAGCTGCATAAACACCGCAGCTGCACCCACAGCTCAACCTCCTACCGCCAAAGCATTCACCCCACTCCCAGGAGCCACCTGCACAGCCTGATGAATTGATGGTGAATGGAAACAGAAACTGTTTAATCATCTTGTGGTAACTGGCAAACACTGCAAGCTCTGAACCAGCAAGGGAGACTGAGAAAATGCGAAGACAGGGC
The DNA here is from genome assembly GCF_000001405.40 of Homo sapiens. Taxonomy (NCBI): domain Eukaryota; kingdom Metazoa; phylum Chordata; class Mammalia; order Primates; family Hominidae; genus Homo; species Homo sapiens. The sequence continues at coordinate 110,748,541 of NC_000002.12, read as the reverse complement.
TTTCTAAGTACTGTGGTTTAATTTCAGTTGTGAAGTCACTCAGCCGGGGAAATGTACAGCTGCTAATTGGCAAAGTCTACAAAGGTAGCAGGGAAGAAAGACTCAGGAGATAGAAAAAGGGAGGCAGAGGAAGAAAAGATCCCCTGCACCAGAGATAAAGCCTGATAGGCACTTCCAATCCACCCCCCTGCATCCTGGGCACTCCACGGAGTGCAGTGAGGAAAAGGGACACTCCCTCTCCAGCCTTCCTTTCTCCCATCTTTCCTTGTTTCCTTGCCTCCTTACTTAAGTTTTCATTAGGCACCTGCACCACGCTAAGTAGGAAGAATCCAAGATACCTTGGCCCATTCCTCTCCTCAGAGAGCTCAGACTCTAGCATAGAAGACAGAGGAGCAGGAGTGTCCCACCAAGACAGGGAGAGAAATTTTTCACATTATCACTAAGCCCCACGTGGCCAGGGCTCTGCCGCCTCACAGGGGATGGATGGCATGGTTGTTTTCTGCAGAAGAAAACCTTTAGTGCAGCAACTACCTGTACTTACTGTCAGGATGAGCTGCAGGGGTGGCAAGAAGACAGAGTGAGAACCATATTCCTCTGCAGATGCCAATAAGAGGGGCATATGTGGGCAGAGAGAGGAGGCCCCCAGGAGGAGAGAATGGGGAGGAGGTGGTAAGGTAGAAAGGGCTGGAAGGGAGCAGACAGGAAGTAAAGGGAGAAACAGGACCACATGAGCAGAGATGCAAACAGATATAACCTCCTAAGACAACAACACAAGCCATAAAAAAAACACAAAAACATTTCTTCACTAGGTAAAGGTATGTCGGTTTTGGCAGACACTGCTGGTGGCTCTTCCTCCCCTGCCAGGATTCTGAGGTAGGTCACTCCACTGCCCAGCCCCAGGGCACGTCTGATTGACTCAGGTCATCACAGGGTCCCAACCTCCAGGAAAGTGATCAGCTTAGAAATGAAATTTGTTGCTTGAAACGAGGACGGTTATTTTTATAGTGTGAATTTAGGAGACACTGTGGCTAGAATGGCACACGAGAGGCTAGCTGAGAAAACAAAAGTGGGTGTGCAGCCCCAGCTGTTAAACACACCAGAGGATGCACCCAGTCCTGTGGCCAATGGATATAACCAGGCCTGACTCCCTCCTGAGGCTGCACTCTGCCCATGGGATGGCTGAGTCTGCTGGCTTGCAGGCTCCTTGTTTCTGGCTGTCGTTTAAATATGATGCAATTGGTCACCCAAAGGATGTCTCTAGTTGTTAGAAACAAACTCACCCATCCAAACCCAAAGAATGGACTCAGAGACCCAGAAAACAGCCAAAGTGAGACTTTTAATGACAGTCTTGTAAGATCAGGCGTCTGATAGGCAGGCAGACCCAGCACAGTTTCAACAAGCAATTCATCCCCTAGTGTGCAGGTCCCTCCCCCAGTTCCTCATAGGTTGAGTACTATGGGGTCACAATCTTCCTGGATGTCACCAACTGATTGTTGGGTAGGGGCTTTAGATGTCTTTTTTAGGGTTCTTTTGCTGCATTTTATTTCAGCCCACAGTACATTGCAATCCTAGTTAGCTCAGGGCTCTTCAAGTACATTTGACTTATGACCTAAGTAGCTGGGCAGGCTGATAAGAACAGATAAAGTGAGCTATTTTGGAGACTAGTAAGCTTTCATCTTAGACTAAACTTTTTTGGTTCAGGTGAAGGCAACTAAAGGGCGGGGGGAGAAGAGGGGGAAAGGGGGAGGCCGACAAGCAGGCATCCGCTATTTAAGCAGGGGCCTAGTATATCCTGTTTCTTCGGTAGTTCGCTGACCTAAGTCAATTTAAGGCACTTTGTCTTGGAAAGAGACCACTGTATACATTATTTCCTTCATGGTGGAGCGTGACTGTGCACCAATTCTGCAGGCGTCTACGGTGCAAACTCATCGTCTTCAACAACAAATCCATTCGACGTACATGTGGAGGAAGCCCCCTCATGGAGGCAGGCAACATGCCCAGGAGCCGGGTCCCATGCTGGAATCTGGGAGCCACTCATGCACTTACTTGTCCATTTACAAGTAAATGGGAAGTAGGAAGGTGGACATGGCGATTCCCTCAAGGGCCAACTACAATCTGAATTGTAGTTGGATCTTGGGGTCTGAGATCACTTAGGGACAAAGGAAAGGTTGAGTCAATATTCTCCCATGGCTATCAGGAGGGGCAGAGAGAACAGCCAGGGATCTGGGGGTCTCAGTGATTTCTGCAGCATTCACAATAAGCCCATAGACACTGTTGAAAAAAAACAGAGGTTTGCATATGTTCCGTAAAGGCATTGTTATGAAGAGAAGGACGGCAATCGGAGTCCCCTGCTCAGCTCTGCAGTCAACATCTGTCTACAGCTGTAATCTGGGTAAGCACCATTCTCAACTCCTGGTCTCAACCCATGGGCAAAGCTTTACTTGTAGAGTGAGAACAGAGTATAAATCTTGCCAGCCTTGACGTTGTAAGGTAGAGGATACAGAGAAGAGACTTAAAGAGAAGAGATACTATCAACACTCAGTGCAACAGGGTAAAGAAAAATAAAAATGATACACACTAACAGGAGGTGACAGGAGACTCTCCAGTCCCCTTGCAGGAAAAGAAAGGGGCAGAGGTGGCTGCTTTCCCTGACTATGGTGCAGATCAAAGTTCTGCACTCTCAAGACACAGTAAGAATGACTTTAGCTAGAAAACCAGTCCAGGTTTCCTCAGAATTGCAGCCACTTTCAGAAGCAGTGAGGAATGGGTATTGATGACACTTCATCTCTTTAGTCAGACATTGGTTCCTTGCACGGGTAATATTTTCATTTGGAATCAGTCGGCAAGCGTCTACCCAGAAAAACAAAAATATTGCTGATCTTCAGATCAAAGTCACAGAAAAGGAAGGTAGTAGAACCCCCACTAACTTCCCATTTAAGGCAGAAATGCCTGACCTGTGGCTTCCCGGGCTCTCTTCTGTGACATTACTTCAATCACTAGAATGGTCCAGAGACTAAGGGAAAGCATCTGCTGTCCCTTCCCCGAGCTACATCACCCATTTTCCCTTGCAGACACCCACTCCCTCTGCCCAAACTACATGATGCTGGTTGTTGACCCCCCACCTTCTGGTGTGGGCAGACACTGACTAGACTGGGCCAATCCTTGCTCCTGGCCCCAGTGACCACTGCAAGGAAGAGCAATGGCCAGCTGGGTTGGTCAGGCTGAAAACCAAAAAGGGTCCCTCTCTTCCTGCCTGGCTGCTGAGCTGTTGCACATGTGCCATAGCTCTGAAGGCCACGAGGTGGACAGGGCCTGTCTGGACAGGAAGAGAGCAGGTCAGGGGATTCCTGAAAGTGCCACCCAAGCACCTGGATTCCAGCCTCCACACCTGAGGCCAATGTGAGCTGCATTTCTGACTCTGCAACTGAAACAGGAGCAACTACTTATGCTAATAACAGTGCTTAGGGTTGCAAGCAACAGAAAACCAACTCGCATTAACCTGAACGGTAAAGGGCAGTTGCTACCTCAGGGAACTGGCAAGGCAAACTTGGGGCAGGCTTCAGAGCAGGTTTGATTCTGAGGCTCAAGTGTGTCCTAGAACTTAGTGTCTGTCTACTCTGCCTCCATGGGCCACTTCATCCTAGAGGTGGTCTCCCTCAAAATGACAAAATGGCTGCACCAGGGCTAGCTTCATACTCAAACTCCACCCTCTCCAAGATGAGAGAGTATGCCCCTCTGACAGATCTCGCAAGTAAGCAAGGAAGTGTCTTTTGCCGGCACACCAAAAAACCTCCTCCCCTCCTATTTCATTGACTACAGTCAGGTCACATGACTGTTTCTGAACCAACTCCTGTGGCCAGACGGTGGCTATGCCTGAATGGCTTCCTCCAGGGTTTACAAGATAGGTCCTATGGCAAAGTGTGGGAGGAGTGTGAAGTGACTGGTCAACTGTGGGAGAAGGTTGTAGGTAATGTAGGGAGGGGACGTGAAGTAAGGACAAGTGCTTACCTCACTGATACTGTGCTTGATGAGGAAGCAAAAGAAATTACCACCAGCTCACCATTTTCTTCACCTCAAATTCCTTTGAGAAGGGAATGTCTCATATTACATTAGCACACATAACATATAATGTCAAACCCTGCAGATCCCACCTCCTAACTCTGTCCTCTCTACATTTTTTGCCAAAATAATTCCCTTTCTAAACTTTATTACTGCCACCTTTAATAGTCAAGTAAATTATAAGACATAAAAAATCATGCCACCAACTATGTTCCTTGGGCCCAGAGCACCTTGAGGGTAAAGTGGGACCACTGGGTCTCTTGGCCTTTTACAAGCAAGAGTTTTAATGCACTTCGCTGAATAGTGCTCTCTTGCACTCTTTCCCTCGTTTTCTCTCTCTTCTCTCTCTCTTTCTCTCTCTCTCTCTTTCTCCACTGAGCAGGTATCAGCCAGAGTTCTTTGGCTGCAGACAGGGCACAACTAGGAGGCAGGGCCTAGGTGTGGGACATCTGCTGCAGGGTGCAGGGTCAGTGCCTGGGGGGCCCCAGAGGCAGCACCCCAATTGTACCCAGCAGAAGGAGAGCCCCCTAAAAGGACTGAGCATTTTACTTCAAGAGGAAATCACAGGATAGAACAGAAGGTGCTGTCTGCTGCCCCAAGTCAGCCAGTGGGATTTCACTGGGAGGAGCAGAAGAGGAGAAATGTGTAGGCACATTCACAAGAATAGAAATCATCCCTGTGGTGATGTGGCAGCTCCGGAAGGCACCACAAGGGAAGGCAGGTGAGGGGAGTTCTAAGGGCTAGGAAAAATTCTGAAAGCCTTGGGCGGAGACACAGAAATTATGGATGATCTCAAAGAAATGGTGCAAAGTGCTCTGAATGGTGCATTGGTCCTTCCGCCAGCCTCAGTCCTGGTCAATCGAGGATCCCGTGTCCCACCAAAGGCCTGGCAGCACTGAATGACCTCCACCCGGCCCTCCTCCCTGAGTCTCTGAACTTGGGTTTGTTTTTTTCCAAACCCTTGCACCCTTATTTCATGATGTTAGTTACTGGAAAAATTAGTAAATTTTTGGAAAATAAATCAGAACAGTCACTATGCAAGTTTAAGAAAAGAGAACATATTCTAGAAAAAAATGTAGGGACTGGGTAGCCAAAAGGCTCAGCCCCACTGCCACTTTCCCATGTGGCCTGGGACAAAACAAACTGTAAGAGACTTCACCTGTGTTTTTAAATATAGGAAATTATCTGCCTGATATATGCATACAACACAGCACTATTCAACCACAAAAAGAATTGAAGTATTGGTATTACATAGTTGATAGGTTTGGAAGTACACAGCTAGAATGAAACTCAAAAGCATGCTAAGCCACCAGATACAAATGGTCACCTATTATAACCTTTTATATGAAATGTCCAGAATACACAACTCCATGGAGACAGAAAGTAGATGGTGGTTGCCAGGGAAATAAGTGAAGGGTGAAAGGGAGTGATTCTTTAATAGGTACAGTGTGTTTTTCTGGGGTGATGAAAATGAGATAGAAACAATGTTTCCAAAACATTGAGAACACACTAAATGCCACTGAATTGTACACTTTAAAATGGTTAGTTGTATGTTATGTGAATCTCCCCTCTTCTAGTTTGATGCAATCTCATTTATCTATTTTAGTTTTTATCGCCTATGCTTTTGGGATCATATCCAAAAAATCTTTACCCAAACCAATGTCAAGAAGCTTTTTTCCTGTGTTTTCTTCTAGTAGATCTACAGTTTCAGGTCTTAAGTTAAGTCTTTAATCCATTTTGAGTTATCTTTGTATGCACTCAAACAATTTTAGGATGCTATTACTATTGAGAGTTCAGGAAAGCCCCAAGCCTTGGTGTGATAGAAAAGAAAACTAGAGAATTCCCCAAATTCACCCACCTTCTGTCCTTCACTTTTCACGGCCCATGTTGTAGAAGTGGTTGCAGCACTCAGACAAGTGTGGTGACGAAGGGCCCCAGGAGCTCTGCCACCCAATGGCATCAGGATCCAAGGTGTCAGGGACACCAAAACTTTCCTCCCATCCAGGAAAGCAAGTTATTAATATAACAATATATCACCCCAAAATTTCTTGCCAAGGAAAGAAGAACAAGAAGGAAAATTTTCCTTACACATAGTCAACAATATTTTTTCTAGTGTACAATTATTCATTTAAGGTTGAGGAAAGTGATCTAAGAGGTTGACAATGCCCCTTAATAAAGTCACATGTCAGAGTACAGAGCAGCACTACAATAATTGTCTTGATGCTGGACCTGGGAGGAGATGGTCTCCAAATACTTAAAAAGCCTTTACAAAATTACCCATATCAAAAACATGCTTTGTTCTCCTATGACTTGTGTTTAAATCCACATACTGTCACGATTTTAGCTGGTGGATGTGTGTAAGACAAGACAGCAATAGCTGTCCCCATCCCTGGGACCCTCTCCTCACCGTGCTGTTTCCTTCCAGGACTGAAAGCTGTGCTAAATGTCTCCCTATTTTAACACAGTCAGGGGGCACAGAGTCTGACAGGGACTGGAAGAATTCTATCCCTTGCAGGTTTGTGAGACTCGCAAGAAAACGTGCAATCACCTCTCCGCCTCTCTCCTCTCTCACCGCTGGAGGCAGACACTTGGAAAACCACCAGCCCACCCCCTGCCCCAACTCCCTCACCATTCTCCAGTTTGTGTTTTCTCTGAGTGCTTGCGTGCAAAAGCATGGTAGGAAACCACAGATAAGAGATTGGTTAAACCAAATTCCTTAGGATCCCTCCCAGCCCTGAGGGTTTTGACTTCCTACCTCTTCATACCTGCCCATCTACTCAGCACAGGCTCTCTGAGATGTTACTCGATGACAACCACTGTGCTAGGCTTGGGGATCCAGCACTTCTCAAGAAATGACTTTCCAGTTGAGGTCAGAGGTAGGGAGTTTCTATTTAAATGTATAAAACTCTGTTTTATACACACACAAACACGCGGGTGCACGTGTAACTTCTTGTTCTTACTCTGTCACACTCACTGTGTGTTACAAGCTGAATAGTGTCCCCCGCTCCCCCTAAAAATTCAGATATTGACTGGTGTCCTTCTAAAATTTGAAGACAGACAGGTACAGAGGGAAGACCATGTGAAGACAGGAAAAAAGACAGCCACCAACAAGCCAAGGAGAGAGGCCTGCAGCAGATTCTCCCTTGCAGCCCTCAGAAGCAACCAACCCTGCCGACACCCACTGACACCTTGATCTTGGATTCTCAGCCTCCGGAACTCTGAGACAATACATTTCTGTTATTTAAGCCACCTAGCCCGGGTACATTATTACGGCAGCCCTATTAAGCTGACGCAACACCATAATACTCCAGATAAACACACTGGAAATCACTGCTTGAGGAATCGGAAGCCCAGAGGTCCTATTCTTGGCTTTGCCACTCCAAGCCACTCCACATCCCAGGAATGCCTGGGATATTTACATATTTTAATAGAGAAAAGAGAATGACACTTGAGTAAGTCACTTCCTCCTTAAGCCTTTGTTTCCTCCTTCAAAAAAGGGCAAGATCCCCTCCAACATGAACAGCTTGTATTTCTGTGGCCCCTAGACAGGACCAAGGACAACTGTCCACGTCAGCCACAACCTAACAGTGTTGTCACTGTGAAAAATCCCCATGTCCCAACATTCAAACACGCTGACATCCCAGTGTCCCACCGGACCTGGCCACATTAGACTGTAGCTTCCAAAGGACAGGGCCAGTGGATTCCCCACTATCAGGTCCCTAAATGATGGCTGACAGGGATCCTGTCCCAGGCTGTATCATGGAGCATCCTTAGCTCTCTCAACTGCCTATCTAGAGGTCTGGACCCTACATCCAATAAATGCTCATAAAACTTAACATTCAAGTTTACAAATACAAAGGCATATTTTACACATTAAAAACCTATGATTTGCCAAAATCTTTTTGTGCTCCTTTGGAGACTTGAAATTCTGGGAATGGCAGAAAATAGGATGTCTGGGATATTTATGTATGTTAATGGGGAGAAGAGAATGCCAAAAGTGACTGTGGGGCTGCAGGCTGCCAGTGTCATAGGTCAGTCATGGTTCATGTGCTGCAGAAGCTCCTGGGAGCCAGGGCCCACCTCACCACTCACCGGCCCATCTCCAGGGCCTGACACAGTATCTCAAATGATGAAGAGATGAACACTGGGATTTAGATTAGGCTCTACACGCCCACAATTAAACTGGATTTGAAATTGCCTGATATAGTCTTGGGAGCAATAAAACTGGAGCCTTTGGAAGATAATCTGGCAATATTGGTCAGCGTTTTCCATGCAGATACCTCTGTCCCATCGGCATCACCTCTAGAACCTAATCCAGAGAAATCTCTTCTTATGAATACGAGGGTACTCCCTGCAGCATTGTTTAAGATAACACAAACTGAACATGACCTGAGTGTCCTTTGATGGGGCATGGCATAATTAAATTTGGTACAATTGTTACTGATGCAGCTTTTAAAAGAATGAGACAATCCTTTCTACACTAACACATAAATACAGGTCTACAAGTTCTGGATATCAGAACATATTTAAACAGGGATATTCAATAATAAAATGATTTATGGCATAAAACCACGTGGACCAACCAAGAACTCAAGAGAAACTGACATTCCACGAGGGATAGCAGCAACACACTGTCACCTAGACAGTGAACAGGCAAGTGGTAACTCACTTAGCAGAACAGAGGATGCTAAGTCTACAGGGCTGACGGAGCCAACTAGCTGGTGCCACTGGGTTGTATAAATGCTTGGGAAGTGGAGGCTCCATGCACCTCTGAAAGCAGCTGCATCCTCAAGTCCCCTCTCCAAGTCCATCAAAGCCTGAGGGTTTACTGTTAGGAGAGGGTGGCATGGGAGGCTAACTGTGGGACCCACATGGGGAACACTGGAGCCAGTAGGAGACCCCTCAGTGAGAGCCACCACTTACCAATGCACAGGGTGCAGCCAATCATGTGGGGTGGCCTCCATGCTGTGGACACCCTAGACCATTTCCCAGAAGATGGCATCAAGTGATTTGTTCTAACAAAATCAGGTATACAAATGCAAGTCTTGAGAAAGGAGGATGGTTTTCTAACCAGCCTCACGTTGTGCATGGAGAGCCTGGGGCCTCCAAGGTCTCAGGAAGGAGGATTAGGATCTGCCCCTCATTCTCCACCCATCCACCTCTCAGGAGACTAAAAGATTCATCACTGGAGGAATTAACCCTGTCCTAAACAAAACACCAATACTGATCTGCCAAAGGAAGTTACTCTGTGATCAAGAAAGCCCGGGCCCAACAAACCCCGCCATTTGCAACCAGCCTTCTATTCACATTTCCCATATTGTGAACAAACATCCATGACTGACCTGACATTTAATGAAAGCCTCAAACATAAAAAAGGTCAAAAATACAAATGGAATAAAGGAACTCAAAGAAAACAGAGACAAAGCAGAGAATAGAAGGGAACACTTCAAAACTTACTATCAACTATTCTGAAAAATAAGAGATTTTTATAACTAGAAAACAAGAACAGATGCTGTTGAAAAAGGAACAGAGAACTTTTGAAAATTAAAAATATGACAGCAGATATTTAAAAATAACTCAAGAAGAGTTGGAAGATAAAAGTTGAGAAAATCTCACCAGGACACAGAACCAAAAGACAAAGAGATGGAAAATAAAAAAGGAAGGAAAAATATTAGAAGACAAGGCAAGGAGGTACAACATCTGAGCAAAAGGAGTTCCAGATGACAGAACAGTACAGATAACTGAACACAAGTTTCCATATTAAAAGGGCCCACTGCATGCCCAATGCACTAAAAGAACCCATGTCAAGCCACCCCATCATGAAATTCTATAATACAACAATGCCAAAAAGAAGCTTCCAGTAGGGAGGGACAAAAACAAGTCATATATAACAGATCAAGGTGCAGAAAGGGTCAGATTTGTTCATTGCAATGTTGGATATTGGAAAGTTATGGCATGCACCTTTAAAAATCTAAGGAAAATTTTATTTCCAGCCTAGAACTCTACACCCACAAAAACTTTCAGTCAATTGAACAGTAAACATTTTCAGACATGAAAATCTTTAAAAATCTCGAAAAGTTAATTCCCAGGTACCCTCTCTTAGGAAGCTATTAGATAAGAGACTGTTTTGGTTATCTATGGCTATGTAAGACTGCACCCAAAACTCGGAAAGTTAAAACAACAGTGTGTTATTATTCCATGGAATGTGGACAGGAAACAAATAGGGATGGCTTTTCTCTGCTTTCCAGTGTCTGAGTTCCCATCTCAGAAATAGCTGTCTGCTGAAGCAGTTGGGAATGTTAGCATCTCTTTACCTCTCTCTATGCAGCCTCTCAACAGGCATCAGCTTGGACTTCCTCATAGCAATGGCAGCCACAGGCAAGCAGCACTTTTTAAATGGAAGCTCAGGGCCTCAAGAGATGGGAAGTGGAAGGTCCCAGTCTCTTCAGGCCTGAGCCTGGAAACTGTCACACTGTCATCTCAGCTATCTTCTGTTGACCAAAGCAGTCATAAAACTACCCAAGATCAAGGGGAGGCGACACAAACCACACCTCTCAACAGGAGTAGCCTTAATGAATCTGTGGTCCTCTCTAAGCTTCTACAAAGGGTAACCAAGAAAGAGAAAGCCTGGGAAAACAGTGACTTGACCATGGAGGAAATGCAAGGAAAATTCCCAAGGGGGTGGTGAAGACGCAGGAAGAGCCCATCCGGACTGAAGCTGTGGAAGGAGGCCTCCAGAATGAATGTGTCCATGAGGGGCAGGAGGGGTGGAACTGCCAATTACCTGACAGGTTTGATCACAGTGGGACGAGTGGAACTGCTCTGTCCTGTGATAAATCTGTTGTATCTGTTCTGTTTCATATCTGTCTAGTGTGGAGGTCAGTGAGTGATGGGCTTATAGAAAACTAAGCAAATGGATAAAGGAGACAATTATCTCTGAAGAAATAAAAAGGTTGTGACAGAAGGAAATAAAATATGGTACACTGTGGGGCATGGCTGGAAACAGTATTTTTATAGCAATAACAATGTGAACACTGGATACTGATTTAAGTAAAAATGGTGATACACTGACTTTCAGAGAATAGGAAAAGGAAAATGGTGCTGTAGTGAGAAACATTCGTTTTCTATAAGAGTAAGCCAGTAGATAACCAAGAGGTGGCTCTTTAGACATGTTACTTAGGAATATGGAGTAAATTACATGAGAATGAAGTAAGAGAATTGAGAGTAGTGGCCCACAAGGAAAAGAAATGAGGGATGAAGAGGGTTGAGGGAGGGCATGGCTGTTTTTCATTACAAACCTCACAGTATAAGTTCATTAAATATTTTCATACATTTCATCAATGAAAATAAGAATTCAATTTCAAAAGAGAAAGCTGTAGAATAAAACACACAGTGAGATCCTATTTATATAACAAAATGATGTGCACATGTGTATATGAACTCCAAGAAAAATAGAAAAATGCGGAAAAACCACACTAACACAACCAAACACACTAAAACAACCACAACAAAGTGGCTGGGGGCCAAATGTCTATCAACAGATACAAGAATGATCAAAATGTAGGCCAGGCACAGTGACTCACGCCTGTAATCCCAGCACTTTGGGAGGCCGAGGCGGGCAGATCATGAGGTCAGGAGATCGAGACCATCCTGGCTAACGTGATGAAACCCCGTCTCTACTAAAAAATACAAAAAATTAGCCAGGTGTGGTGGTGGGTGCCTGTAGTCCCAGCTACTCAGGAAGCTGAGGCAGGAGAATGGCGTGAGCCCGGGAGGCGGGGCTTGCAGTGAGCCGAGATTGCACCACTGCACTCCAGCCTGGGCCACAGAGCGAGACTCCGTCTCAAAAAAAAAAAAAAAAAAGAGTAATCAAAATGTAGTCTATACATACAATGGAATATTATTCAGCCTTCAAAAAGGAGGGAATTTTGACACATGCTACAACATGGATGAACCTCCAGGACATTATACTGAGTGAAGTAAGCCAGTCATAGAAGAACAAATTCTAAATGAATCCACTTATATGGTACCTGGAATAGTCAGATGCTGAGAGACAGAATGTAGAATGAGGGTTGCCGGGGCTGGGGGAAGAGGGGAGTGGGGAGTTAGTGTCTAACAGGTACAGAGTTTCCATTTGGGATGATGAAATGTTTTGGAGCTGGACAGTGGTGATGGTTGCACAACAATGTGAACGCACTTAATGCCACTGAGTTGTACATTCAGAAGCAGTTAAATGGTCAATTTTATATAGTGTGTATTTTGCCACAATAAAAAAAAATGGCTGTAGGAGGAAACATTTTAGGAAACTTTCAAGTTGTCCAAATTATTTGACTCTTCCTAGTGAGAACGTGTTCATGAAATACTCATGGGGAAAAGCTAAACACATGAAAAGGTTAGGAAGAGAAATGTGCATTGCTCTAGGGAAGGAAAGAGAAGGGGACAAAGAGAAAGAAAGGGAGAAGGAAGCAGCCAGGAGCTACAAGTGGGAGAAGAAGGGTGTGAGAAGGCCCTGAGAGAACAGAATCCTATGGGGGGGCTTTCTCAGTTCTCCGGGTGAGAGGTGTGTGCTGTACCTACCTCTGCCAGCCAGCCTCTCCTGAGAGAGCTTCCCTTCACCAATAAACAAACTCAGAAAAATCTCAAAAGCTTATCTCATTTCAGATGTTGCTTTTTAACATTCCCTGCAAATCCCAATGAGGAGCCGCCAGTCACCCAGAATGCTCCTGCTGTCACAACAAACAGCACACCTGGTCAGATGCACAATAGGACAGGGGCGGGCACAGCAGCCAGGATGCTCCCGGAGTCTGAGGACTTAGCCCAGCAGGCTCATCCTTGGGAGAGAGAAAGTCACTCCTTAGAAGAGGAACCTGGGCTGTGCCTACATTGCCCCTGGGAGCCGATGGCCAGCACCCTGGGAATGAACTCCTCCTCTGAGGAGAGTGGCCACCCAGTGTGTGTAGGAAGTTGCACAACCTCTTTTGGAGGAAAACTGTTTCCTGAGCTCTTATGCCCTGGGATTGCCTGGCCCTGTACAAACTTCTCACTATGTACACACAGCACTCACCACTACGCTGCCACAACCCTCTCCCCTACACCTACTTTAACTGCAAAGACCTGTTTGGGGTAAGGTGGGGACAAGCCACAGGAGATCTGGCATTGCCTCAGAGAGGAGGAAGTTTTATTTCTCATCTCCTAATGTTCTATAACATTTTACATTAGGAGAATGTTAAAACATCCAGAAATCAAGATCGCCATCTTCTAACATGGGCTAAGGTAAAATCTGATAGTACAATATGAACTTTCAAATAGATAGATATCAGAATCTTTAACCATTTGGGGAAAAAATATGAAATGTTGTTCATGCCATTACTACAACTCTGAACTATAAAGTAAATAAACAAGAACTGGAAAGAATGGAAAAGTGTTTGTCAGGGTAATGGGATTTTTGCTTTTCCCTTTGCGTGCAAGTGTGTTTTGGTATCCCACCACAACCAGTGTTTACTCCATGCCCACGCAACAGTTTTTCATTCAAGCTTCATAACACAGCAGCATTGATATTATCTGCATTCTGTAGATGAACAAATGTAAGTCAATAAGGGGGAAAAAAAAATCCAGGACAATGGTCACACAGGAAATAAACTGCCACACTGGACCCCTTATCCAGGCATGCCTTTCCTCTGTCCCTATGGAATTCACAAGGAAGTCCCTTCTGCTTGCCTCAAATCAGTAGTTTGGTTATTACAATTTTGTTCCGTCTTTTAAACTGCAGTTATCTAAACTGAAAGACAAAGAGGTGATAGCCCAGGAACAAACTGAAAAGACTGAGGAATATAGGAGGGGATGTGTGTCTAATCAGATGCGACTGAACTCAGTATGACTTAAAGCAGCCGTTCACAAACATTGATTTTAGGAACTCTTTGCACTGTTAAGAATTATGAGGTCCCAGCACTTTGGGAGACCGAGGCAGGCGGATCGCTTGAGGTCAGAAGTTCAAGACCAGCCTGGCCAACACGGTGAAACCCCATCTCTACTAAAAATACAAAAAATTAGCCAGGCGTGGTGGTGGGTGCCTGTAATCTCAGCTACTCCGGAGGCTGAGACAGGAGAATCGCTTGAACCCAGGAGGTGGAGGTTGCAGTGAGCTGAGATCACACCACAGCACTCCAGCCTGGACAACAGAGTCAGACTCCGTCTCAAAAAAAAAAAATTATGAGGTCCCCAAAGAGCTTTTATTTGGGTGGGTTATATCCACTGATATTTCCCGTATTAGAAATTAAAACAGAAAAGTTTTCAAATGTTTATTAATTCATTTGAAAATAACTAATAAATCTATTAGTGTATTTTATGAAAATAACTATTTTCCAAAACAAAAAAAGTTAGCAAGAAGAGTAGCATCGTTCTATATTTTTACAAATCCCTTTACTGTCTGTCTTAATAGAAAGCAGCTGTATTCTCATGTCTGCTTCTATATTTTTTCTGCTGGAATACTACACATCATGTGGTCTCTGGAAACTGCCACTGTACATTAGTGAGAGAATGAGAGTGAAAAAGCTAATAACTTTTTTTGTATTACTATAAAAACAGTTTGTACTCATGAACCGCCTGAAATGCTCTTGGGTCCCCCCAGGGCTCCCTGTACCACACTTTGAGAACCATAACTTAAAGAACTATGTATGAGAGAGAGGGAAAGAGAAGTCGGCGAGACACTGATGGATATACCCACCATCCCACACTTCTCACTTTTCAACTTTCAAACGCCCCCAACTCCCCACTAGGTAACCTCAGTGCAGGAACCCCAGATTCTCCAAGGACAGCCTGACGTTCACTCAAGCCATCTCCTTCCCTCTCATTTCCGCAAAATAAATTAAACGAGGGCTAAGTGGGCATGGCTAACCAATTAATCCTCCACGGGCACATACTGACATTTTTAATAGGGCCTTTCTTAAGCTAGAACTCCAAAGCATGCCTCCAACTGGGCTTTTCAGACTGCTTGAAATGGGTATGAGAAAGAGAGCCCACAGGAGACACGAATGCCGAGTTCTGGTCCTGACTGTCCGGTGACTGAACCATCTCTCTATCTCCAGTGCAGCTCAAGCACTCAACCCTCTGCCTGCTTCTCAGGGCTGTCCTGGCATCGGATGACATCGAGGACCTGAGTTCTTCTTATAACCAAACCGCCCCGCTGAAGCTGCCCATTCCGCACACCTGCACTCCGAGGGGGTCCTGTAAGCCTGTCCCACCCCGACGCCCAGACACGCCCTGGACAGGGCCACTCCATCCCTGTGCGCCCATCCCATCGCGGTTTTCTGTCCCCTTCTCCCCACCAAGGGTGGGACATCGCGGGGCGGGGACTCAAGAAACAGGTTCAACAAACCAGCAAGGCCGATCTTCCAGCCACACGGTCTTCGTAGACACCGCGCCTGTCACCGCGGGGCCCAGCCCTGCACCCGACTCTTCGTGGGGGAGGGAGCTCGGGAGGAGAGGGCACCTCTCAGGGGGCCGAAGAGGTCGGCGGCGGCCGGCTGCGCCCACACACCTGGGGAGGGGAGCCCGTCACCTGCGGCGAGGCAGGGACCCGCCTCTCAGGCGCGGCGCACACCCCACCTCGCCCTCGCCAGGGCGTTGTCCGCAGCGACGCTCCGGGGACCGAGGGGACACGCTCGGCGGCTTCGGGGGCGCGGGCAGGGGCGACGGCCGCAGCGCGGTACCTTTGCCGGAAGAGCGGGCGCCGCCGAGGAGTCCGCGCAGCTCGTTCTTGAGGCTCCAGAAGTCGCCGTCCAGGTAGCGGTGCAGGGAGGAGTCCCCGAGCCCCAGACCCGGCGCCGGCTGCATCGCGCTCACCTGCCTCTGCTTCTCCGCGTGGCTGGCAGGGCCGGCTTCGCTCCGCGCCTCCTCCAGCTCCCAGCAGGTGAGGCCCCAGGCGCACGCCCTCTCCCTCTCCACCCCTCCCGGCCCGTCTCCTCCCTCCTCACCTTCCTCTCCCCTCCCTCCCCGGCCCCGCCCTGCCCTGGCTTCCCGGGCGGGAGGTCCGGCGCGAGCGGGCGCTTCTACGGTGGCCTCCCCTTGCCCTTCCGAGGAAGCGAAAACTCTACCCTCCAGTTATCAACTGTCCCTCAAGATTTGTGAGCCGTAAGAAACAAGTACTAGACCCCTAGAAAGGGTGCCAGTCACGTGGACCTGGGCACCAGAGGCCCGGCTGCTCAGGACTGACCGGCTGACCCACTCAGCAGATCTCCCGGCCAGCCACTTTGCCTGACCCCCACGACCCAAGATAGCCTGGCTCCAGCTCTGGCCCCTCCTCAGCTGTATCTCACCTCTTCCCCGCACTGGGCATTACTGTGAACTCTAATATCACGGTAATCTAAAGGCGTCCCAGGTCTACAGCACTGCAGTCCAGGGTAGCTGGAAGCTGCATTCATGACGAGGTGATCGACCGGAACACGATACTCATTTCCCAGGACACTCCTTTTTTTGTTGTGGCTGGAGGAAAATGAGTTATAACCTAAGTGGAAAATGTTCCTTCCTTTCTGCTCCCTAATTCTCATATACCTTGTTGATTCTCCTTTTAAATACTCAAGGAAATGTTAGCCGTTCCCTTCCAGAGGCTACTTTGCTGGGGAGATGATGGTGTGGTCTGCTGTCGTGAGGTTAGTGGATGCCATCTGTATTCGTTTCCAGTAACAAATTCCCACAAAGTGAGTGGCTTAAGATAGCACCAATTTATTCTCTTACATTTCTGGAAGTCAGAAGTCCAAAATAGGACTTACAGGGTTAAAATCAAGGTGTTGGCAGAGCTGGGTTCCTTCTCACAGCTCCAGGGAAAAATGCATTTCCTTGTCTTTACTAGCTCCTAGAGGCTGCCTGCATTTCTTAGCTCCTGGCCCCTTCGTCTGTCTTCAAAATGCATCACTTCAAGCTCTGCTTTCATCGTTCCATCTTCTACTGACTTTGACCTTCTTGCCTCCCTTGGACTTGTTTACATGGGACCCATGGGAATAATCCATGGTCAATGGGAATAATCTTCCCACCACAAGATCCATACTTTAATCACACCAGCAATGTCCATTTTGCCATATCAGAAACACACTCTCCGGTACTAGGGATTAAAACATGAGCACCTTTGGCGAGTCATTCCTCTGTCTACCACACCTGTGCAGCTGCGAGTAATAATACCCAGTCATCCATGATAAAAGGGGCTTTGTTTTCTCACATCACAGGAAGCTTGGTGGTAGGAAAGCCCCAGGGGTGAATTTGATGGCTCTACCCTGGGGACCCAGGTCCTTTGCATCTTTCTGCTCCACCATCCGCCATCCTTTCTCTATATGTAATCGTTACCTTTTTTTTTTTAACTTGTCTTCTACCAGTTGTAAGATGGATGCTGCAGCTCCAAGCACCACCCTGTGCAAAGCAGAAGAGGAGTATTTCCTTCTATATCAGCCAAAATAGTGTAGTGGTAACAAACAACCCCGAAACGACTTCACATACACTTCCTCAAATCTTAGGGCCTAAAAAGACAAGAGTTTATTTCTCACTCATGCTACCTGGGGGTTCTGTTCCATGTCCCCTCGGTCCAGGTCCTGGCTGACAGAACAGCCATGATTGTGTGGCCACACTGGCTTTTAAAGCTTCCAGCTGGAAGAGACACACATAACTTCTACTCACAATCCACTGGACAAAGCAGCTCACTCCTGTCTCGATGGGGGAAGGGAGGTACCACCCTGGACATGCCCAGGAGGTCAACACCCAAAATCATCTGTAAGCAGAGCTAGTGACTATTCAATCTGCCCTTCTGGTCACACTCTCCCTTCCACAGGCAAAATATACTCTCCATCCTTCCAGGGAAGCAGCCAAAGCCCCACACCTCCACAACATCAAGTCTGAGGCCCCTGGGGGATACAGAGTGGTCCTTGCATCAAGTCAGGATGTGGCTCCTCTTGATCCGGAGACCTATAAACTGAAAAGATAGGTTACTAAGTTAACTTCCAAGTGAGTGTTTGCTTGAGTGAGAAAAAAGAAAGGCCTCTGTTCTTAGAAGCCACTAAGATTTTTGTTGTTGTTGTTGTTGTTTCTTGACGTGGAGTTTTGCTCTTGTTGCCCAGGCTGGAGTGCAATGGCATGATCTTGGCTCACTGCAACCTCTGCCTCCTGGGTTCAAGCGATTCTCCTGTCTCAGCCTCCTGAGTAGCTGGGATTACAGGTGCCCGCCACCAAGCCTGGCAATTTTTTGTATTTTTAGTGGAGACACGGTTTCACCATGTTGGCCAGGCTGGTCTCAAACTCCTGACCTCAGGTGATTGTGATCCACCCACCTCGACCTCCCGAAGTGCTGGGTTTACAGGCATGAGCCACCGCACCCGGCCAACCACTAAGATTTTTTTTGAGGGTCATTTGTTACGTAGCCAATCATAGAAGATACTAAAAGAATGTTGCTGATTAAATAAAAAACTAAAATAGGTACATTGGCTTAGAGGCTGGGAGGGGCAAGGAGGATGCTGTCGACCAAAGCATTGTTGTTGACCAAAATTGAAAATGGTCCCTTTTATGAAGAGGCAAATATTTGACAAAGTTGCCACTGACAGGAGACAGACCTAACTTGGAACTTATCACTCCAAGAGAAGTTGCTGAAAACACAAGGTTAGTATTGCATGTTGGCTGCTTTTGCTTGTGTTTGGCAAGACATTATAAGAAAGAGATGGGCTTACAAAAGAATTAACCAGTTTGCAAGCAGGGATGGAAGGGAATAGAGTCCACAAGTTCAGGGACTTTTAGGGTTGGGAGAGGCAACTGCTTCACGACTTCTATTAGTAAAAGATGAAACTGAGAAATATTTAGTAACAAAAGCCCATTAAAATTCAGGAAACTCAGACTCTACTCCCTTGCCCCTTGTGGCAAGAATAGAATCAAGAGTCTCACTTGAAACCTGTAACAAATAGGTTTTGTGGATTCCCAGTAAGCCATCTTACTCCCGGGCCTTGTCCATCTGAGCAACCCCCATCTGAAGCATCACTGGTCTCTGCGTCAGAGGATGAGAGCACGGTTTGGATCACCCACGGACTTGTAAATGTACACCCAGAAGTGTCAAGCGTAATCTAGCCTGTCCTGGAAGATACCTCAAGAATCTGTTTACAAGCCACACCTCTCTCTAAGAGCCAGAGAAGTGTAATCCTCCCAGGCGCCCCCACCAGCCAACGCTAAAGACTACCACACTCCTGTGAATCTTTTGTTACTAGGAAAGAATAGCTGACAAAAGACCCAGTAAAATTGCCCTTGGGCCATCTTGGCTTAACTAGGTCCCTTGACCACTATATTATTTTCCTACAGTAACAAATTACCAGAAACTTGGTTAGGTAAACGGCAGAAATTTAATTATCTCACAGATTTGGAGGCTAGAAATCTGAAATGTTCAGCAGCGCCTTGTTACTTTTGAAGGCTCTAGGGAAGAATCCTTCCTTGCCTTTTTCTAGATTCTGCTGGCTCCCAGCAATCCTTGGTATTGCTTGGCTTATAGCAGCATCATTTCACACTCTGCCCCATCATCACATGGCCTTCCTTTCTGTGGGTCTCTATGTCTTCAAATCTCCCTCCTCTTGAAGGACATTGGTTGTAGAATTTAGTGCCCTCCCTAATCCAACATGACTCATCTCAACTTGATTACATCTGCAAAACCCCTATTTTCAAAGAAGGTCACTTTCTGATATGAACGTTTAGGGAACACTATTCAACCCAGTATACCCACCCAGAACTAACGGGAACTGACAAATGAGAAAGAAATAAAAGGAAGTGACCATATACTGGCTTAGATCAATGGTTTCCACACTAAGTGTGTATCAGAGTAACCATGAACACAGACACACAAATACACACGACTTGGCCAATCGATCCAATTTCTAGAGGTAGGCATCTGTAGTTTTTAAAAGCTCCTCTCCACCCCAGGTGACTCTACTATTGTGCAGCCAGGGCTCAGCCCATGGGCTTAGGCTCAATGGTTCTTGATCTTGCTACGCAGGGGATTACTACATTATTGGGAAAATTGGTGAAATTTAAGCAACATGGATAATATAATACTGTATCAATGTTGACTTTATGGTTTTGATTATTGTACTGTGGATATTTAAATGAACGTTCTTGTCATTAGGAGCAAATTCAAGTAGTTAGGGGTAAAGGGGCAACTGACTCCAAATGAGTCTGAAAAATATACACAGAGAGAGAGAGAGAATAAAATGTGGCTCCCTGGACTATCTGTGTTACGCAGGACTTTCTCTTACAAGTACAGTCACACACCACATAACAATGTTTTGGTCAACAACAGACTGCATATATGACATTGGTCCTGTAAGATTATAATGGAGCTGAAAAATTCCTATCACCGCATGACATCATTGGTGTCGTAAAGTCATAGCCCAACATATTACTCACTTGTTTCTGGCGATCTGGTCAACAAACTACTGTGATCAGATCCATAGAGCCCAGGTTAATAAAAACACAAAACTTCTGCACTACCAGTTGTATAAAAGTGTAACATATACAATTATGTACAGTAGTGCATAATACTTGATGGTAACAGTAAATGATTATGTTATTGGTTTATGTATTTACTATACTATACTTTTAACCATTATTTTGGAGTGTACTCCTACTTACTTTTTAAAAAGTTAACTGTAAAACAGCCTCATGCAGGTCCTTCAGGAAGATTCCGGAAGAAGACAGTGTTATCCTAGGAGACGACAGTTCCATGAGTGTTATGGCCCCAAAGACCCTCTAGTGAGACAGGATAAAGAAGTAGAAGACAATCATATTGATGGTCCTGACCCTGTATAGGCCTAGGCTAATGTGCCTTTGTGTCTTCATTTTTAACAAAAAAAAAAAGCTTAAAAATTGAAAAATAAAAAATTATAAAAATAGAAAAATACAGGATGAGGATATAAAGAAAATATTTTTGCATAGCTGATGTGCTTGTGTTTTAAAATATTATTATGAAATGGTCAAAAAGTTAAAAAAATAGAAGTTTATAAAGTAAGGAAGTTACAGTAATCTTACCGTAAAGTAAAAAAGTTACAGTAAGCTAAGGTTAATTTATTATTGAAGAAAGAAAAAGGTTTTTTTTTTAATTTAGTATAGCCTAACTATAGTGTTTCTAAGGTCTACAGCAGTGTACAGAAATGTCCTAGGCCCTCACATTCTCTCACCACTCACCCACTGACTCACCCAGAGTAACTTCTAGCCCTACAAGCTCCGTTCATGGAAAGTGTCCTGTACAGGTGTACCATTTTTTATCTTTTACACTGTATTTTTACTATATTTTCTCTATGTTTACATACACAAATACTTACTCTTATGTTACAATTGCCTACAGTATTGAATACAGTAACATGCTGTGCAGGTTTGTAGCCTAGGTGTGTAATAGGCTGTACCATCTAGGTTTGTGTAAGTTCACTCTGTGATGTTCGCACAATGACGAAATCACCTAACAACACATTTCTCAAAACATATCTCCATCGTTAAGCAATGCAAGAATGTAGTAAAATCCAATCTGAATTCTCTGTAACAAAATGGAAATGTATTGGCTCATGAAACTCAGGGAAGACGTGCATGTCCTAACTACAGAAGGTCAGGAGTGTGGCTGGTGTCAGACAACTGGGGCCAGCTGCTCCAACTCCAAAATCCACCAGCCTTCCTCTGTCTGTCTCTGTCTGTCTCTGTCTCTCTCTTTGTCTCTCTCTCTCTCTCTCTCTCTCTGCCCCCCACCCCCCACCCCCCATCTCCACAAGCCCAGGTGTCAGGGCTCTAACTCCTCCACCAGCCAGAAAGCACAGAAGCCAACAGTTCCCAAGCCTCACATTCCTCAGCCTCTGCCATCAGAAAGGGCCTTGCTGTTTCCTCATTTCCAATTGCACTAACTCTGGGAAAGGACTGGTATCAGCTTAGAGTGGGGTCAGGTGCCCATATATCTGAACCACCCCTTGGGGTAGGGAGAGGCACCACAGGAACTATGTAAGGATGTGGCAAAGCAGCCACAGGGTCTGGTAGGGAGGTGGTGCCCTCTCCGCCGCCCCATCCAGCTGCCCCCTGCAAGCTGCTTTTCACAGCCACATCTCCCACCTCCTGAATCCTTCCCCAGCCCTCTCCCCTAATGGCTTCACCCTTGCAGGCAGCATAACAGGACAGGACTGCCATCCTCTCCAGAATTGGAGGGACCTCTAGGCTGCTCTAAACAGTAATACCCCAAATAACATTCTATGGGGGTTCTCCTTCAAGACCATCAATAGGATATGAGAGGTTGAAGGACACAAGGTAGATGTATGAGCTTCCCTGGGGCCAGGCTAAGAAAATCCTCTCTAAGGAGCTGCTGGAAGGAAGGCCTGCAGAGGCAGGCTGGGCTGACAACTGGCATCCCTGCAGCTGGGCTGCAGAAGGAGCCTGAGGAAGCCACAGCAGTCACCGGCCTCTGAGAAGGATGCACAGATCCACAGTGGCCTGGCGATGACATCTGGGTTTGCCCAGGGGCTCTCTGTAGTCCTAGGCCCTCAGTACAAAAGGTGGGGCCATAAGCTGCTGCGAGCTTCACTCTGCTGCTTCTGGACCATTGGCCTTGGTATAAAAGGCTGACCCCTCAGCAAGAGAGAGCATTCCCACATACGGTGGCTCTGTGGATTTTAATGTGGCCATGTGCATCTGGCTGGCAGCTTTCCTTTTGTTAACTGACTTGCCCAAGGGCACATGGCTCTCAATGTCAGAGGACCCAGGCCTCCAAATGGCCTACCCAGGCTCACACGACTCTTCAGTCACACGCACATCATGCTACCGAGACAGGACTAACCTGGGGGCCTTGGCAAACATTATGGATGCTGTTTTTATGGAGGCCTGGGGCATGAACGTTACAATCCATGGTTCACGGTTCTGTGGAGAGGCACAGTCTGTTCTCGGGGGCACTTCAGTGTCCTTTGTAGAAATCATGGAACCGTAAAACGTCAGAGCCGGGGGCACCCTGGAGCTTGTCTAGTCAGTCCCTTCTTTTCAGGTGAGGACACTGCAGGGCATGGCTGTTGTGTAGGGCTTGAGGAGGGAGAAATGGGATGATTTGGGAAACTAATTTACACTGTCCCCCATGCTTCTCAGTACTCCCCAGTCTGAGCACTTCAGGAGTCCCAGTAAAGGTAATAGCTCAGATTTACCTGGCCGGGGCCTCACCTGTCTATGCCAAGACTTAGGCCCCTGATAAGCCTCCCTTCCTTCCTTCCTTCCTTCCTCCCTCCATTCCTCCTTCCTTCTTCCCCTCTTTCCTTCTTTCCTTCCATCCCTCTGTTTCTCCCTTCCTCTTTCCTTCCCTCCTTCCTTCCTTCCTCTTTCTTTCTTTCCTTCCCTCCCTCTGTCCCTCCCTCTGTCCTTCCTTCCTTCTCTCCTTCCTTCCTTCCTTGCCTCCTTCTTTCTTCCCCCCCTTCCTTTCTTCCCTCCCTCCCTCCTTCCTTCCTTTCTCCCTTCCTTCCATCCTTCCTTCCTCTCTTCCTCCCTCCATGCCTCCTTCCTTCCTCCCTTCCTCCCTCCGTTCTTCCTTCCTTCCCTCTTTCCTTCTTTCCTTCCCTCCCTCTGTTCCTCCCTTCCCTCCTTCCTTCCCTCTTTCTTTCCTTCCCTCCGTCTGTGCCTCCTTCCTTCCTTGTTTCCTTCCCTCCCTCCCTTCCTTTCTTCTCTCCCTCCCTCCCTCCTTCCTTCCTTCCTTCTTCTTTCTTTCATTTTGGTTTTTCTTCACCTCCCACACAGCCTAAGAAGTCCCTCCTTCTTGTTGCACTGACACACCTCCAGGGGCCCTGAGGGGTTTCTCCCATATGCTCACCAGCAGTTCCACTGGCTCCCCACTGGGCATTGTCTGATCCACAAGGAGCCCCCTGGGTGGGATGAAAGGCTGGCATGTGGGGACAGGATCCAGGAAATATGGCTTCCTTTTATGTTATCACTTTGGGAACAGGGTTCTAGAGCAGAGGTTGCAATGGGAAAATTCTAGCAGCTTTTACTTACTGCCTTCTCTGACCCCAAGTGCCAGACATGTGCCTGGGGAAGGAACAAATTCTGAAACAGCCACCATGTGGTCCTCAGGAATGCCCTCCCCTCCACACAGCCACAGTTTTGTTCCAGAGTCACCCCTAACGTAACTGCCATCTTTTCTCCCCCGGGATAAAGTCTTCCTGTAAGTAGGCTCCAACAGGCTCACTTCAGCCTCAACTGGCCCCACCAGGCACCAGTGGCCCATGCTGGGGACACACACTCACACCCCCTGAATCCCCACACAGACAGGCTGGCATCAGGGGCTCCCACGCTGACTCCCATGCACCCCATTCTTGGAAACAATCAGGCTGTAAACTATGATGGTGCCCTTCCCTGAGCAAGACCAGCAAGTTTTGAGGCCAGCTCTCTTTCCCATGTCCCTCCTCCAAGACACACATTCCTAGTCCAAAATAAAGCTGCTCGATGTGAGTCCATGGACCCCGCTGTGTCACTCTGAGGTTTCTCTCTGTATGGTGACATGCAGGCATCTCTGGGAGGTACTGTTGTCTAATAAGCAAGTGAAGAACAGTGTATAAAATGTGCTACCTTTTGTGTGAGAGAGAGGAGGAATATATGTATTATGTAGCTGTGTGTGTGTACATTTACCTATATTTTCACAAATAGAGCAGATAAACCAGAAGCTAATTAAAATTGTTACCAATAGAACTTTGGAGGGGATAGGGATGGAAGGTACCCTTCCCTGAATTGACCTTGTTTTTAAATTTTTGACTTTGGAATTCGGTAAATGTTTTACATAACCTTAAAATTTTAAACCTAACAAAAAAATACAGTCACTAAAGATGAAAAAGAAACTGAAACAAATTTATTCAACTCTGTTTCAGGTTGCTGGCATAACTACAAGGGAAAAGTTATTTCAATTCATTTAAAATACATTACTTTCACTGCATAGCTCACTAGGAATATAGCCTAAAGAAGAACTGCAGAGAAATTTTATAACGTATTCACTAGTCTTATTATTAGTAGTAATGTTGTTATTATTTTGAAACTTTTTGTGTATGCTGTAACATAAAGTAAGTAAGTAACTGAATAAATGGCATTAGACTCCAAGATTTTGGTAGAAAAGAAACAAAGAAGTTAAGACCTTTTACCTTTTAAATCTTTAAAAGCTAGGTCCCTCTGACTCTCCAGCCTATGTTTTTTCCAGGATACCATATGACTTAAAGGAGGAGGAAATGCTATTTTTAAAAAACATGGATTATCATTTGTATTCGTTTCCTAGGGCTGTGTATTAGTCCGTCCTCGCATTGCTATAAAGAAATACCGAGACTGGGTAATTTATAAAGAAAAGGGGCTTAATTGGCTCACGGTTCCACAGGCTGTACAGGAAGCATGATATTGACATCTGCTTCATTTCTGGGGAGGCCTCAGCAAACTTTCAATCATGGTGGAAGGCAAAGGGGGGAGCAAGAAGCTTCACATGGCTGTAGCAAGAGGAAGAGGGAAAAGCAGAAGGTCCCACACGCTTTTAAACAAGATCTTACAAGAACTCACTCACTATCATGAGAACAGCACCAAGGTGATGGTGCTAAAGCCACTCATGAAGGACCATCCCCATGGTCCAATCACCTCCCACCAGGCCCCACCTCCAACGTTGGGGATAAGAATTCCTCATGAGATTTGACTGGGGACACAGATCCAAACCATGTCAGCTTGCTATAGCAAAGTACCTTGAGCTAGGTAGCTTAAGACAACAGAAATGTAAAATAAATTTCGTAGTTCTAGATACCAGAAGTCCAAATCAAGGTATTTGCAGGTTCCTTCCTGGGAGCTCAGAAAGAGAATCTGTTCCATGCTTCCCACCCAGCCTCTGGTGGTTGCTGCAGTTCTTGGCATTCCTTGGCTTGTGCAGCACAAATCCAACCTCTACCTTGTGTGTCTCTGTCTCTGTGTCTCCTCTTCCCTTCTTAAAAGGGCATACATCACAATGTATTAGGGATCCATCCTGCTCCAGTGTGACCTTATCTTTATTTAACGATTATATCTACAATTAAGTTCACATTCTAAGGTTCCAGGAAGGACATGGATTTGGAGAGGGCATTAGTCAACCCAGTCCATCACTTTTCCTTTTTTTATTTTGTATTCTGAAACAAGTGACACTTTTATTTTTGGGGAGTGTTTCACCTGTTCCAAGTTCATTTTAGGTTTAGACATAAAGTCTAAGAAGGAAATTAATTATAGGCAATCATAGTTAATACTAACATTTGCTTAGCTAAATTTACAATGTTTCCAGACTCTGCAGTGACTGCTTTCCATGAATGTTCTGGTTGAATCCTCACAGCCGGACAATTATTATCCCCAATTTCAGTAGAGTCTGTTGAGGCTCAGAGAGATTAATTCCTGAAGTCAGACAACTAGAATGCAAGAAGCAGGAGCTTGGGAGAAAGAAAGCAGTCAAGCTCTGGAGCCAGTATACAAACACTTGTGTGATTCTGTATGCCTTCCACAAACCAGGCCTCTCAACAGACCATTTAGCAGGATTCAGGTTCATCATTTGGAGAAAGCTTTCCCATCATCTCGACTCTAGCTCTGGTTTGTCTTTCAGATCACAGAGGGAAAGGAAAGGAAATTAACATGAGAACTGAATGTTTTCATGAAGTCACATCTCTTGGATGATACTATCAATGCCAGTGTATAGTAAGCAACACATCAGTTTCACTGGGCCTGACTCCTGGCTTCCTGATCTCTTATATATTACTGGCATTACAAGACTGACTGACAACCAGATTTAAAAAAAAGAGCTCTGGGCCGGGAGCGGTGGCTCACACCTGTAATCCCAGCACTTTGGGAGGCTGAGGTGGGCGGACCACGAGGTAAGGAGTTTGAGACCAGCCTGACCAACATGGAGAAACCCCGTCTCTACTAAAAATACAAAAATTATATGGGCATGGTGGTGCGTGCCTGTAATCCCAGCTGCTCGGGAGGCTGAGGCAGGAGAATCACTTGAAGCCGGGAGGCAGAGGTTGCAGTGAGCCGAGATTGTGCCACTGCACTTCAGCCTGGGCGACAGAGCGAGACTACAAATCTCAAAAAAAAAAAAGCTCAGTCTCCTATTTCAATCTCTGCTCTTCCTGCCATTTATATATTTTCCTCTTTAGTATCTGGCTTTCTTCCCCACTAGAACTTAAGGTCTATGAAGGCAGGGATTCTTCTGTGTGTGCTATATCCCAAGGTTCTAGCTATATCCCAAGGTTCTAGGACACTCTCTAGTACATGGTAAGTACCCAATACATATTTTCGAATGGAAGTTTTCTATCTATGTTGAAATCAGTTCACTTGTTCTACTTAAATAAACTTACCTAAGTAAAAATTTATTTTTGAAGGAAACTTGATATTACTACCACAAATGGAAAGCAGTATCTCATGTAGCATAAATAGAATTCACAAAAATAAATACAATAAAACTAAGCAGTTTCAATGTTAACAGTGAAAGTATAAATTGAAATATACAAGTATATCTGAAAAGATGTTAAACCACACTCACAGTAAGAGAAATGTAGTTTTCAACCCAAACTGGAGATACCATTCTTTATCAGACGAGTAAAGATCAAAAGGTCAGGTTCTTGGCATGTCGGCATGAGGGTGGGAATCAGGTGAGCTAGTAGATTGCTGGCGGGCTTGTGAGCATTCACCCTTATGTCCAGGCACTGCCAGGGAACTGTTGGCTGTGGGCCTGCCTAGATATGTGCCATCGGTGAAATGTCAAGGTTTTATCCTCCCAACAGCATCGCTGGCTATGATCTCATGGGTAACAACAGGTTAGTAATTGAATTTGGCCCACATTTCCTGAGGGTCAACTGAGTGCTGAGCTTCTAGAGACTGGGGTGGGGGTGGGTGGCAGATGGCCTTTGGGATCTATTTGGACATGGGCATGGAAAGCCTGCCAACCCTACCACAGAGTGACAAGGTGCATTAGCAAGAAGGAAACAAAGCTGCTCAGAAAGATGTGGAGCCGAGGGGATTGGGTCCAATGGGCCTTCCCTGCCCCTGCCCACCGATGAGTCTTCCAGTCTGCCTTGGATGGGTAGATAATTGTTGTCCTCTCCCTCTGGGTTCCATCCACTTGGTGCCCGCACCCCACTGTTCTCAGTCTTCTGCAAGGGCATGCCTGGTCCTTTCCAAATCCGTAGAGTGGAGCATCTACATGGCAGCACTGCTTTCTCCACTGACCGCACCTCAAGGGAGGTCACTCTGCTTGCTATATTGAAAGACCCCCTTCCTCCCAGGTGCAAGGCAGGGAAGTGGTAGGGGAGGGAAGGCCCTCACCCTGTCACATGTGTAATTTGGTAGCTTCAAGGCCACCTGAAAACGCTCAAATCTTTGTGCCAAGTAAAAGGGTGTTGAAACTGGGCTGAAAGAAGCAAGCTGGAGCCGACCATTCTGGTGCCAGGTTACTTCTGTCCCCTAGACCCCAGTCCTGCTCACTCTATCCCATGGCAGCACACCATGCCACACCTGGTCCTGCAAAACACGTGCCATGGGACACTCTGGTGAGGACAGATGGAGTAAGAGAATGGGTATCTCAAGGACCCCTGCCATTCTGCTCTCAGTGGAGAGAGCCATGTAGCCTGACAATACTGTCATCCAGTCAGCCCATCAGAGTAAGACAAGGAGAGTCCCTGGGTTGCCTGAATGGATTGGAAACAGCTTATACTTGCTCATAGCCAAATTATGAGGATTCAGGGAAAACTGTGTGCTACAGTTAGGGGTGGGGCCCATGGAGGACACTTGGATTAAGGAGTGTCCATTGGATTATCTGTTCAATTCTGTGTGGGGCTGGTTTTGCACTGCAATTTCTTTGGCAGGATGAACAGCCTCCTGATATCAGCTTCAGACCAGTGAGAAAGTAATCACTTTTTTCTCTACTTTCATTGCATAAGCAAATTAAAGCTATAAATTTTTTTGTTTTGTGGGGAAGTTATAGTAGGGATTGAAGCCATAAAGATTATATTATTTCCAAATTTAGAAAAAAGATTTGATTTTTAAAAATCATAATTTCAGACAAGGGTAAAGGAGTGGGAATGATGAGAGTTGCTTTTATTTCTTATATAATTGTCCAAACAGTGTGGCCAAAAGCTTTTGAATGTGTGCTAATTACATGGTGAGGCGTTTGGGATCTTGGGGACTTTTAACTGGGCATATGGTTGGGCCAGTTTCTATTCCAAAACTTCTTCCTGTGCCTTACAAATGTTTTTGGCATGCAAACTATTTTTTCTTTTTTCTTTTCTTTTTTTTTGGTTTTGAGATGGGCTCTTGCTGTATTACTTAGGCTGTAGTGCAATGGTGCAATCACAGCTTCCTGCAGCCTCAACCTTCCAGGCTCAATCAATCCTCTCACCTCAGCCTCCTGAATAACTAGGATTACAGGCATGTGCCACCACACCTGGCTAATTTTTTTTTTTTTTTTGGTAGAGACGAGGTCTCCCTCTGTTACCCAGGCTAGTCTGGAACTCCTGGGCTCAGGTGATCCTCCCACCTCTGCCTCTCAAAATGCTGGGATTATAGGCGCGAGCCACTGCGCCTGGCTGACATGCAAAACCATGAGTATGTGTTTGCCTCTAACAAGCCCTCTAATGCAAGGTACTACAAATTAATTTTATCATATAGTAACAGTTACTTGCTTTGTATTAATATTTTACAGTTGACAAAATGTTCCCTCAATTTCTTTCTTACAACAATTCTATAAGTCTAGCATATTTTCATCATCTTGACTATATGAGGAAGCTGTTTCACTAAGCTGGACCAGAGCCCACACAGCCAGTAAGAGGTGAAATCAAGGCAAAAGTCCCTATTTTTTTTTTAACCTTACATGCTATCTTTAGGTTAGATAATGCATAGCAATTCGAAAATAAACATGCAGAGAATGGACTTGCATCCCCAAACCGAAGCTATACAGCTAATAATAAGTAGGGGAACTTTGGTAAAATACCCCATCATTTTTATGGTTTTCAGCAATCTCAGCCATGCAGCTACAGGAGATAAGAGTCTCTTTCAGGACATACATTTCAAATCATTTATGTAAGGCTTAAACTGAAAATTTGAATCCCTGAGCTCATCCTTTTCTCTCTCCATGTTGTCCAATGACATTAAGAGCAACCAGCCAATCTCATCCTCATTAGTTTAACAAAAATGTTCTAAGGTATCAAATACATGGTCACTCATAGTTTTATGTCTTATAAATATGTGATTAAGCATATTCAGTAGTGATATTCTACATATCTCTATCATCACATAATGCCGTAAACTATCAGTGTTCTCTTTGCTGCTGGAAACAGAGTCATTAGTACCTTTAAATCTGATCAGATTAGAGAACCAATTCCAGAAACCCCAGAACAAATTCAGAAATTCAACCTTAAGACTATTTCCCTAGAACCACTCTCTGTAGTAAAATCTGCATTAGTCAAAGTTCTCCAGCGAAACAGAACAAGTAGAGTGGGTGTGCATGTGTATGGAAAGAAAGAGATTTATTTTAAGGAATTGGCTCACGTGACTGTGGGGGCTGGTAAGTCCAAAATTTTCAGGTCAGGCCCTCAGGCTGGGATCCAGGGCAGAGTTGATGTTGCAATTTCCAGTCTGAAGGCAGAATTCTTTCGTCTTTATAGTTATAAAATTACCCTCTAAGCATTGCTCGACCTGCCTCTTACAAATTTTGATGTGCTGCTTTCTCATTATCAATCAGTTCAAAATGTTTTTGAACTCCTTTTGTGATTTATTTTGACTCATGCAACTGTTTGTTTCAAAGAATATTTTGGTGAGAATTATAAAACATTCTATTTTTACATAGCAGCCATGCATCTGTAAAACAGAACCCTATAAGTAATGTAGTCTTGGAATGCAATGTGATTGCGTGCCAGTTAGGAAATGCATGCATCACCTACTCTCGATTGCTTGTCACCTACACCCCACCCCACAGAAACTGAAGGTTGCAGGAAATGTTCTTCCCATAATTCTTTATCAGCTATATCAACAACAAGGCAGTTTAGGTCTACAGTTAACAAATCTGGTTAGACTGTATTCACAAGTTAAGGTGTCTAAAGAGATAAAGTTTAGGGAAACTGCTTGTGGTTCCAGTGTAATTTTCCCAAAGAAGAAACCTTTTTATTGTCACTGAAGACATTTACGTAACAGGGCATAAGTTAAGTATTTTATTAATAGATAATGCTCAACACTCTAGGAAAAATTGAGTCAGCACTGAGTGATTTTCAGTTTTGTAAAATTTCCTGAATTAATTCTCAAGAGAGTGTTCTTTAGGAAGGCTGGCAGGGGTCCCTCTGGAACAGAAAGGAGGCTGTGGCATGGAAGGTCAAGGGCATTTGATGACTGTACATACTGTCATCAGGAGAAAAGATGAACCATTAGGATTGTGAAAGTGTGAAAAATGTGAGAGCCTTTCTTTTCTACAAAAAAAATGAATCTGTAGTCATATGTGTTTAATACCAAAGATATGTGGCATATATGTTCATTTTCTACCGTATACTTCAGCTTTTTGTGTCAAAGAAAGATTTATGCCTACTAATGGTTTAACATATGTGGAGAAAATATGGTATTTTCAATCTATGATGTTGGTATAATTAGCTATCCATTTGGACAATAAAGCCAGATTCCTAAAACATCATATTCTCTAAATGTCCAGAAAGATTGAAGACCTAAAAGTGAC
This sequence comes from Homo sapiens, assembly GCF_000001405.40. NCBI lineage: Eukaryota > Metazoa > Chordata > Mammalia > Primates > Hominidae > Homo > Homo sapiens. Next base: position 110,716,770 of record NC_000002.12, on the reverse strand, counting down.
TGGAAAAATATCTTAAAGCCAATATGTAAGAAAAAATGATATAGAGTATATTGGTTTGTATTCATACTGGAAAAAGAACTAAAAGTACCCACATGTGTATGTATGTATAAAATGTAAGCATATAGAACAGTATGGAAAAATATCTGTACAATGAAACACACCATAAACAAAGTTATTTTTATAAAATTTACTGTTTCAATAAGAACACAAATCTCTTTAGAGAAAATTTCAAGGAATGTAGGATAAGGACACACAAAAAAACTCACCATAGTCACAATGAAAATGGAAATTTGTATACTTGTATATTCATTTCTGAGTCTAAAAATATCACATTCATATGGGAGAATATTTGGAAACCTAAGAAAACTGTAAAGAATAAACTCGCTTATACTCTCACCACCTAGAGATTTTAATCGCTAACATTTTAGTAGGTTTCCTTCTTGTCTGTTTATACATTGTATATAGGATCTTTTTCAAATTGTTAATATAAACAACCCCAAGTATTTTTGTATGTAAAAAAATAAATATTTAAAAATCTAAGAGCTATAAACTGGCAAGGGGATATGTAAGTTTTTTAAATATTGGCCATTAATGTCAGCCAGACAGCATATTTTTATTCTTCAGCTCTTTTGTTTTGGCTGGGGCTACCTGAGTCCTCCTTCCAGTTGTCCAACATCACCCATCCACATTACCCCATTTCATCCAGAGGTGATAGGCTCAGGTTAGCACCTTGAGCTGGTGGGTCTTGCAGCACTCCCCCGATGACCAGAAACAGAGCCCTAGACCTAAGTCCAACTGCCCCTGCTGCTCCTGACCTTACTTCTCAGGAAGACCAGGAATGGAGACCAGATAGACCCACTGAAATCCATGGTGGTTAGCAGGAGAGCTGCGGCCATTTGTTCATAAGCCAGGTTGTGGCTCTTTGAGGGGCAGAAGGGGCTTAGGAGTTACCAAGGACCATACATTATAGGAGATTTCACCAGACAGCTTCTGGAGAGAGATGGTTATGAAATTAATTCATCAGACTTTGCCAAGAGATAATAAATTCATTAGCAAGGGGCATCTTTTGAATAGGAGAATTGGCATATGACTGTTGGGTAGGCTAACACCACTAATTCTGAAAACCAAAGGGGTCTTCAGGAAGGACCGCCCAGCGAGAGAGGTTTTTAGATCTGGCTGGACATTACCAATGAGATGCTTCAGAAGTGAAATAGAGCAAATACAGAAAAGCTTACCTGAGTCACATCCTAGGCACATCTGTATAACCAGGGCTAACGATGCTTTCAAATTGTGACTGAAAACTGAAAGATATTTTAGAACACAGAAAACCATGAGATAGACTAAACAGGCCAAATTTCTAATATCTTACCAGAAAAAGAAATATTTCCCCTTATGATGCTAGAAATATAAGCCAGGAGGGAAAGAAGAACCAGAAAACGGAGAAAAGACAAAATAGATCAAAAAAGAAAGACAAACAAAACAGAAAAAGGCAAAAAGAAATCTAGTTGTTAGGTTCTCAGCAGATTTTATTGGTTTCATGATGGCCAACATTAAAAGAAAAACTTTAGCCAAATTAAGTTTAACAAAGTTTAACTGAGCAAAGAAGGATTCGCAAATCCGGCAGCCTCCTGAGCCAGAGTAGGCTCAGAGACTCCAGTGCAGCCACGTGGCGGAAGAAGATTTATGGACAGAAAAAGGAAAGTGACAGTACAGAAAATGGAAGTGAGGTACAGAAACAGCCAGATTGGTTACGGCTTGGCTTGTGCTTTATTTGAACACGGTTTGAACAGCTGGCCACCTTTGATTGGCCAAGACTTGGTGGTTGGCACAAGAGGAGGCTACAGTCTGTTTACAACTACATTTAGGTTATAGTTCACACTGTACAGAGAAACCTTTAGGCCAAACTTAAAATATGTAAGGAGGCAGATTTAGGCTAAACTTGATTTAACATCAGTGATGGTACAGGAGTAAGTGGTGCAGTGTTTCAGCTCAATAAGGGTGTGAACTCTTTTTAAAGCTTGCAAAATCTCAGTATTTCTCCACAATTCAACTTCTTTCTTATCTTGGCATCCTTACAGTAAGGAGCAGTAAAGCAAACAAGAGTACATAAAAACTTCAAAACAAACAAGTTAAAATACTTCAGAAAGAACTACACCCTAAATCACAACAGAACAAAGTGAAAGGGATTTCAGGATATTAGGCTGCATAAATCCTAATTAAAGACACAAAAAGGCATTAGGAAGACAATCTTCCTAGGCTCTACACAAGGAAAAAAAAGGGATGAAGAGAATATATCACAACTAGGTTTAAAATACTCACTGATCTTGGATGTAATGTGGGGATCCTATATTCCTATATGGCTCTCTCTGCTTCCATCTTAGTATATTTACCCCTCAGCATTCTATGGAACTGATTATATGGGGTAGATTTTATTCCTTCCACCTAGGAAAGTCTGGAATCCCTTAGACAAGGGTGCTCAAGTGCCATGAGCCATGAAGACACTGAAGAATCTGCAGGCACATCTGAATATTAGAGCATGCATGGGAAGCGACTGCCCAGCCCATGGGCTTGGGTGGCCATTAGGCTTCCAAATTCCAATATGATTCACACCATTCATAAGACAAGTCCCAACTGGACCCTCCAGGACCTGCTGTTTATGTTTTACCTCGAACAGAAAAGACCACAGAGCCACCCTCTAACATCCTGAATCTATAGACATAATGACACCAGCAACAATGACACTGGTTTCATTCGCATCTGTAGAAGGTCTACTCACACATGGACCCCTGTTTTGAGAAAGATATTGTGGGCAAAAACTCCAGGGACTGCACTCATGTGCAGCTTAAAAGAAAAAGCTACTTCAGTAAGTCTGAAGTTGTCCGTGGCAGCAGCTCCCCACAATACCTGTGTGATGCTATAAAACAGTAGTCAGGAAATGTAAGAAGCATTACAGCCAGCCTCTGAAGATCACACCATCTGTCAAGTCCCCACCTGGGCTGGAATGTGTGTGTGTGCTGATGATAGGTCATATGACCATATGACTTTGTGGCAGTCAAGGTGAGTCATTTACCAGTCCTGCTGTTGTGTGACAAAGCTAGACTGGCTAAGAGGCCTTGCATCCCACACAGGGTAATCCTCTGTTCAAGGGGCAGAAAATCTCCTTGTGGTCACCATGGACTCAACTCCAAGACAGATGAGGCTAGAGAATCGGTGTCAATTGTATTGAACAGATAGCAGACCCACGCCAAAGAAAATTAAACAGAGAATATACTTTCAAAAGGATGACATCTCAGATGTGTCTCAGGACACACCAGACCTAAGGAGAGCTCATGAGGAAGGAGGCTCCAGCCACAGTGTATTGCTGTGTCACCTGAGTCAAGGTACTTAACCTACCCAAACTTTTATATTCTTATCTGAAAAACTGAAGGTAAAGATAGTATACTTGGAATTGTTTTAGGGACTGAATGAGGCAATTCTTTGAAAACACATAGCAAAGATTCTGGCATATAACAAGTGTTTAATAAGTATTAACTGTTATTATTAGACCCTTGATATAAAGAGAAGGGTAATATCAGAGTGTTTCAGTTAAGACTGTTTATTTCTCAGCCACCCCAAAGAGGGACTTTGGACAGAGGAAGAAACTGTACAGGGACTCCCAAGGTTTTACAAGAGTTGGATGAAGAAGAAGAGCAGGGAGTGGATCATTAGCGAAAGTGATCAAGAAAGGACACACCCTGGGGATGCAGACTGGGCATCTGACTGGGCCCAGGAGCAGAGCAGCTCCAAGGAGGAGGAAGAAGCTGTAGCACATGTGTGATAAGGCAAAGGGTCAGTCACCTGTTGCTGTGAAATTAGCCAAATTTGGTAGCTTAAAAGACAATAAACATCTTTTATCTCCCACAGTGTCTGTGCATCAGAAATTCAGAGGCAGTTTAGCTAGGCAGTTCTGGCCTGGGGTCTCTCATGAGGTGGTAATAAAGACATCAGATAGTGCTGCAGTTATCTGAAGGTTTGACTGGGGCTGGAGGATCAGCTTCTACGGTGGCTCATGCAGGTGGCTGGCCAACCAATCTTGGCTGTTCACTGGAGGCCTCAGCTCCTTACCACCCAGACCTCTCCCTAGGACTGATTGAATGTCCTCATCATGTGGCAGATGTCTTCCCCCAAAGTGAGCGATCCTAAGACGGCATAGCAGAAACCTCAATATCTTTTATAATGTAGCCTAAGTAGTCACACAGTCTCATTTCTTCAGGATTCTGCCAGTGACACGGCCAGCCATGACTTAGTGTGGAGGGGACTACACACGGGCAGGATTACCAGGAGGGAGGAATTGGTGGGGCCCAGCTTGGAAGCTGGTTACCAACACAGAGGTCTAGGAGGGGAAGAGTAAGAGTCCACAAGAGCACAGTGCTTCCGGGGTGGGAGAAGAGGGAACACAGGTCTTCCCCAGCTCCTGCCTGACCTCCTAGTGAGAAGGGGGAAGGTGGTGGTGACAGACTGCACATGGCAGGTGGAGGGCTTTGAGTTTGTCCTTGTGGTCCAGTGGAGGCCAGAGGCAAGAGCTCTGTGATGGACCCTATCCAGACCAGCAGGGTGAGGAGGGAAAATGGTCGCAGCAGTGTTGCTCCTGTAGAATGGAGAGGTGGCTTTCCCCCAGGAATGAGACATCTGGCCAAAGGTATTGGGGGCAGCGTTGTGACAGGGAGGCAGAGATCAAGCCTACGTGGAGTGTGATGCTGTGCTGCTCTGGCCTAAGGTGTGCAGCGTCTCCAAGGACACTGCTCAGCTCCCTTAGTATCAGGGCAACTGCACCAGGCTCAAGCCAGAGAGCTCCAAGAAGGGCCAAATTTCAGAATGGACTCAAGACTGCTGCCTTTCCACTGTCATCACTGCCCAGACTCCACTCAGACAATCTCAAGAGATTCCTTTAGAGCTCAGGTGCTTCCTTGTCTTCCCATTTATTTAGGGATTTCTACCCAGAGGGTCAGAAATTAACAGAAAGCCCAACTTCACTGCAACAAGGGGAAATAGGAATTTTGCTATTTTCTGATCATGGACAAATGCAGTCAGTTGTTTGATGCCAGGAAAATTCATCTGCTACTAAATCTCTACATATATATGACTTCATTTTTTCAGTTTTCTTTGCTTCAAAGGATGTTTATTTAAGTTATATTTGTACGCTCTCCCCCTAAGACATACAGAACACTGCGCAACTGTGAACTGTACTTAAGTAGGCATTTCATATTCCATTTTTACGGTAACCCCTTGCAGGGAAAGAGTCAGTGCAGCAAATCTGTTTTGCTCAATTCTAGCTTATCTCTGAGGATGTCTGGAGCCAGGATCTAAGAACTAAACCTTGGAATGTTCACAAATGATGTCATTCTGTGCCCAGCACATTGGGGTAGGACATACTAAACCATCAACACCATTTAAAGCAAACATGAACCTCTATGATGTACACCTGGTGCCTGGTTTGAGGCTCACAACACGAGTGCTTGCGTAGCAGGTATGCACCAGAACTGTGCCTGAGTTCTCTGCTCTTCAAAGCTGGAAAGAAAACATGTGTGTGTGTAAGCCATGCAGAAGGACAAAAGCCTGTTCCTGAGCATTTTAGCCTTCACCTGTACGTGTATTTTTTTTTTTCTGTTCTGGCACTGTATCTTTTGCAATAAACCTTAGCGGTGAGTAGAATCTGATGCTGAGTTATGCAGGTTCTTCTAGTGAATTACTGAACCAGTGAGTAGTCATAGGCCCCCAGAACCTGCCTAATTTTCAAAGTAAAATTTTTAATTACTTGGAATGAAGTTCAATCCTAGATACTACCTAGGAACAGCAACCTCAAATATCTCATTACAGCTTTGCTGCTTTTAGAGTAAATAATCACAGAAACTTTTACCTCCCAGAGCCTATTAATTCCCCTCTCCACTTCTATTCTTCTTAATAACAATCACATATATACTGATAGGAATCACTGGTTATTTTGAAGACATATAAGTGGTAAGGAACCCAGTTCCACCTCCTCCCACAGTAACAAAATAAAGGAGGAAGCAAAGATATATAGGAGCAAAAGTTTCGTGCACTATCAAGAATAAATTGAGGCTGGGTGCGGTGGCTCACACCTGCAATCCCAGCACTTTGGGAGGCTCAGGCAGGCAGACCACTTGATGTCAGGAGTTCAAGACCAGCCTGGCCAACATGGTGAAACTCTGTCCCTACCAAAAAATACAAAAATTAGCCAAGCATGGTGGCACGCACCTGTAGTACCAGCTACTCGCCCAGCTGAGGTGGGAGAATTGCTTGAACCCAGGAAGCGGAGGCTTCAGTGAGCCACGATCGCACCACTGCACTCCAGTCAAGACCCTGTCTCAAAAAATTTGTAAAAAAGGAAAAATTGATATTAATTTCATCCAGATTGTTATAAATTATGTTAGTCGTAACCCCCAGGGCAAACACTAAGAAAATGACTAAAAATATATAGTAAAAGAAATGAAAATGGAATCAAAATGGTACTGTAAAAAATATCTTTCTGTGTACACTGACAGACAACACCAAAAAAAGAAATAAAATATATTTTTAATACAAAAGAAGGGAATAACAGGAACTGAGGAACAAAAAATATGTAAGACATTTAGAAAACAAAAATAAAATGCAGAAGTAATGATCAGTAATCACGTTAAATAAAAATAGATTAAACTCTTCATTTAAAAACCAGATATTGGCAGAATGGGTGAACATTTCCCAATTATACCCCAGCTACAAGATACTCATTTTTGTTTCAAGTCACACATAGGTTGAAAATGAGAGGACACAAAAAGATATTCCATGAAAATAGTAACCCAAAGAGAGCTGGAGTGGCTACTAATGTCAGACAAAATAGACTTTAAGACAAAAATTGTTACAAGAGGCAAGGAGGGCATTTATATAATGATAAAAGGGTCAATTTATTAAGATATATAACAGGTATAAACATATGCACTCAATAACAGAGTCTCAAAATATATGAAGCAAAAACTAACAGAATTGAAGTGAGAAATAGACAGTTAAATAATAAAAGTTGAAAAATTCAACACCCTCCTTTCAATAATGAATAGAACAACTAACCATGGCCAGGTGCAGTGGCTCACACCTGTAATCCCAGCACTTTGGGAGGCCGAGGTGGGTGGATCACTTAAGGTCAGGAGTTTGAGACCAGCCTGGCCAACATGGTGAAACCCCGTCTCAACTAAAAATACAGAAATTAGTCGGGTGTGGGGGCGGGTGCCCATAATCCCAGCTACTCGGGAGGCTGAGGCAAGAGAATCGCTTGAACCCGAGAGGCAGAAGTTGCAGTGAGCCGAGATTGCATCACTGCACTTCAGCCTGGGTGACGTGACAAAGCAAGACTCCATCTAAAAAAAAAAAAAAAAAGAAGAACAGCTAAAGAAATGATAAACAAGGAAACAGAAGACTTGAACAACACTTTAAACCAACTGAATTGAACAGACATATATATAGCATTTCACTAAACAACAGCAAAACATACATTATTTTCAAGTGCTAATGGAACAACTTCCAGGATGACCATAGGTTAATCCACAAATGAAGCCTCAATAAGTGTAAAACAAGTGAAGGCATACAAAGTATCTTCTTTGACACAATGGAATAAACTTAGAAATCAATAGCAGAAGGAAATTTAGAAAATTCAGAAATTTGTGGAAATTAAATGGCACACTCTTAAATAACTGATGGATCAAAAAGAAATAACAAGAGAAAATTGAAAATACTTTCAGAAAAACAAAACATTCCCAAACCTATGAGATGCAGCAAAGGCAGCAGGCAGAGAGAAATGTATGGCTGTAAGTGCCCACATTGAAAAGAAAAAAGATTCAAATCAACTGAACTTCAACCTTAAGGAACTAGAAAAAGGAAAGCAATTAAACCCAAAGAGCAGAAGGGGAAAAAATAACAAAGACTGGAGCAGGGATAAATGAAATAGAAGACAGAAAAATGATGGAAAGAATCAACAAAACCAAACGTTTATTCTTGGAAAAGATTGATAAAATAGGCAAATTTGGCTGGCAAAATGTGGTGGCTCACAACTGCATTCCCAGAACTTTGGGTGGCTGAGGTAGGAGGATTGCTTGAGGCCAGGAGTTTGACACCAGACTGGGCAACATAGTGAGACCCCATCTCTACTTTAAAAAATGAAGACAAACTTTTAGCTAGACTGATTAAAAGAGAGAGAGAGTGAGAGACAGAGAGAGAGAGAGAGAAGAAAAAAATCAAGAATTAAAGTGGAGACTTTACTACCATCCTAACAGAAATCAAAAGAATTACAAGAGAGTGCTATGAACAATTGCATGCCAACAAAATAGATAACAGATGAAATTGACAAATTCCTAGAAACACACAAAACTAGTCAAACTGACAGAAGAAAAAAAAATAAGCAATCTGAATACAACAGATGAAGAGACTGAATTGGTAATTTAAAAAATCTTCCAACAAAGAAAAGCCCAAGGCCAGATTGCTTCATAGCAGATTTCTACCAAACATTTATAGAGGAATTGATGCCAATCCATCTCAAATTCTTCCAAAATTTGGAAGAAAAAAGACCACTTCTTCATTCTATGAGGCAAGTATTTCCCTGATACCAAAGCCAGACAAAGACATCACAAAGATGAAAACTGGCAACCAATATCCCTTATGAATACAGAGGCAAAAATCCTCAATAAAATACAAATAATCTGAATCCAGCAGCATATTAAAAAATTGTATATGAGATATATCCCTTGAGTGCAAGAGTGAGTCAACATATGAAAATCAGTCAATATAATACATCGTTTTAATAGAATGAAGAAAAAACTCCACATGATCATCCCAACTCAACAGATATAGGAAAAAAGCATTTGATGAAATCCATCCTGCTTTCATAATAAGAAACAAAACAAAATACTCAACAAACTAGGGAACTTTCTCAACCCAATAAAGGGAAGCCATGAAAAACCCACAGCTAACATCATTCTTAATAGTGAATACCTGAAAGCTTTCACCCTAATATCAGGAACATGACATGGATGTCTGCTCACATTACTGTTATTTAACATTTTATTGAACTGTCTAGCCAGGACAATTAGGCAAGAAAAAGAAATAAAAGTCACCCAACTTGTAAAGAGAGAAGTAAAACTATAACTATTTGCAGATGATACCATTTTTTTTTTCTTTTTGAGGCAGAGTCTCATTCTATTGCCCAAGCTGGAGTGCAGTTGCAGTGGTGTAGTCACAGATCACTATAACCTCAAACTCCTGGGCTCAAGTGATCCTCCTGCCTCAGCCTTCTGAGTAGCTAGGACTATAGGTACATATCACCTTCCCCAGCTAATTTTTAATTTTTTGTAGCAATGGGGTCTTGCTATGTTGCCCCAGCTTGATGTAATATTATATATAGGAAATATTAATCAGTCACAAAACTATTAGAGCTAATAAATAAATTCAGCAAAGCAGCAGGTTACAAAATCAATATACAAAATCTACTGTATTTTATATACCATTCCAAAAATGAAATTTAAGAAAACAATTCAATTTATAAAACCATCAAAAAGAATAAGATACTTTTATGAATAAATCTAACCAAAAAGCAAGACTTGTGCACTGAAAACTACAAAACATTGTTGAAAGAAATCAAATACCTAAATAAATGAAACAAATCCTGTGCTACTAATTTGGAAGGCTTAATATTGTTACGATGGCAATATTCCTCAAATTGATATACACATTTAATGCAATCACTACTAAAATTATGGCAGCATTTTTTTTTTTGCAGAAATGGACAAGCTGATCCAAAATTCATATGGAATTGCAAGGGAACAAGAATAGCTAAAATAATATTGAAAAAGAACAAAGTTAAAGGACTCACTTCCTGATTTCAAAACTTCCTATAAACAACTAATCAAAACAGTGTGGTATTGGCATAACGATAGACATATAGATCAATGGGATGCAATTGAGAGTCCAGAAATAAACCCACATATTTATAGTCAATTGATTGTTGACACAGAAAATTAAAGTGAGAAAAGTTCATCTTTTAACAAATAGTACTGGGATAATTGGATAACCACATACCAGAGAATGGAGTTGAACCCTTAATTCATGCCATATACAAAAATTAACTCAAAATAGATCAAAGACCTAAAAATTATAAAGCTCCTGGAAGAAAACATAGGCTAAATCTTCATTAACTTGGATGTGGCAATGGATTCTTAGAAATGACACCGAAAGTATGAGCAACAAAAGAAAAAAATAAATTGGACTTTATCAATATTAAAACTTTTTACAGCAAAAGACATTATCAAGAAAGTGAAACACAGCCCAAGGAATGGGAGAAAATATTTGTAAATCATATATATCTAAACATTCACAATATATAAAATACTCTTACGATTCAATAACAAAAGACAAACAACTTGATTGATTAATGGGCAAAGGACTTGAATAGACATTTCTCCAAAGTAGATAAATGGACACTAAGAACATGAAAGGAGCCTCAACATTATTAGCCATTAGGGAAATGCAAATCAAAGCCACAATCACTTCATGTCTACTAAAATGGCTACAATTTTTTAAAAAGAGTGAGGGGAGATAACAGGTATTAGTGAGGCTGTGGAGAAATTGAAATCCTAATACATTGCTTACAGGAATGTAAAATGGCACAGCCACTGTGGAGAAGAGTTTGCTAGTTCTTCAAAAAATTAAATATGGAATTACGTCATTACCTAGTAATTCCACTCCTTGGTGTAAAACCCAAAGGAATTGAAAACATGTGTTAAAATGTGAACTTGTACACAAATGTTCATAAGCAGTATTATTGATTATAGCCAAAAAGTAGAAATAACCCAAATAACTGTTAACTAATGAGTAAATATACAAAATGTGGTATACCTACACAATGGAATATTATTCAGTCATACAAAATGGAGTATTCTTCAATACGTCAGTCACAATGAAGTACTAACACATGCCACAATATGAATGAACTTTGAAAACACTGTGCTGCGTGGAGAAGCCTGACACAAAATGCCATGTATTATATGATCCCATTTATATTAAATGTGAGAATCTGGACAATCCCACATTGTCTCTCCTTCAGGTTTAGCTAAAGGAAGACCAAATGGGAGTACTGAGGATTAATTGTTTATTTTTCATATTCAAAACAGGGAAAGACTTTTCTTTGGCCAGAGTCCCAAGTTATAAATAAGAAATCACCGCTGATTAGTGGTAACTTAAAATTAGTACAGGTGCTCTGAAAATTAGCCAATCAGTGACAGCCTCCCTCCAGTAGCCAAGCTCGTGAACATTGGCAAATCAAGGACAGCTGAAGTATCTGATAGTCGGCCAATGCTAAATCCCCCAGACTTGAAAATTAGCCCGTCACTGACAGCCTCACGCTTCTAGAAAATGGCCAGTCAGCAAGCCACTTCACTCCAGTGACCATGCTTCTGAAAGTCAGTGGTTCAATAGCATCCTTATTCTCATGTCCAGGCTCAGATATCTGAAAGTCTGGCAATCCCTAAACACTCCCACTTCTGAAATTCCACCAGTCCCTAAATATCAGCCTGCCCAATACCTTATATAAAAACACCTGTCTCTGTTGGGGGAGAGTCTACCCTACAGTTCTCCTTTTCAGGCAAATGCAAAGTTTATCCTTTTTTGGTATGAGACAGAGTTTGATTTATTGTTAGTTTGGTACCCTACAACCCTTAAAGTTTAGGTTCAGACTTGTGAGAGATGCACTGATACAGTCTTGAGATCATCAAACTCAATATGTTCAAATCCAGTAGTGGTCCTGAGTGTCAACTTTTTTATTTGTATACAGATGCTCTTTGACTTATGATGGGGTTACGTCCCAATACACCCATCATAAGTTAAAAATATGCACTTAATACTCTTAGCGTACCAAACAGCATAGCTTAGCCTAGCCTACCTCAAACACACTCAAAATACTTACATATTAGCCTATAGTTGGGCAATCATCTAACACAAAGCCCATTTTATAATAAAGTGTTGAATATCTCATGTAATTTACTGAATGCTGTACTGAAGTCAAAGACAGAATGTTTGTATGGACATTTGAGGTATGATTTATAATGAAGGCATATTGTTTTTACACCATAATAAAGTCGAAAAATCATCCAGTCATCTTAAGTCAGGACTGTCTGTATATTTAAACCCCAAAATGCCAAAATGCATGTGTAAATTTTGAGATAAATTTTCTGAATAATGAACATGTATTCAGCGAGGAATAAGTTATTTTGAAGCTCCTTGTGCATATTTCAATTGGTCATTCAACATCAAGAATAGCAGAACATCAACGGGAACAACAGTGACTTTATTTTAAAAGCTAATCTGCTATGTAACTTCTAACGCTGAGTCCAGGAATGCCTCCAAAATGTCTAGTTTATGTATGACTCTTTATTAGGAACATCTATTCACTGTAAGTTTCCTCTAAAACAATCCTTGATGCTGTTGCAGAAATCATAGGCTGTGATGCCGGTAACCACCTACACATTCCTTCTAGAGCACATATGCTTTCCCCAAGGTAAAGCCCTGGCTCTGGGGGGTTGCAGTGCAGAGACCTACCTGCTTTGTGGCTGCCCAAGACCACACTTCTGGCTATAAGTTTCCCAAATAAATCACCCCAAATCTACAAACTGAATTTGTCTGCCTCCTACTTTAGTTTCTAGGCACCTTCAGCATTTGCATATATGGCCCTTTTACACAACAAAATCCTGTATAAACTAGCGAAGCAAAGCTAAAGGCTAAACAGAGATGTATGATTCCTAGGACAAATGAAAGTGATAAGCAACAAAAATTTTATTAAGAGAAATTTAGACAAAGAAGATAAAATAATTACAACAGAAGTTGGAATGGCTTCCCACACTGAATGTCATCAGTAGTCTTGCTGTTTAAATGATGGTGTGAACATACTACTGAAGTGTTTTCCAAAACTGTAAGCAAACTTACTAGTGCTAGGACAAACTCTACTGCAATAGTTAAAAAAAGTATTAGTTCGATTTGTAATTACAGAGACTATTATCAAAGATCTAAGTGCCTCGTCTCTTTACAGCATGGCCATAAACACAAAGTTTTCATAATATAGACAACATTTTCCCTTTTTCTCATGAAAAAGACTGCTTGTAAGTTTATTACCAGAAAAATCCTTGCAAATAAGAGTTTGGAAACAATAGCAAAAAAATTACTGCTTTTGGTGGAGATAATAAAATAAAAATTTGGTGGATCTTTGTGTAGGGGTGCAAACAATGTTTACTCAAAGTGGAAACAAAGCACGGATGAGGCAATGGAGGGTCTTGCGTGTCCTGCTCATGTTGTGTGTAATGCTGCTTACAAAGCTGCCAATGTCTTCCTATTGGTATTAAAGTTGTCATAAAATTGTTCTCTTCTGTATTTACACTATCCAAACTGAGTGATTAAAGATTTTTTGTGATTTTGTTGGCATTCAGTTTTCTTCAACTCTTTTGCATTCGAAAAGCTATTGGTTCTTTTTTAAAAATGTAGCTGAGAGAATTCTTTATTTGAAGCATTGAAGTCATACTTCAATTCTAAAGAAAAGGCCTCACAAATCCTTGATATTTTAAGTAATTCATCCAGTGAAACCTACTTCTTTCTTGTTGATAGTTTCAATATCTCTTTAGCAATAGGATTGTGCAAATTAAAGGATTATGCAAATTAAAAAGAAAACCGTGTTACTGAAGCACTTAGTTAAAGGAACTTCAGTACATTAAAGAAAGAAGTGTTGAAAGTGTTAACTCTTTAAGAGTCAAGTCTGTTCTTAAATGAAATATTACTTAGGAAAAGGAAAAGAAACTATGACTTAAAAGTGACACTTGCCATGACTATCTTTTGAAATGGATTTTATACCTTAAAGAATTTGTTTTACATCAATGTTACTAAGTACTCTTCCAGCATGGAAATCAGTGAACCAATCATGTGTAGTGTTGATGAAGGGAATAAAAAATTGAGATCAATGCTCATTTTAAAAAGCTGTTGATCAAGAGAGATGATGTAATCCAAAGGAATGGGAAAGCAAGTTAGCCATAAATGATTTTATGCATTTAAATCAGATTTAAGGAGTGATTCCCAGTGTTAACCTTCTGCCAGTACATGTTCTGTATATTGGCTCATAATGCTAATGGTGAGCATGTTTTCTCATTAATAATAATAATGTTCAATGAACAAAAAACACAAAATAAGTTGCATGTGATTCTTGCAGAAGCTAAGTGTAAATGGAACATAGATTAACTGTAAAGAATTTTGTAAGCAAATCCTGCAGAAGAAGGAATTGTTAAGGAGCCAAATCATCAGAGAAACAGAATTAAAGAGAGAGGTATGTAATTTAGGTATTTATTCTTTATTTCAGCATATTTTTATTTTATTTCAGGGTATTTTTTAGCATAACTATATCTCATGCAGTATTTTTCTTTTATCTGAATCACACATGCATAGGCAATTAGAAACAATTCAAATGTAACCGGGAATCCTGTATTTTTATTTGCTAAATCTGGCAACCCTGTGCCAGAGGGACTCTGCAATGGTCTGGTTTCCCCTGGCAGAGATGAAAGGCCACTTATTCCCACAGCCTGTCCAAGGCTGGAGGCCCCTTAACAACTCCTCTGCCAGGGAGTTTGTTAGGCTATGAGTAGACACTTCCCATCCCAAAGAACCTCCACAAGATAAAGGTCCAGAAAACAGCTTTTCTATTATAATTTTTCTTGCAGTTTCACTTTCTAGCTATGTCTTTTATATTCCACTCTCGGGAAACAACACAGAGCTCTTCATGAAAACAGCCACTCAATTTATTATATATACAAAATAGAATTATTGTTTTAAACTGGAATTATTTTAAAAAATAATTCCAATTTGTATATATAACTGGAATTGAGACTATAGAATATAGGCAACAAAATATACCAGCAAACCTTAGAAAACAATAGTAGTAAAATCCTGATTAATGTTTAGCAGTTCAACTATGAAAAATATTGGTTATTTTATCTGGATGCTATTTGGAAGGTATGTTACACTGTAATAAAAGCAAAATATTAATATTCAAGCTAAGAGTCAATACATAGATATTACTATTTCCAGGGCCTGTGGGTGTGTATTTAAGTGACATGTTTTGTGTGTGTGTGTGTTTTGTACTGATGAACAGAACTTGTTATTTACCCAATTCTATTATCTATCTCTATTATAATAGTAACTTAGCTACTATAATAGACAAAAGTATGACTCTCAGTTAAATAAAAGAGATTTTTTAAAAGTCTTGTTACAAAAGAAAAAAATCAAAAAGAGGATTAAGTACTTTTACTACTGGGCCAAAGATTAGAATCATTGATAATACTTTCACACATCACTTCATTTAATCTTCACAACTCCTGAGAAATGGACATTGTCTCCTACCATATAAATGAAGAAACCCTCAAATTGGTTAATACATTTTATGATAACCAGTCATAATTCATCTTCATGGATGTTTCCGGACTTTACTTTGGGGTGATTTCTATTAATATCTGCCCTCATAACAGTTTTCTAAGGGTGCTACCCAGCTGGTTTCATCTCCTAGGGGCCCTCCTGGTGCTCTGCAGTGCAGGGTCTGGGTGGTCCCAGGGACTTCTCAGTACCCTGCGTTCTAGCACTCAGCACCCACATCAAGATGGTTCATGCTCCCTCTCACTAGCCTGTGAGAGTCTGGAAAAATGGGACTCTCTTTTTTCTGTGATCTCTGGATCCCAGCACACCGCCTGGCAAATAGTGGTCATCGCAAAAGGGGATGTTGTTCCCCAAGCTCCTGCTCTAGGCCAGATCTGGCTTGGTGCCGACTATGGAGAACACAGATGACTCAGGCATGGGTCCTAGGGATCTTCTGTTCCACGTGCAGTGTTGGCACCAGGGGAAAAGAGTGCCCATGTTAGCCCCTAGGTGCCTTCCACCCGATGGAGAGGTAGGAGGCCCATTCTCAGTCTCTGTTCCATTGCAGACCAGACTTGCTGATATGACCACAAGGGAGTTCCTGGAACCCCTTGCAGCCAGCATAGGGCCATTTTCCCCAGCCTGCTGACCCAGAGTCAAGGATGGAGAGGAGTTTGCAGGCAGAGAGATGCTGGCCTTTCACCCTGCCATCCCATCCCAACCCCAGCCAACTAGGCTTCATATGTGTCTTATACTTGGAGTCACAGGGGCCAAAGGCCTGAGACCCCACCCTACCCCAAACTGGCTAAGACAGCTCTCAATTCCTGGCTCCCCAACTTGGTCTCTGACCTGAGGCGGGGCACTGGACTCTGGGCTGTTTCTCCATATGCAAAGTGGGCACATCTTTCTAATGAGTTAATTGTCAACGGTGTCCCCAAGGATAGTGATGGTTTACATGGAAACCCTCACTCCTGGAGACCCCAGACCATTCTCAAGTTTACAGCCACAGCAAGAAGGAGCCTGATACTCTGATTCTGTGACATAAGCCCCACCAATTGTTAATGCAAGTTTTTATTTGACTGTATACACAATTTAAGCTATCAAAATTTGTACAGTATTTGAAAATTAATCATCTGAAACGGAGTAAAAAAATTGGGGTGGAGGGGATGTTGATTGCTTCTGAGACCAAACTGCTCCTACTCATTTCCAAAGTGAACCCTCCACCAGGGCCCAGGAGCCCATTTGTCCTGCTCTGGGGATTGGGCATGCTTGGTTTCCACCTTTGCGCTGCTCTCCTGACCTATTAACCATGCTAAAAAGTTTTCCCTCACTTACTCCTCACTGCCCAATTCCCCTCACACACACGCCCACCCCATTTTCCACTTCCTGGCAATCCAGAAAAGATAGCTTATCTATTCAAGAGCTTCCCAAATTGGTGTTCTTGAGTTAGGAGAAGGAGAGGAATTCGTGATGGGGAGGACAACACTGCAAGGAGAAAGAGGAATGTATTCTCCGGAAAAAAGTCATTCCCTGAGCAAAACATTTGTATAACTTAAAGTTGCATAGTTGTTAACCAAG
This sequence comes from Homo sapiens, assembly GCF_000001405.40. Taxonomy (NCBI): domain Eukaryota; kingdom Metazoa; phylum Chordata; class Mammalia; order Primates; family Hominidae; genus Homo; species Homo sapiens. Next base: position 110,699,736 of record NC_000002.12, on the reverse strand, counting down.
GAGCTCCTCAGGCCTTTAGTATGTTAACACGTTGGGGACTCTCCAAGATGGCAAATTAGTGGGCTCTGTTTCCTGGCTTAATTTCAATACATAGCCCCAGTAAAATCCCCAGGACACAACTAACTCTTCGTTCCCCCCATTGCTATCTGACTGGCTCCAGCCTGCTCAGAGCCCTCCATCTTCCAGTGGAAAAAGCACCACTGTCTTCATTGTCACCAGATCCAGCTGCTTTGTATTTGGAGGTAGTTTCCATCTTGCCTGACCATATTGTGTTTATACCCTTAGATAACTTCCCTCCTCCCCGAGTCAATTTAAATCTTTATCCCACCTCAAAAACAGCCCAGATTGACCCCTGGGAACATCCAGGAAAGCAATGAAGAGAGGGGTGAAATGCTCTAGGCCAAGAACTCCCAGCCTGCAGGCCTCAAAACCCTTGGAGGCTGCAGTTTTGGTCACATCCGTGAGTCTTTTTGAGAGTACGCTGCTCCTGATACTTGGACCGCTGCACTCCAAATGACCCCACAGCCAACCCCATGCTTTATGACAATGGCAGTGGAGGAGGAGAACAGACCACTTGATTCTCCTGATGGAGATTTTCTCTTTTCTCCCCATCAAGTCTGGATTTTCATCTCCAGGGTAACAAGGTACAGGAAGAGCAATCAATTGCTGCTGCAGCCAGTAATAACCAACCCAAGCCAGTTTATGGAAGCCCACAGGAAGCTTCTCTGAGCAGTATAGGTAAATCAATGTAGACCCACAACAGTGTTTTCCCCACTGGACCTGGTGATGCCACTTGGAGGGAAAACAGGTGGGCCCAGCCCGAACTCAAACACTGTCTGCCCTGAACCCTCAGCAATCCACACCTAAGTGGCTGAAGTCAGGGGACTTCATGCTGCTAATGTCAGGGGACTTCATGCTGCTCAGATCAGTGGCTCTCAAGTCGACCTCCACTCTGAACATGGCATTGGCAAGGGGTCTCTCTGCCAAATCGGCTCCTGCTGTATATTTGGGAGTCACACAGACACATCTACTACCTCTAGCGTCCCTCAAGAGTTTGCTGCTGCACAAATACAAAATCAAGTCGTCCTGGTTTCTCGGTGTCTTTCCTGATGCTGTTTTAGATGAGTAATGCCTGCTTGCTTTGCCTAGGCTCAGGGCACTGTGCTCCTAGGACTAGTGGCCACAACCTTGTCCTGCTGAAGGCCCGCAGGAAGCCCTTGGGACACGAGCACTTCCACTGTCTGGTGCTCTTGAACTGGTTATTTTAGGGAGATAGGGTGTGTCCAGCTATGGGCTGGTCTCTGTGGGGCTGTGACAATTCAAAGTGACAGTAAACGGACGCAGTGTTAAAAGGTTCTCTGTGCCAGGGGTGCCTGGTGGCAGAGGCTGAGATGGATGGGTCCCAACCCATCAGCCCTGCCTTACCTGTGCTCTCTAGCTACGCCCTCATCCATCTGAAGCATGTGGGTTGAAGGGGGAGGCAAGTAAGGCTATCCATGCACAAGGCTGCCCCACCCTGTGGTCTGTCAGTAGTGCATGTCTCTTTATTTTTATTTCTTTTTAAGCTCTGGGATACCTGTGCAGAATGTGCAGGTTTGTTACATAGGTATATATGTGCCATGGTGGTTTACTGCACCCATCAACCCGTCATCTAGGTTTTAAGCCCCGAATGCATAAGGTATTTCTCCTAATGCTATCCCTCCCCTTACCCCCACTCCCCGACAGGCCCCAGTGTGGATGTTCCCCTCCCTAGGTCCGTGTGTTCTCATTGTTCAACTCCCACTTATGAGCGAGAGCATGCAGTGATTGGTTTTCTGTTCCTGTGTTAGTTTGCTGAGAATGATGGTTTCCAGCTTCATCCATGTCCCTACAAAGGACATGAACTCATCCTTTTTTATGGCTGCATAGTATTCCATGGTGTATTTGTGCCACATTTTCTTAATCCAGTCTATCACTGATGGACATTTGGGTTGGTTCCAAGTCTTTGCTATTGTGAATAGTGCCACAGTAAACATACGTGTGCATGTGTCCTTATGGTAGCATGATTTATAATCCTTTGGGTATATACCCAGGAATGGGATTGCTGGGTCAAATGGTATTTCTAGTTCTAGATCCTTGAGGAATCGCCACACTGTCTTCCACAATGGTTGAACTAATTTACACTCCCATCAACGTGTAAAAGCATTCCTATTTCTCCACATCCTCTCCAGCATCTGTTTCCTGCTGTAGACACTCGAGGGAATCTCCTGGTGTGTGGGTTGCAAAAACTGTGAGAAAAGCGTAGTATCTGGGCTGGATAGTACCGTCCCTCATGGCACAGTCCCTCGTGGCTTCCCTTGGCTAGGGGAGGGAGTTCCCCAGCCCCTTGCGCTTCCCTGGTGAGGTAACGCCCCACCCTGCTTCTAATCACCCTCGGTGGGCTGCACCCACTGTCTAACCAGTCCCAGTGAGATGAACCAAGTACCTCAGTTGGAAATACAGAAATCACTCACCTTCTGCATTGGACTTGCTGGGAGCTGCAGACTGGAGCTGTTCCTATTCAGCCATCTTGCCAGATCCCCTTTATTTCTATTTCTATTTCTATTTCTTTTTTTCTTGCCCACTCTCTTGTCTCCTTTATCTGGCACTCCACTTGCCACAAAAGAACCATGCCTTCTCCACGCGATCCTAGTAGAAATATCTCTCAGTGTCTCACCTGCCCTAAACACATCGTCTTTTCAATATAAACATAGGAAAGAGAATCTCTCTTTCTCTTTCTGGGCTCCTGTACTCAAAGGCTCACGAATTCCACCATCTCCTTGAAACTAAGCAGAGCTGGGGCTAGGAGGAGACACAGTGCTGCAGTGCTAGTGGCATTGTTTAAAGCCCTGAGGTCCAGCTGAGTTGCAAGCCAGCTGATCCCTTGGGAAGTCTAGCTGTATGAATCAATAAATGTTCCATTTTTACTTCAAAGAAAAGAGTTGACAGAGGGAGAATGAAAGGAAACAGGCCCTTTATAACAGTACAACCATCACTATGTAGAGACTACAATCCTCTAAAGAAGTCCTGCCTTAGGGGGCCCAGTCTAGGGACCTTTTGCCACTCATCAATCCAGAGGGAGCTGACTGAGTGACAGCTCTCCAGTGGGAGCAGGGTTGGGGGTGCTGACTGGGACCACAGTGGGGGCCTGGCAGCATGATGAAGCAAGAAAGCAAAGCTGGGCTCTAGTACCAAATCCACGTCCTAGGAAGGAACTCCACTTCTGGGACTAATGGCAGAAGCTCAGACTAAGACGTAATACGTGTTTGTCCAGAGTTGACAGCAGACTCCAAACAAGTTATCAGAAATGTGGAAGTAGGAAAGTATAGTTGAAGATGATGAAGGATTAGGATGCTCCCCTACCCATAAATGCATCAAGACCCCGAAAGCAGAATCCAGGGAAGGGTACTTGGAAAGAATGGCAGCCACAAGCTCTGCTTCCAGGGACCACAGCTCTGGGTTAGGAATTAGAACAGGATTCTGGGTCCATAAAGGTAAGCATCTAAGAGCAAGAAAGGGTTCCATGCTTTGGAGAAAGACCTGGGAATGAGAAAGGATGCAATATAGAAACAGCAAGTGGAGACCAAAGCAGGAGTCCAGTTCTGAATCTGGCACCACTGGGAGAAGAGTGACTTGACTCTGCAAGTGGGGTCCAGTTCAGATAAAGAATGAGGGTGGTTCACTCCAAGAGCAGAGACACTTTGGAAATCGCATGCCAGGACCACTCAGGTCGGGTTTAAAATATGAGTTTGTCCGGGTCAGCCTTGCTCCTTTTAGCTGGCTTAACATACCCCCTCTCTGGCCAGCACACCACTGAGCTGCCAGCCCGACTCTGTCAATGACATCACTCAACAGAGCCTTCTTGACTTGCTCCCCAAATGCTCCTATGTCAGTTTAGTTCCCACCCCATTGCTGCTTCCTGGTTCCATCCCCTATCCTGAACAATTCAAGATTTGCTCTTTCCTCCATGAAGCCCTGGCCCCTTGGCTGCTTCCTTGACTTGGATCTTCTCTTCCATTTCTCTCTGCACCAAGTGTTTCCTGTGGTGACTAAACACACAGATGTGGGAGGTGTGATAATTAAAGAAAGAGGAAAGAAACACGAAGGGTGGCTTGATGGTTAACAAGGACAGGTTTATTTTAGAAAACAAACCTAGGAGGGGGTTTTGGCCAAGTTAGGTTAGAGCCCCACTTTCTTACAGGCTAAGAGTTTTTAAGGATTCAGGGTGGGAGAGTTTACTAGAGGCTTGGACTGTTTTTGTGTCTCTTTGTTGTGCTTGTTTGGGAGGGAGAGTTGTGTGTTTTCATAGACCTTTCTGCAACTGCAGGCAGACCCCCGAGTCTGCTTTTAGCTTCCCTATCTTAGTGGACTTGAAGGGAAAGGAATGTGCTTATTAAGGCCTACTGTTTTACTGGGGCCCATTGTATGACAGTGAAGTTTGGCAGTTACCCAAGAGAATTTCCCCCCACCTCCCTCTGTGCCCGAGCTGTTTTATCTGTGTTTTACCGTCTGCTCTTTCTGGCTGCTTGTAGTTAGAAGAGAAGTGATTCCCTTGAGATGCATGAGGCTAGAAAGGGAGCTAGAACTTAAAGCGGTGGTGTTTGTCCAAGATGACAGTGTTCCTGCTCTGTCAGGGGGATCAATGGGCCCAGACTTATCGGGGGGGGTGTTGGAAGGCAGAGAATGGGATGTAGCAGGGTCTGAAGAGTTCCTTCCACTATGCGGCCATTCTCCTGGCTTAGGGATTCCCGGGTACTGTTGGGAAGGGGAAACATTGAAGGAAGTAAGGTTTCTAAACTTGTCATCGGGATAGAACTAGGGAAATACTCTCTCCTGACTGATCTTTCTTGGTTATGTAGGCTGCCCTACAAATTTGTATACAGTTAAACACAAAGGATGCACAGGGAGTGGGTTCTGATAGCATATCTCTGATTTTTCCTAAGGAAGTGGTGCTCTTAGTAGTGAGTCTGAAGGAATAGTTTAGGTAGGATTATTTTCTGTGTTCCCTGCTGCCAAGGTGCTACCTGGAGGTTTTCTCTTTTGCTTGGAGACCTTTATTGCTGAGTTCTTCTCCACCCCACTCCCACTTTTCCTCTTCCTCTTGCTTCTAATTCTGCATTTGCTCAAAAAGTTTAATAACTATTAAAATGTTTACTCCGCCCTGTTTTTCATACTTCCTCCTTTACCCACCTCTGCCTTCTCCCAAGCAAACCAACCAGTGTTAAAATAATAATAATAATCTTTCTTATCTTCCTCCTAATCACATGGAAATGTGAATTTTTGACCTTTGTTTTTACAGTGTTGGGATTATTTTTTCACTTCCGCCTCTTGCTTTTCACATGTAATTGAACAGAGGAGAAGTGCTTCCAAGTCATTGCTGTAAACCAGACTCAATTTTTTAATGTGTAAAATATTTTGGGGTAAGAGTGTTTCAGAACTTCACTGCTGCCTGCTTGTTTGAGCGCACGCTTTGTTTCCCACATGGAGTCACTGCCCGGGGGTGGCAGAACACCCTTTGCACACCCCTCGCCTGCCATTGAGCTTCATTGCTTGGATTCTGTCCCTGGGAGAGGGCTGGCTGAGTTTGTTTTTGTTTGGTTTTGTAGATAGATACGGACATTACTTTCCAAAACAGCTGTAGCAATTGTCAATCCCAGCGGCAACATTTGGGAGTATAATTTTTTCCCAGATGGGACCATGAGCCTAGTTTTGCAGCACTTGGGTTGATGGGGCCTGATAAAAATGGGTTACACAAAAATGGCTCGTTCATTAGGATTTCACAGAAAACCCTAAAGGGCATCCAGAATGCCGTTTAAACCAACCCATACCAGCATTACCTTGGGAATAAGGCGTTAAGCACATTCTTGACCTATTCGTAGGTGGGAGGATCGCATTCATTCCACTCGCATAAGCAGCTAAATAAACTCACTATACAGTTAAACTTTACCCTTAAACAACTCTTATCATAACTTATAGCTATTTTTTTTTCTTTTTTTTTTTTTAGAGACAAGGTCTCACTCTGACACCCAGGCTGGAGTGCAGTGGTGTGTTCATAGCTCACTATAACCTCGACAGTGAGATCCTGAGCTCGAGTGATCGTCTCCCCTCAGCCTCCCAAAGTGATGGAATTATAGGCGTGAGCTACTGTACCCGGCCACTGTTGCTGTTTTGAAAGGGAGCCCTCCTCTCCCCTACCACATTCTATATTAAGAAATTCCAAATTAAATGAAGAGATAAAAAATTCAAGGTTAATAAGTTAGTAACTGTTCATGTAATGATAATGAAAATAAGAGTCAATGTTGTAAGAGGTGTATTAAACCGTATAAATTGTCCTGGCTGAAGTGTGGGGGGCGAGGGTACCCCATTGACTGATGTATATGTAAAATAAAGTCAAAACTCTTGTTAATGTCTCAAAGACAACTACGAACAGAGTTAGGGTTCATTGGCTCACTGCCTCAAGGGAGCCAGCATGCTATGGGAAGCACGTCTCCCTGAGAAAGCACTAGAAGGACTGGTTGTAGGATTCGGGTTTGTGTTAGGTCATTATATGGGCCAGGGTGTGGGGGTTCCGAGAAGCAGGCATTTGTTGTGGATTGGGTGCTGTCAGGAAGCAGGTATAAATTTGTGAGTGGCCTTGTTTCATGAGAACATTCTGTGAAGTTGTTTATGTTCAACAAGACACGACCGCAGCCTAGTGACAGGCCAACTCTTGACTGTGAGGAGTTGCATTTCTCTTTCTCCCATGGAAGAAATTGAGTTCATAGAGGACAGATGATTTGACCAGCAGACCTGCGTCCCCCTCAACAGCTGGGTAACTCCCATTAGGTGTCCTGCCCTGTCAGACCCTCTTCACCCACCTTGAATGGTTGGTGTCAAGAAAACAACTGGCACTTAGAAATTAGTCCCTAGAGGTAAGGGAAATATGGCCAAACTGAAGAGTTATTTGGGACCTGTATTCATTGGCTAGGGCCACCATAAGAAATTACCCCAAACTGAGGGGCTTAAACAACAAAAATTTCTTTTTTCACAGCTCTGGAGGCTGAAGTCTGAGCTCAAGGTGTTGACAGGGTGGCCTCCTTCTGAGGGCCATGAAGTAAGAGTGTGTTCCAGGCCTCTCTCCTTGGCTTGCAGGTGGCCATCTTCTCCTTGCCTCTCCACATTGTCTTCCCTCATACGTGCCTGTGTCCAGGTTTCCTTTTCCTGTAAGGACACGAGTCGTATTGAATTAGGGCCCACCCTAATCACCTCATTTTAACTTAATTACTTCTTTAAATACTCCATCTCCAAAATAAGGTTACATCCTGAGGTATTGGGGTTAGGACTTCAATATATATGAATTTGAGGGGAGGGACAAAATTTAGCCCATCAGAGGATCTACCTCTGTGAAGATGGAGGCTTCCCTCCCACCAGGAGCGAAACTGCAAGAAAAGCTCATAGAAATACAACAGGTCATTATTGTCAAGCGCGTCCGTGTGAAGAGACCACCAAAACAGGCTTTGTGTGACCAAGAAGGCTGTTGGGTACTAGTGGGCTGAATCTGAAAAGAGAGTCAGAGAAGGGAGATAGGAGAGGGGCAGCTTTACGGGACTGGGGTAGGCAGTGGAAAGTTACCAGTTAGAGGTGGTTATCTATTGTTCGCAGGGGAGAGGGTCACAAGGTGCATGGTGGAGAGATCGTAAGACTCATCGTCCAGAAGAACAATGTCATAAGGTCGACTGATCAGTTGGGGCAGGGCAGGAACAAGTCATAATGGTAGAATGTCATAAGGTGGGTTAATTAGTTAAGGCAGGTTTTTCGGCTGCTCCAGACTTCTTGGCTCCTGCAGGCCATCTGGACATATATGTGCAGGCCACAGGGGTTACAAATGGCTGAGCTTTGGCTCAGAGGCCTGACAATTATGCTTTCTGCAACTAATTCTTTTCTTTTTTGTTTTCGAATGCCATGAAAGTGCAGTGACCACACGAGAAACAAGATGGCACCCATGACTGGTGCATCTGGTAGTCATTCCAGCCTTGTCTCTGTTGGGCTTACAGGTAGGCCTGTTCTTTTTGTCATTCTTCTAAAAATGAGTCACAAGGAGGTTGTTCTTGGAAAGAACTAAAGAGGAATCACCAGTTAGTGACTGAAGCAGTTGAGGGTCAGTAGTCTGCAGTCTGCTAGAGTCACCCATTTATTTTCAGTGGTTTTTAAGTTTTCTTTTCAAAGTGACAGAGAACTATGCTAAGAACTTACTGCACGGTTACCTTGTTGGTTGCCTCCCCAGGACATACTCCCCATTTTACTTCCCAAAGCCCCTGATTTCCTTAGGTCATATGCCCATGTGATTCCGAGAAGCCTTTAGAGGAAGGCAAGAAACTTAACCAGTTTAGAGTGACACAGTGCATTTGAGACTGTGGAGAAAACAGATGAGACCAAGAACTGCTGTAACCGTTTTGCTACCATGAAGAAAATCGGCATAAGGGCAAAGTGAATAGAGATAGCAGAGTTGAGGGAACGGCAGACAAAGGGAGCTAGAGTCTCAATCAAACTGTACCTGAAACCCACCTACCTCTGGGCTTTTCAGTTAAATGAACCATTAAATTCACTTTATTGTTTAAACTAGCTTGACTTGAGTTTTTTGTTGACTGCAACTCAAAATATCTGGATAGATTTATTAGCCTCCCTGAAATGTTACCAGTGTTCTTCCAAGTATGTACCAATGACTATATCATGACATATTAATTAATGTCCAGGATGAGAGATACTGATGAAGATGTACCTTGAATTTTAGAAAAATGAAGGAGACTATCATGTGGGAATAAAGGAAGGAAAATAGATTTCTGTGGGATTTGAATTGATTTCAAATTTTCAATGTCATCAAAATCCTTACCAAGCCAACTGGGTCTAGGCAGGCATAGCATACGTTCAATAAACATAGTATATATTCGATGATATGGAAGCAACTAAAGAATGAGAAAATGCTGACAATGGCAGAAGCAGCTAGAATGCAAGTCTGCTTTGAAGCTTTTAAGTGACTACTATAGAAAATATTTAATGTGAATATAGAAAACAATCTCCACTGTTTCTTGGAGAGTTGATCTTCCTACCTCTTATTTCATTTGACCCCCAAATATGTGAACCAAATAACAAGTCCCTCCCACAATGCTGGTTGCAAAGTCCAAGTGGACACTGAGGTCCAAAGGTCAGAGATGATCAGAAAGATAAACTGGTCAAGGGAAGTTAATGGTTCAAATTGATTATCCATCAAGAAGTCAAAATGGGCAATAGGTCCAAAAACAGAAGCCCAAGAAGTCAGAAAACCAGAAGCCCAAAGGCCTATCCAAAAGAGAAGCAGAAATAGAGAAACATTGCCCAGTGAACCAAGTATCCCAGGGAAACAGCCCTGTGCAGACTAATGCAGCACATGAATTGCAAAGAGCAACAAATGCAAAGACAATCTCATATTCAAAAGCGTCATGTCATGCACTAATATGCAAAAGGAAGGGGACTGCAAAGATTAACCAATGAAAGATGAAAATTTCAGAATACTAGCAGCAGCAGTAATTGCAACAGCAGCAGCAGGCAAGGCAGAAAGTCCTGTCTAATAGAAAGGCAACTTACGTAAATGCTGACTGAGGCTGAGCAACCATTTTAAAGTAATGTACTTCATGTACGTCTGCTAACATTACTTCTGGATAAGACAACTCTCCGGCAGGGAAATTATAGACAGGAAGGCACAAAAGACTGGGATTGAAATGAACCAAGGCTATTACAACGTTGCCTCTAGTTACCTGTGGCTAGAAGCTTTTGTCATTCCCTGGAGGAAGAGAAATCAGCAGTTAAACATGAAGCACATCTGTGTAGTAGATATGATGATTAACCATATGAATGCCCAAACTAAGCATCTGATAAACTAGTCTACAGGTAACTTATAGTCTCACTTCAGTTTTCCTCGTTATGACTTTGCTTCCAAAAAGACAAGCTAAAGAATGTTATTTAGACTTTGATACACACACAAGAAGTATATTAGTGCCCAGCTGTATAAACATCTGTGAGGGGCCGGGTGTGGTGGCTCATGCCTATAATTCCAGCACTTTGAGAAGCCAAGGTGAGGGGATTGCTCAAGCCCAGGAGTTCAAGACCAGCCTGGCCAACACAGGGAGACCCCATCTCTACAAATAATTTAAAAATTAGTGGGGTATGGTGGTACCTGCTTGTGGTCCAAGCTACTTGGGAAGCTGAGGTAGGAGGATCACCTGAGCCTCAGAGGTCGAGGCTGCAATGAACCATGATCAAGCTACTGCACTCCAGCCTGGGCCACAGAGCAAGACTTCGTCTCAAAAAATAATAATAAAATAAACTTCCATCAGGACTATCCCTGAGATTGGATGTTTTTAAGTAAACAGGTCTGAGACTTGCTCACCTCTCTTTTTCCAGATTAGTAAGTGTCCAGCTCTTTGAAGGGCCAGAAGCCAATACAAGCTGAGCAAGAATGATGATTACTTTCCAACTTGGTAAGAGGACAAGGTTGCTGTCCTGAGAATATGATTTTATAAAAGTAGAGATGCTGTTAAAGCTCATGAAATTGTAAGCTTATGTTCAAACATGCAGATCACCTCTGTGGTATAATAAAAAAAAAAAAAAACTGCTGGTCATTTTCCTGGGTTCCTGGTTCAGAGCTTCAAAAACCCTTGGAATTTCCTGAGTCATAGGAGTGCCTTTGTTATGCTAATGAGGTGACCCCATCTGATGACTGGAGAAACACCATGATCCTTTGTCTCCCGCTGATTAGATAAACGACATGGATACAAGTGGGGTGGTTTTAAGGAGCGGGAAGTTTAATAGGCAAGAAAGAAGGAACACACTCCCCCATAGAGAGACAGAGGGAGAGGGGCTCCTAACAGAGAGAAAAACCCCTGTGTGGCAGAAAAGTCATCAGTTATATTGGGAGGCTGGAGGAGGTGGTGTCTTATTTGCCTAGGGCCCAGGGGATTGGTTTGACCAGGTGTATCATTTATGTAGCCCACAAAAAGCCTGGTCCTCCTACCCTAGCCTTTTAACATGCAAATGCAGGTCGCCATGATGTCCTGCACAGGTGGTGTTATCTGTAGGTGGCCATGACACTGTTGTACCCACTAGCGAGTTAAGAAAACGCCACACTTTGAGACGAATTAAGAGTCCTCTATTAAGCCGGCGGCCAAAGAGACAGCTAATGCTCAAAATTCTCTCGGCCACGAGGAAGGGGCTCGATTAACTTTTATACCTAGGTTTAGGAAGGGGAGGGGGACTCAAATGTAATAATTTTACAGAAGTAAAAACATGCAAGAATCAAAAGAAACAAAATGGTTACAGAGTGATAAACAACTTAAAAGACAAATGGTTACAAGAAGAGCAAGGGTACCAGGAGCAAGGTTCTAAATCTTTCATTATAATTAGATATAGGGTCTATGCCGGACACGAACTCAAGGTTTTATGTTGTCATCTCTCGGAGAAAAATCCTGGGAACTTCATACATTGTTGGTGTTAGTACCTTATCAGTTAATTGGGCTCCTTTGAAATGCTGAGGATCTGTTTACCCAGGCCAACTCCTTACGAAAGGGGGTTGGGTGAGGAGCCCTTAGTGTCTTGTAAATTAAGGGGTCAGTTGGAGTTTGTCCGGCCTTCCTAGCTAGAGAGAGTCTTATTTACATGAGAAGCAAGGCTAGGTGATTAAAGAGACAAGCAAGACAAAATTCAAAGTAACGAGTTAAAGTGAAAACAAGGTTAGGCATTTCAACACCTGGCACACATGGTGACAAAGAGAAGAGGGGAGGAATTGCCAATTGGATGGACCTAGTTTCTAATCGCTTCCATTTGCATATCAATACTTGCCGGCCTGGCTTTCCAAGCTGCTTTTCTATTAGGAAAGAAACGTTTTGGGAGTTGCTTTTATTAAAAGAAATTTCCACTGAGAACCCTCACCCTTTCTGCCTACCTAAAAATTATTTCTTAGTAAATCCTGTATTACCATGGTGGGGCCCCTAGACAGCTTCAGGATGGAAGCTGCTCAGCAGAAAGACCAAGCACCTGATAATAGTGTTGATTGAGGCTTTGAGCCCTGTGAGATCGGCTTGTTCTCCAGACCTCCAATATGCTGAAGACTGATTTCGATCAAGTAGCTAAGTATTTATTCAATCATGTTTATGTAATGAGACCTCAATAAAACCTCTGAACACCAAAGCTCAGTGGAGCTTTGTGGTTGGCGAACACATTGATGTGACAGCAGAGTGACATACCAAATTTCCCAGGGAGGGGGGCATGAAAGTTCCATGTCTAGGACCCTCCCAGACCTCATCTTAGATGTATTCTTTATAATAAAATTATAATAATAAGCTTAGGGCTTTCCTGAGCTCTGTGAGCCATTCTAGTGAATTAGTGAACCTGAGGGGGTCATGGAAACTCCCAATTTAGTGGCCAGTTGGTCAGAAGTGCAGGTGGCCTGAGAACCCCTGAACTTGCAGCTGGCATCTGAAGTAAGAGTAGTCTTACTGGGGACTATGCTCTTAAACCTGCAGAGTCTGATGCTAACTATGGGCAGTTAGTGTCAGAATTGAATTGCAGTACATCCAGGTGGAGTGGAAACAGAACACATTCTATCAGAATCAAGAAAGGGATTGGCCAGTCACCTCTCAAGAGCGATGTGGTCAGCTGTCACTGCCTACATGCCCAAACCACCAGCTTTAAGATAAATCTGGCCAGGGCCTAGTGGCAGGTGGCTCTCTTTCCTCAGAGCTCAACACTTCCCTGACATGTGATTTGATTTTTTTTTTTTTTTTTTTTTTGAGATGGAGTCTCAATCTGTCACCCAGGCTGGAGTGCAGTGGCGCGGTCTCAGCTAACTGCAACTTCCGCCTCCCGGATTGAAGCGATTCTCTTGCCTCAGCTTCCTGAGTAGCTGGGATTACAGGCGCCCAACACCACACCCAGCTAATTTTTGTATTTTTAGTAGAGACGGGGTTTCACTGTGTTGGCCAGGCTGATCTCAAACTCCTGACCTTGTGACCCGCCCGCCTTGGCCTCCCAAAGTGCTGGGATTACAAGCATGAGCCACCATGCCTGGCCACCTGACATATGATTTGAATGGTGATTCTTCCAGAGAAGCCAGAACTCCTCCCTTCTTTCCCAATAAAGGTGATTTGTTATGCTTAGAACTAAATGTGATTTAACTGTTGTAAGCATGTGTAAAATAAATTCCCAAATAAGAAAAAAATATATTTGTGGTCTCAGGGTGTTTTGGTTCTGAGGCCAGTTATGCAGTCTAACAGTTGTCCATCCTGACAGGCCATCTCTCTACTGAAAGTGAGCACAGAGCAATTCTTTCATGGAGGAAACAAATGATAAAGTAAGATTCATCATCAGTTAGCAGAAGAGATAGAAAAGACTTCGGAAAACATATAAAGGAAAAAGCACAAAATATAGATTAACCGACATCTCCTGAACTCTACAAAACATTTTAAATATATCCATTTTGGCAAACTTTCAAGATAAAAGCCTCTGTTTTTCAGGAATCCAAAGGAAAAATGGTGGGATCTGAAGAGACTATTCTCATCCATCCTATTTTGTGAGTAAGTCATAAGAGATCGAAAAGGTGACAGCAGCTGTGAAGAAGACAGGAAAACAACCTTTGTCTTCAATGCCTGAAGGCAGAGGAAGGCTTGGGAAAGCTGTTGGTCTCTGGCATTGCCCATAGAGATCATCCCACTAAACTAGGATTTAGGAGCCTAATTGGAGGGGATTGAGACTACAGATTTAGAATAATGCCCTTAAAGAAGAAAGTGACATGTTGCATGTGTGCTTTCAGTTCCAAGACTAAAGTTTGCTGCATCCAGTTTCCTAAGTATTAGGACAGTCTGCCCCAGAATCCAAGTCAGCACAACTTACACAGCAATGAAAAAATCCAAAGTTCAAGAACAGAAGCTAAGGAACCCTGTAGCTGACAAGAGGGAGGAAGTCTGAAGAAGTGCACAAAGTTAAGGTGGGCCAGTTTGGAGGAAATACAGGCAGCCATATATCAGTGCTCAGGATTCAAGGCTTAGCTTCTGAACAATCAAATTGCCTCCAATAGGAAAGGGAAAGAAATATGGCCTCTGGTCTCTATTACTGATACGGTTTGCATCTGTGTTCCCACCCAGATCTCATGTCAAATTGTAATCCCCAGTGTTGGAGGTGGGACCTGGTGGGAGGTGATTGGATCGTGGGGACGGATCCTTGGTGAATGGTTTAGCACCTCCCCTCGGTGCTGTTCTCATGATACAGTTCTTATGAGATCTGGCTGTTTGAAAGTGTGTAGCACCACCCCTCTCTCACTCTCTTCCTCCTGCTCCAGCCATGTAAGACATGCCTGCTGTCTCTTCAATTTCCACCGTGATTGTCAGTTTCCTGAGGGCCCCCCAGAAGCAGAAGCCACTCTGCTTCCTATACAGCCTGCAGAACCATGAGCCAATTAAACCTTTTCTTTATAAATTACCCAGTCTCACGTATTTCTTTATAGCAGTACAAGAATGGACTAATACGATTACCACACCTAGAATGGAATTAACATTTAGGGATCACTTGAGCCCTTCATATAAATACCAGGATGATGTGCTGAACTGCACAATCTATCAAAGATTACTGGGGAGGGTTCTTGAGGGAGTTGGGTTCCCATTCCCCTATCTCCCCTCCATCTTTCCTCCCAGTCTGCAGTGATACAGGGTAGACTCAGGGCTTTGGTTCCATAGATACCCTCCAAAATCACAACACACACACACACACACACACACACACACACACACACACACGAAAAATGTCTAAGATGGAGCTATACATCTCCTTTTCTGCATGTCGACTTTATTCTTAATATTCTATAGTCTCCTAAATCACTCCTTTGTTTTCTGAAACTATTCTAATTATAAATCTCCAACCTTATATAATGTTTCAGGGCACTATGTGCTAGCCACACATCTAGTACTACTACTTTGAATGTCTCTAAATTTCTCAGGGAAAAGAAGAGATACAAGTATCTGTGACTATTTGCTTAGATCAAATCTGCAGAACCTAGAGAAAATCATTTTCCTCTGTGAAACACAGCACTAACTTTGATATTATGTGGCAATCCAAGATATGTTAGGAATTAAGTGGAAAATCTTATGAGGTTACTGGATAGTGGAAGACAAAGGACCATTAAGAAGACAAAGGGACAGGTTTCTTCATTCATTTCACAGATCAGGAAGCTGATACCCAGATTGAGAGTTTAGATCCTTTGCCCCACTTACTGCTTCTTAGGAAAATCAAGGTTGGATCTTAGATACACTGATGTGGCCTGATTTTCCTTCTCCATTAAGTTTGGAATTATGATGTTGGAATCACAAGACCTTGAAAGCCCATATACAAATGCAGATATTTTATCTATTGGCCTTCATCATAGAGAAATTTATCAGAGTCATTTTTAGATAGATGGACATTTAGTATTAAAATTATAAGTGGAATTGGAGTTGGAAAGGAAGACAGACTTAACAGCTGCACATTTCTGCATCAGATGCAAGAAAGGCATATATTTAGACATAGCTGGATCTGCTGCTCTGAGCCAGACCAAAGCACACCTCTCCTCTCACACTCTGGGGTAGGTTTGAGGAGACAAGGCGACAGAAACACTAAAGCAAAAGTAAGAGGGAGGGACAAATTAATGAAGCAACAATTATCATTTAATAGACTTTCAGATATTCTATGCCAACTGCTGCACTCTCAGCTCAGGCCTGAGACAAAATGGCAGAGGAAGAAGATTAAAGAAGACAAGGGTGAGAACAGAGAAATCAGAGTGCTATCAGTGGCACGAGCTTCCAGTTGGTGAATTTTTTACAAATGAGCAACACATTTGCCCGCCCTTTGGTATTTTCTGCTTATATTGATACATATAAATTGCCAGTGTGTATTTCTTTGAGGTTTACAGATTTTCTTTATCAAAGTATCAAAATATTCAGAGGTTCTTCATTTATCCCTGGCATGTAGAGATAATGTGAAGCTCTTAGGAAACAAAAAAATCATTCTAGGCTTAGGAAGTGGAACCTGAAACTTCTTTCAATAAGCTTCTGAATCCTGTGAACCGTAGTTGTCTGTTCTTTCACGGGGCCTATTGTGTAGAAAAAAAAGGCCTGGTAACCCTCCCAACTCAACGTACTAAAACCAAAGTAGCAGCCTTCCCAGCACCAATGGCCTGTTTCTATTAATTCTCCTAGGCTCTCAAATTATCTTGGATTCTTTTCTTTTTCCTATATATTAAGGACATCATTGTGTTCTGAGAATTGGCCTTCCATGTGATCTGATTCTCTCCTTCATCTTCCATTCTCTCTGCCTGCAACACCAGTTCGAAGTTTGCAAATTACTTTTCTCTGCCTTTTCTGCCCATCTCTCTCCCTGTCTCCAGTAAATCCTGAACACTACCAGGTTCAGGATTGAGACTCTTTAGATTTTTATGTTAATTAGCCTAATAGGGATATTAAGATGAACACATTGTGTAGGCAGATCACTTTAATTCTTCCTCTAAGAATAATGGCAGAGGGGGACTGCCATAAGTGAGAATAAAGGAAAGCCATTGAGTAAGGCAGGACATTATTCCTAGGAAAATGTCAGTTTCTAATTACTGCTGACAATGCTAGTATTTTATTTCTATTACTCCTGGATATACCTGCGGTGATTGGCATTGGAGTTTGACAAGGGGTTAGTGTGCCTTTTTTAAGGGCAGTGTAGAAGAGTATCTCTAATACCTCACCCATAAACAAGTGTGGTGGGAGAGGAACCCCTAGTAACAGAAATGAAGGAGGGTAGACAGTCTCTATGGCTTTTAGAAAACAGGGTAGAGCTAAGTGTAACTATCATGAGGTCCTTATGATCACATGCTTATTTGCTTCAAAAAGACCATTAATTACTAAAGTGATGAAGTACAAACTTCTTAGTCGCATTCAAGATTTAACATCAAAACAGCAAACCAGTCTTTCGAAAAAGAACCTCTAATGCTCATGAATCCTCAAGAGTGATTTCCTTCTAAAATCTTGATTTACACGTGGAATGACCTCCCCAAGGCTCTGCCAGACCCATATCCATCCCCCCTCCCTTCAAGGCCCAATTCAAGCCCCACCTTCCCTATGAAGCTTTGTCTGACCAACAGGTCCGCATGACCTCTTCCTCCTCTGAATACCCCTAGCACAGGGGTCCCCAATCCCAGGCCATGGGCTAGTACCTGTTCATGGCCTGTTAGGAACTGGGCCGCACAGCAGAAGGTAATTGGCGGGTGACCGTCTGAGCTCAACTTTCTGTCGGATAAGCGGGGCATTAGATTCTCATAGGAGTGCAAACCCTATTGTGAACTGCCGCATGCGAGGGATCTAGGGTGCGAGCTCCTTATGAGAATCTAATGCCTGATGATCTGAGATGGAACATTTTCATCCTGAAACCATCCCACCCACTGCCCACCCCAACCCCTTGCCCCCACCCCCACCCCACCATGAAAAATTGTCTTCCATGAAACCTGTCCCTGGTGTCAAATAGGCTGGGGACTGCTGGCCTAGCAGATACAGTCTGAACTCATTTGGCTCTTAATATACATATATACCACCTTTAAACAATTCTTTATTTCTGTGTCCTCATTTCCCAGACTAAATCACTAACCCCTTCAGGACAGGCTCTGTTTGAGTTAGACAAGGTTATAATTTGCACCTAGCTCGTGATGGCTTCTCCATCAACATTTCCTGTTGATTACTGATTGAGCCACTATCAGAAGCAGATGAAAACTTGAGTTGATGGAACCAAAAGTGTCCTAGTTCCTGTGATGGTTAGCGGAATCCAGCGCTTATCTAAAGACCTCAGAGTTTATTACCCTTTGAGTAATAAACCCCACAAATTGGAGACTCAGGTAGATTCAAAGCCATCAACACACTGGAAGAAATTTCCGCACTCAGTGAGCGTCGGGATTTCCACAAGCTAAATTTTTGTTTAGGTTTTTGGTTTTTTGTTTTTCTTTTTTCTCTCTTTCTCTTTCTTTCTTTCTTCCTTTTCTTTCTTTCTTTCTTTCTTTCTTTCTTTCTTTCTTTCTTTCTCTCTCTCTCTCTCTCTCTCTCTCTTTCTGACAGAATCTCGCTCTGTCGCTCAGGCTGGAGTGAAGTGTTGCGATCGGCGCACTGCAACCTCTGCCTCCCGGGTTCAAGTGATTCTCCTGCCTCAGCCTCCTGAGTAGCTGGGATTATAGGCGCGTGCCACCACGCCCGGCTATTTTTTGTATTTTTAGTAGAGACGGGGTTTCACTATGTTGGTCAGGCTGGCCTCAAACTCCTGACCTCTTGACCCACCCGCCTCAGCCTCCCAAAGTGCTGGGATTACAGGCGTGAGCCACCGCGCATGTCTTTTTTCTTTTTTTGGGAGGGACTCCCTCTCTGTCGCTGGAGTGCAGTGGCACGATCTCAGCTCACTGTAACCTCTGCCTCCCTGGGTTCAAGCGATTCTCCTGCCTCAGCCTCCAGAATAGCTGGGATTACAGGCGCGCACCACCACACCCAGCTAATTTTTGTGTTTTTTAGTAGAGACAGGACCTGGCTAATTTTTGTATTTTTAGTAGAGACGGGGTTTCACTATGTTGGCCAGGCTGGCCTCCAACTCCTAGCCTCAGGTGATCTGTCCACCTCGGCCTCCCCAAGTGCTGGAATTACAGGCGTGAGCCACCGTGCCCAGCCTTATTTTTTTAGGTGTTTAACTCAAGAGGCCAAGGAAGCAGAAACATCCACCCAACCTCCTTCTAGCGTGAACAGCTCTTTATTCTGTATCGTCAAGTGGCTCTTGAAACACTTTTGAGATGTGGAGTAAAAAGTTATTAAAGACCAGGGGGCAGAGAAGACTAGGCTAACTCTTTCCCAGCTCACTCTTAAGAAACATCAGCGACAGAGGAGCCCCTGGAAGACAGCAACAAAGGCTCAGCTGAGGATGCTCCCCAGCATTCGAAGGCCACCTGGGCAGACCAGGAGAATGGAAGCTCTGAGGACAACAACTTTTCTGAAACCCAGAATGACAAAGACTCTGCAAGTGCCGGAGACGCTCCAGCTTCTGGAGCAGATATGGAAGAGCCCAAGTGTGCAGACGACCGTCAGCATATGCCAACAAGTCCTCTCCCGGCACCTGCGCAAAAAGCAATAGACACAAACCCTGAAGAGGCAGAAGAAATAAAACCTAGCGAGCTCAAGGAGGATTAGGATGCTGAAGAGCCTGACCTGATCTGTTGTGGCCTTTGTATTTCATGGTGGAAATCTCTAAGGGCAAGTGAAGGAGCCCTGAGAATATCCTCCAGGGAACAGACACCCTCTCCATAGCAGCCCCTGAGCCCACTGGGCTGAGCCCTCCATAGGCTGCTTTAATGAGGGAGGGGCTGAGGTGCCGGTCAGGCTACCACATGCAGGATTCCGAGGGCCATGCAGCGCGTTCTTGTCCGCAGTGCCACTTAAGCTCATTTGAGGGGATCCAGCCCTGCCCTCCATGTCCCCAGAAGACAACAGGGAGGGAGCTTCACCAGTTCAACATGAGCAGCCACCGGGGTTGATCATGAATCCCCGTTTCATGCCTCCTGGGAAAGGTGTGAGAAGGAGGGAGGCACCCCGAGGCTTCTTGCCACACAAGCAGCACCCGCAGCCCAGCATTGCACACCTGCGAGCACTCAGTAGGTCCTGGCATCAAGAAGGGGAAAGGCCAGGATCCAAGACCCGCTGGGATGTGCCCAGTCCCACGGACCCCCCAGCCTCCATGGAGCCCTCGGTGTCTGGGGTGGCCTCATGGCCCCGTTTCTCAAGATGAGGTTGGAGGCTTCTGTGTGTAGAGAGCACTGGCTTGGGCATCAGTGGTTCTGTGTCTGTGTCAGACACCAACAAGAAACCCTTGATATACATATTGTAGCAGGACGAGCCGCAGACAAAACTCCTGACACTGGATTAAAGAAGGAAGAAGTTTATTCGGCCGAGAGCGTTGGCAGACTCGCATCTTAAAAGCCGAGCTCCCCAAAAAAGAAATTCCTAGCCCTTTTAAGGGCTTACAACTTGAAGGGGGGGGTCCATGTGAAACGGTTGTGATAGATGGAGCAAGCGTGGGGAACGTGACTGGGGGCTACATGCATCGGCTAACAGAACAAAAAGTTTTACAGCGCTTTCTCATACAATGTCTGGAACTTACAGATAACACAAGTAGTTTTGGTCAGGGGTTAACATTATTATTATTATTTTAACCACCAAGGCCGGGTGGTGGCGCCAAGGTCGTCTAGCTATTTATCTTACTTCTGTTTCTTTCTAACTTTTTGCTGTCTCACTTTTCTCCTGTCTTATAAACTAGGGAAAAGGGGAGGTGGTGGAGAAGAAGCTGGGAGGGACAACAGGAGAAGTGGTGGTCTCATTCCATAGTATAAGCACATTTTTTCCAATAAGTCAACCTTAGCTTACTGTAACTTTTTCACTTTATAAACTTAGTATTTTAACTTTTCAAAAAACAAACAAACAAAAAACAAAAGAAACATCAGCCTATTACATATTTCCTCTTTAGACATCTGGACTCCTCTACAAAGAGGTGTCTATTTTTGATTTTATGGTGTCTAAGAACTTGGTCTCCCAGAGTGCCCTGTCCCCCAAAAGATGTTCAAAGCTGGCATTCTATAATCTACCCAAACTCTTCTGCTTTTGTGTTAATTACAGCTGGCTGCAGAGAGAGTCCAGTCCCGTGAGCCCCATCTTCCGCTTGAAGCTGTTTGACAGGTCCCCTGTGTGGCTCAGGGCCCAGCCTTTCAGATCAGTTCAATAAAACCCAGGGGTCTACTCCAAGGACACTAACCCATCACTTTCCAGTGCCTCGTATAATTACGCAGCCGACCCTAGAACGCCCTCCCCGCCTCCACGTCCCCTCTACATGAAGGCGCTAAGCCCAAAACTCCTCAGGTTTTTCCACAGGCCGTCGTCACTCCCTCTTTGCCACGGCGTTTGAGATTCTGGGCTAAGACTATTGGTTTCAGCATCTGGGATGTTTTCTCACAGCCGAGGACGCTGAATAGAAAACTGCCAGAAAGCGGGAGGGGTCCCCGGCAGCAGGTCCCGTTTTTTCTCCCCACCTGCCTCCCGGGTGCTGCGGCTTCCGCCACGACAGTCTCGACCCTGCACACGGATTTTTTTCCTCCGTTCCATGAACCAAACATAATGATTCTGGTTTACATATTTAAGCGAAGGGGAGAAGAAACGCGACTCTCAGGACCCAAGGGCTGAGGCAGGGTTTTTCTGTCTCAAAGACCTCCAGTTAAGACATTTTTCTCCTGCAAAGCCTTTCCTACAATGATGGCTTAATCGTGTAATTATGTAAACCAGTCACAACCTGGATAGCTAAAACAAAAAAACCAATTCCCTACGCCCGAGCCAAGCCTGCTCCCCCTCGCCGTGCCGCATCCCAAACACCCCGCGCTCGCTCAGCCAACGGCCAGGTTTCGGTTCAACCGAAAACCACGGGAAGTGGGAGGAGCTACTGGCTCAAGGGAGGGAGGTGGGACTTGACCTCCGAGCAACGGCCCCGGTGATTGGCCAACCTTCTGCCGCCGCCACCAATGGGCAGGCGCCCTGAAACGTTCGGCGAGCCGACTGCGGCTGCGCGGGGTATTCGAATCGGCGGCGGCTTCTAGTTTGCGGTTCAGGTTTGGCCGCTGCCGGCCAGCGTCCTCTGGCCATGGACACCCCGGAAAATGTCCTTCAGTAAGTGTCCGTCTGGTGGGGTGGGGAAGCCCAGGGGGCTGGGGCGCCTGGGGTTCGGGCCCGGCCCGCCCCAGACCTGCCTTCTTTTGCCCCCTTCGCCCCCTTCCTGGGTTTGGAATGTGTCCCACCCAGCAAGGCCGTGGGCTGCTTGAGAGCCGGGGAGGGCTCCGGCACCTTGGGTTCCGCTGAGGCCCGGCGCTTGTCCGCCCATCTGCGCCGCGGTGGCCGTTTGGAGCAATCTGGATAATTCGTTAGGCCCTCAGAGCTCTCGTTTATTCTTTGTAAGGAATCCCCTCCTGACAGTTCAACCTAACAAAAATCCTGAACCTTGTGTTTAGATTTTGTGATACGTTTTCAAAGTCACGTATTTAACAATTCGACTACAGTAGGGAACGAATTTAAAGTTGCTCTCCTATCCATAATCTCACTGCTATTTTTTAAAAGTCTTTGAATACAGGGTACTTTAAGAAAAAAAAATTGAAAAAAAATAGCTTTGCTCATTATTGAGTGATGTGTGCCAACCTGCTAACATCACTCACTTTTTACTTAAAGTTCCCACGCCTTTGTTTTATGACTTAGATGATTTACCCAGACTGTTACTTAAAGGCATTTAAAACAATTAAGTCATAGGTTCAGGAAGTAAAACTGGTCCGTTTTATCAGTTCTTTGCGATCAGAAGACCGAGATTGTTAAATGCAGTCAAAACAAAAATCCATTTGCTCTAAGACTTTTTCTGTAACCTTCAACCTAGCCAGCAAATTATTTTCTTTCAGAAGTCCCCCGCCCCTTTTTTAAAGGTAAAGCAGATATTCCTGGTCCTGTTTTGACTTACTAAAGATTAATGTGCTTTAATGAACTGGATGTTTTACTATTACAGTGCATTTAGGTCATTTTACTAGAGAAATGTGGTTGGTGTTAGAATATGAAATGTTTACCTTGGGCGAGCCTACTAGACATATTTTGGAAGAAAGGTTCTGAAATAGGGATTTGTCCCTCTGCTATAAGACATGAGAGACATTCAAACTTCAGAATTATTATTTTTTTTAGTTTTAAAAATAAGCAATGCGTTTATATGACTAAAAGAAGATTTAGAACAGTATTTACCGAGAACTCCTGTACCTGACTACTGTCCCACTCTGTCACATGTAACCGTTTTTCTAGTTTCTTTTTGGAAATATAAATATTTACATTATTATAATATATTAAATGTCTGCACGTTTGTATACATTTTTTGCCTTTACCACACATAAAATATAACAGTATATATATACGCTGCTCTTTTGCCTAACAATATCCCTGGAGATCTCTACCAATACATAAAGTTCTTTCTTATTCTTTTTTTACAGCTGTGTAATACTTCATGTACCCTAATTGATCTAAGCAGTCAACACAGGTTGTTGACAATCTGTTTCAAATAGTGGCACGGTGAAAAATCTTGTACATAACATTTTGCGGATACACATGTGTATGTGTCTTCTAGATCTGCAGAAGCGGTTTGTTGGATCAAAAGCAAATCAGTCCAGTTTTGGTAGATAATTCCCTTGGCAGGAATTGAGCACATGCCCACCTACAAGCAAGATGCGACAGA
Organism: Homo sapiens; assembly: GCF_000001405.40. Taxonomy (NCBI): domain Eukaryota; kingdom Metazoa; phylum Chordata; class Mammalia; order Primates; family Hominidae; genus Homo; species Homo sapiens. The sequence goes on along the minus strand of NC_000002.12, from coordinate 110,676,381 downwards.
GAGCCTGTTTCTTATTGCTGCACCTACACAATCTTTTCACATGTTTTTTAGTTTTGCCAATCTGATGAGTGAAGAATTGTTTCTCAGCGAAGTGAATTTCTGTTATGAGAGACTGAACATTTTTCATGTTTGTGAGCCATGTATCTTTTTCTGTGAAATAATTTATTATGCCCTTTGCTCATTAAAAAAAAATAGGTTAATAGTTTTTTTCTCAGCTTCTAAAAGCTCATTGTTTTTCCAGTTTATCATTTCTCTTTTGACTATTTTGTGGTTTTTTTGTTTGTTTTGGTTATTTGCCATGGAGAAGTTTTTATTTATATATAGTTGTCTTTATTTAGCTTTTCTTTTGTGGCTTCTGGATTTTGAGTCATAAGAAACATTGATTTCATTCATATACCGAGGTGATAGCTAGAAGTAAATATTGCTTTTTAGGCAGGACATGGTGGCTCATGCCTGTAATTCTAACACTTTGGGAGACCAAGGTGAGAGAGTCACTTGAGGCCAGGAGTTCAAGACCAGCCTGCGAAATATAGTGATACCTCATCTCGGCAAAAAATAAAAAATTAGCCAGACATGGTGGCATGTGCCTGTAGCCTCAGCTACTCAGGAGGCTGAGGCAGGAGGATCTCTTGAACACAAGAGTTCGAGGTTACAGCGAGCCATGATTGCACTGTTGCACTCCAGCGTGGGCAACAGAGCAAGATTCCATCTCTAAAAAAATAAAAATAAAAATACATATTGCTTTTTACATCGTTTTTTCAAAAAAAAAAAAAATCTTATAGTGTCTCAGATAGAAAACCTCGGAGTCTTCCTGACTGGTTTCCCACTTCGATTCTCACCTCTACCTCCTTCACACAGAGGGACATTAAAATGCAAATTAGGTCTTGTCACCCCCACCTTTTCCTGCTCATCACACTTGAACCACACTGGCTTGCTTTCTGTTCTTGAAGTTCTCTCAGCCTTGACCATTTCCCCCTCAGATAGCTACGTGGCTGTCTGGCACTGATCACATGTCACCGCCTCTGAGAGGCAGGGCTTCCTTGACCAGCCTATCTAAAAATAGTAACTCATCACATTCTCACCCTTTCTCCTATTATATGTTATTTTGTTTGTTCTTCTGAGTACTTAATGTAACCTGACATTACTTTGCATGTTTCTTTTTGTTTAGCCCTTCTAGCTCTCCCCAAGGGGAATTTTGCTTTGCCTGGCTGCTTTTTTTCAGCTGTAGTTGAGTATATGGAAGTGGGGGATGCAGAGTTCTCTGGGAGCTCTGTGGCTGATTTCTGAGCACTGTTATCATCTGCTCTTCCTCAGGGACTTTGTTACTTTGAAGCAATGAAAACAAACTGTGTCTGGGAACTCTACTTTGTGGTACTCTGGGCTGCCTCACACCCGTTTACAATCCCTCTTTGACTCGTTCCAGCCGTGTCTCAGCCATGCTCCTGGGAAGCAAAGGCAGGTGTCTGAGTCAGTGCCATGCCTGGATCCCACTGGAAGGGCAGGTGTCTCAGTCAGTGCCATGCCTAGATCCCACTGGAAGGGCAGAGGTCTGAGTCAGTGCCATGCCTGGATCCCACTGGAAGGGCAGAGGTCTGAGTCAGTGCCATGCCTGGATCCTGCTGGAAGGGCAGGAGTCTGAGTCAGTGCCATGCTTGGATCCTCTTGTTAGGAGGAGGAGCAAACTTCTGGCAACTGCCCCTCATGGTGGTAGTGACATTGGGGTTCCGTGAGAGGAGAAGGAGACTCTTGGGGATAGAGCTGGGACTTATGGAAAAACACTGGCTGCTTCTGAGTTTTCTGACTATGTCTGAGCGAATGCTTCTTAAAATTTTAAATACTATTTGGATCGATATTTAAGATTTTCATTTTAATGCATATAAATGGTGTATATATAAAATGATTGATATTTAAGATTTTTGTTTTAATGCACATAAATGGTATATATAAAATGAAGTATATCTTTTGCTTGTAGAAATTATCCCTAATATCCCATGTGCATACCTTTCTCTCTTCTAGGATGCTTGAAGCCCACATGCAGAGCTACAAGGGCAATGACCCTCTTGGTGAATGGGAAAGGTCAGCATTTAGTTATTTTATTTCCCTTAAACAAACTATACACTGCCCCATGGAAAATTAACATTATCCATATTTTTCTAGATACATACAGTGGGTAGAAGAGAATTTTCCTGAGAATAAAGAATACTTGATAACTTTACTAGAACATTTAATGAAGGAATTTTTAGATAAGAAGAAATACCACAATGACCCAAGATTCATCAGTTATTGTTTAAAATTTGTAAGTATACTTAAGATGTATAATCAAATCTATAATCATGTTGTACTTTTGCTTTTTAAACTTAGATTGTAAGATCATTTTAGGCTTTTAATTCCTTGTTTCTAGTTCTGAAGATACAGAGAGGAAAATCTGTTCATTCTCTGATTCAACAGACTTCTGTGCCACTAGTGATTAAAAAGTATGTAGGGGCTGGGCGCAGTGGCTCACACCTGTAATCCCAGCACTTTGGGAGGCCAAGGCAGGTCGATCACTTTAGTTCAGGAGTTCGAGACCAGCCTGGCCAACGTGGTAAAATCCTGTCTCTACTAAAAATACAAAAATTAACTGGGCATGGTGGCAGGCACCTGTAATCCCAGCTACTCGGGGGGCTATGGCAGGAGAATTGCTCGAGCCTGGGAGGTGGAGGTTGCCATGAGCCGAGATCAGATCATGTCACTGCACTCCAGCCTGGGTGACAGAGTGAGACTCTGTCCCCACCCCCCGCTCCCCCACCAAAAAAAAAGTATGTGCGGACTTCTCTCTACCAGCAACCAGTCAATCAACTCTGTAGTTGTGTCTCCAATTCAATTCCAGCACTACCTGAAAATAACTTCAGATTCCACAGCTTAAGGGTTCTGTTCCACAAGACTGCCTCTCACTTACAATGCCAGTTGCAAGCCACAGGTTGTTTTACCTGTGCTTCTGCCTGACTGGCTACAAAGCAGAGTTCGCACAACCCTCTCCCTGGGTCTGAGTTCGATCAGTTTGCATGAGTGGCTCACAGAACTCAAGGAAACACCTACGGTTAATGTTTTATTATAAAGGATATTATTAAGAATACTGATGAACACCAGATGAAGAGATGTTTAGGGCAAGGTATTGGGGAAGGTGTGTGGAGCTTCCTTGCCCTTTCCAGGTGTGACACCCTCCAGGAACCTCCATGTATTTAGCTCTCCAGAAGCTTGTCTAAGCTCTATCGTTTTGGGTTTTTATGGAGGTGCCTTACACAGACATGATTGATTAAATCATTGGCCATTGGTGATTGGCTTAAACTTCAGTCCCTCTTCCCTCCCTGGAGGTTCAGCAGTGGGGCTGAAAAGTCCAACCCTCTAAACCTGCCTTGGTTTTGCTGATGACCAGCTCCCATCCGAAGCTACCTAGGGGCTCCCAGCTTAGCTGGCTAACTCCTCACCAGACATAGACTAGCAGTTCCATTATTCTTATGTCTTTTTGTTTTGGGTTCGTGTAGGCTGAGTACAACAGTGACCTCCATCAATTTTTTGAGTTTCTGTACAACCATGGGATTGGAACCCTGTCATCCCCTCTGTACATTGCCTGGGCGGGGCATCTGGAAGCCCAAGGAGAGCTGCAGCATGCCAGTGCTGTCCTTCAGAGAGGAATTCAAAACCAGGCTGAACCCAGAGAGTTCCTGCAACAACAATACAGGTAGTTACAAAGTCAAACTCTCTGTGATGATTCTGACTTTGAAAAGTAATGTTTGCTGTTAAAAATTGTATCATTAGCAATTTGTACAGGGAAATCCTTCTAGTTTTGGACAATGTGGATAATACAGGATAGTGTAAAGAAAAAAACTGCTCAGAAATATTACTGTTAACAATAACTGGCACATTTCCTTCTAGTATCTTTTCCTGTACCTGTGTGGGTATCTTTGTGTTTATATATTTTAACAGCAAATCATATTGTATGTCTAGTTATACATACAAAGAAATACTTAAGAAATTATGAGCTTTTAAACTACTTCTATAGTAGTTGTGAAATCTGTCACAGTGTTGTGTCATAATCCACTCTCCAATTGGACATTGAAGTTGTTTACATTTTGATTTTTATAAACAGCACCATGATAAATACTTTTTTTTTTTGAGATGGAGTCTCACTCTGTCGCCCAGGCTGGAGTGCGATGGTGTAATCTCAGCTCACTGCAACCTGCCACTTCTGGGCTCAAGAGATTCTCCTGCCTCAGCCTCTTGACTAGCTGGGACTATAGGGACGTGCCACCATGCCCAGCTAATTTTTGTATTTTTAGTAGAGACGAGGTTTCGCCATGTTGGCCAGACTGGTCTTGAACCCCTGACCTCAAGTGATCTTCCTGCCTCACTCGGCCTCCCAAAGTGCTGGGATTACAGGTGTGAGCCACTGCGCCTGGCCTGTGATGAATATATTTCTTAATAACATTGTTCACATTTTTAAAACTTTTTCTATGATTAAACATATCTCACTTAGGGAATTGTGAAAATACAGAAAACGAAAGAAAACCTTTTGGCATTTTCCTTGGCGCTTTTTTCTCTTCTTGTTACAGGATTGCATGCATGCTTTATGTACATATACAGCTTTGCGTCAAGGTCTTTTTCCTTCATCATAAAATTATTTTTTAGTATATTTCCTATTTTTACTTAGTTTCTTTTCATAGATTCTCAGAATTGAAACTATTGAGTCAAAGAGTATATGAAGAGTTTTTACACTTGTGGTGCATGTAACCAAACTACCTACTTGAAGGTTATACCAATTGTTTACTCTTCCCCTCTCATTAGTAGAATTTGAGACCTATTATCTACTGCACCCCTTGCCAGCCTTTAATATACTCATCTTTTCAGTTTTTCTGTAGTACTCATGCTTTTTTAAAACGTCATTGAGATTTTTCAAACACACATAAAAAAGAAAAAATTAGTATAATAAACTTCCATTTATCTATCACCAACTTTTAATAATTAACATTTTGTGTTTCTCAATGCTGACAAATTTTAAAGCCGATCCATAACAGCAAAATATTTTTCCCCAAACCCTATTGTAAACATCTCTAAAATCTTATTTCTTACAGAGCCTTATTCGATAATCATACCTAAGAAAACTAACAATAATTATTTAATATGTAATTTTCAGTCTTTCCTCATCACGTAAAATGGCTTCTTAACCATTGGTTTGTTTGACTTAAGAGCCAACAAGGGTTACCACTTGGTTGCTTTATAGTGTGCACTTTGGCTCGCATCGCTCAGAAATGTCAGGCATGGGAATTGCACATTACCCGACAGGTAGAGTTGAAAATGAAATATGCCATGAAATGACATATTTGAGAACTTCTCACAGAGTATGAACAATGATGTCTGCCTTTTGAAGCAGTAATCTAAGTACTTTTGTACTTTCACTTCTTTCTTCCAAATATATTCATTATGTTCCAAATGTATAAAGAACCTAAAGTAGGAGGTCAAACATCCTGTGTTAGAACATTTGCAGACTTGACACGTGGAGAAGAGGGTGCATTTTTATATGAATTTGAGAAATACTAACATAAACTAAGCAAAAGGAGGAATTTTTGTAATACAGATAATGTATTGGATATAAAAATATTTCCAGAATTTTATTTTTTAATTTCGAAGCAACTCTAAAATGCAACTGTACATTCTCTCTTGACGTCAGACTTTACTAGCTTATAATAAGTTGTCTATGGTATTTAGTTTTCACTCTAACAGCTATGTACTGTAAGTTTATAATCTACATTGATGCCTTTTCTGCTGTCATTTAGGTTATTTCAGACACGCCTCACTGAAACCCATTTGCCAGCTCAAGGTAAAATCAGGCTTTCTAAAATGCCTGTTGTTGTCCATTTAGTCTTGGATTTGTACTAGTATTTTCTTTTCTTTAAAAAACAAACCCGGCTGGGCATGGTGGCTCACACCTGTAATCCCAGCACTTTGGGAGGCCAAGATGGGTGCATCACCTGGGGTCAGGAGTTCGAGACCAGCCTGGCCAACATGGTGAAACCCCATCTCTACTAAAATACAAAAATTAGCCAGGTGTGGTGGTGGGCATCTGTAGTCCTGGCTACTCAGGAGGCTGAGGCAGGAGAATTGCTTGAGCCCGGGAGGCAGAGGTTGCAGTGAGCTGAAATCATGCCACTTCATTCCAGCCCGGGCGACAGAGTGAGACTCCGTCTCCACAAAAAAAAAAAAAAAAAAAAAAAAAAACCCATCCAATTTTTAATGAAAACCAAATTGCACTCTCAGGTAACAGAGAAAGCATTCTGATCATCATAATGCCCACTAAATAGCCCCAAAGAGCAGAGGCTTTGTCTTAGCATTTTAAAAGCTCAAACCTGCAAAAAAAAAATTGATAATTTCACTGTATTTGTAGGATTTTTTTTTAATTCAAAATTGACCAAAATACTTAATCTGGACTCCATCTATTTTGAATGGAATCAAATGTGTTTAATGCAACTTTTAAAGAAATACAGCCATTTCTTTTTCTTAGAACTAAGTATCACATTTCAGCAATAAGCATTGCCTATCCTATCTGGTTGTTTAAAATTATTAGTTAGGTTTTACATTTCTTTTGGGTACTTCCTGGCATGTTGAGTTGATCAGAAAATTGTATAATACTTATTTTAAAAACGTTTTAGTTGAAATTTCTGAGACAGTGTGAATGAGTTGATTTACTTCTTATGATTCCTACTGGAAGGATCAGGGGAATTTATTATGTGATAATTTTACTTACGGTTTTACCCTTAATTTCTCCGTATTTTATCCTCTTTTCCCTCATAGCTAGAACCTCAGAACCTCTGCATAATGTTCAGGTTTTAAATCAAATGATAACATCAAAATCAAATCCAGGAAATAACATGGCCTGCATTTCTAAGAATCAGGTAATAATGACATTTGTAGCTTGTGTGGAAACTGGGAATGGTATTGAATGGCCAGCCTGGCTGCCTTCTACATCCACTTTGACATCTCATTTCTTTGATCTTTCTCTTCATGGCTCTGAGCTCCATGTCAGCCACCTGCTCCTGTGGCAACTTCCTGGGCCTGTTATTCTCCCACACAGCTCACCTCAAATACAATTTGTTGTCTAACCCAGAGGCCCTCACCACACGGCCTCCTGTCTTTACTCTCCCCACCAGCTTTTCCCTTACCAATGTCCTTTCCTCTGTTCTGCTGGCCTCTGCATAGGCTCTGGAAATCCCTACTGGGAATGGATCCACCTGGGGGCTTCTGAGCCTGGCTTTCAAAACTCAGAGCCTCAAAGATTGCTGCCTGTTACCTCAAGTAACAGGGAGGTCTCATACTCCCAGGCAATGGGTCATACTCCCAGGCAATGGGACATGCTTCCAGTGTCTGATTCACTCTTTATGTTTTGTGTATCTCTTATGTTTCCAGGTTCACTCTAGCGCCAAACTATAGTGATTTTAGACTTCTTTTCAGTCTCTTCAAACTTGGGACCTCGCTACCTCTAGCCTCTCTCTCAGGAACTTCAAAAATACTATTTCAACAGATAGCAGATGCCATCAAGTGACATCTATCAGTTTTCTGCCACCAACCAATAAATGTAACTGCATCCTTCCCTGTGAGAAAAGGTGGCCTTCTATCTGTGCTTGTCCTTATCCTCATCAAGGTTTTTGCCCTGTGGAGATCTCTTCTGCCTCCATGGTGTATCAACATGGGAAAATGCTCAAGTCTCTCTTCTTCCCTCAGCCTCATGTTTCCCAACTATGTTTCCCATGTTACCCTCCACAGTACAACTTTCTTTCAAAGTTCATCAAGGACCTCCTTGAAGCAAAAGCCAATGGAAACGCCTGTGTGCTTAGGGTGTATGTACAGGTTTCATTAATGTAATACATTCTTAGAAGTAGAATATGCGCTCCTGACTTTGACAGGTAGTGCAGCTTGTCCCAATTTACATTTTACGTCCTACACATGCTTGCCACCCTCCTGACCACCTATTGTCCTGTCTAAGCTCCAGACAGTAGAGATGGGTCTTGATTGCAGTCACATTTCCCAGACCTAGCTCAGAGTGTGACATGGAGGTGTCTGGCAAATATTTGTTTAGTGAAGGAATTTGAGAACTCTTGAGGGCAGAGTAGTACCTGAGGAAAATTTTAATTAAAAAAAAAATTAGCAGCAGTTGGGAATGTCAATCCCATAATGTTCAGACACTATACTCTAGCTACTAGACTATGAATTGAAGGGAAATCAGCTATGGTTCTTCTCTACTGCTGAGTAGGACTTTATTAAAAACAAAACAACAACCAAAAAAACCTCTTTCTTTGATTAGATTAAGTTACAATAGTTATTGTAAGGTTGTTGATACAAACAATCTTTTGATATTAATCATAATTTAAAATTACATAAATCTACTTGGGATTAAGGTCCCTCTTCCCCTCAAGCATTTTCATATTGTTTTGTGAAGTAATTTGGGTGAAGCTTTCTTCTCAGATAAGTGAATGCTCATGTTTGTTTTCTGTTTTTTAGGGTTCAGAGCTTTCTGGAGTGATATCTTCAGCTTGTGATAAAGAGTCAAATATGCAAGTATAATCAGTGCATTAATCTATTATTAGTTTCCTTTAAGTGCTCTTAGGTACATTGTTGTAAATAATGTATTTTCCCCCATTGTAGGGAACGAAGAGTGATCACGATTTCTAAATCAGAATATTCTGTGCACTCATCTTTGGCATCCAAAGTTGATGTTGAGCAGGTTGTTATGTATTGCAAGGAGAAGCTTATTCGTGGGGAATCAGAATTTTCCTTTGAAGAATTGAGAGCCCAGAAATACAATCAACGGAGAAAGCATGAGCAATGGGGTACTTGCAATCTTGTATTTTTAGTTATTCTTATGTCACATAAAAAAATCCTCATCTCTGAGTAATTACTTTTTTAAAGAATAATTGACTATGTTGAAAGACTGCAAGAAAGTCTTCATCTCATCCTATCAGAAGCCCAGAAATCATTATTAACCCATTTTGCGTTTGCCCCGAGAAAACTGCGCTGGCAGCAAGCTGCACTTTTTTTTTCTGAATTGGAAATTGCTTAACCACTAGTGTAGCAGCCAAGTTAGTCCAAGGACTAAATTGATGTCTTGGCAGCAAACTCATAGTTGAAAGAGTACTAAATTAGATATCCATACCAGTGTCATCTTAGCTTTAGTGAAATAAATATTTAAAAATTTTTCAGTATTATCTGTATATAGTAATTCTAAACCTCTAGGTCAGTTATTTGAACCTTTATTCCACTCAGGACTTTTATACTATCTAAGTTATTTGGGCTATAGCCATTCTGGGCCTTTCTTTTCTGTTCATTACTTTTCATACTCGGTTGACAACAGAGAAGACAAGTCAGTTAACACAGAGGACTCATTTTGTGCTGGGCATAGATGTGTTTTTCTTTCACATGCTGTGACCAGAAGTTTTAAGCCAGACTCTTTGACTTGCCTGTGGCATGACTCTGTTAACCAGTTGTTGGAAATGGGACTGACCACAGCATGCTTGAAGCCCTGATCATTTAGTGCAGTTCACTTCTACTTAGAAAGTCTCTAGAAATTTTTATCTTATAAAAACAAATAAAAATTTATTTTAAAATGATTTGCACAATCATGATTGTTTACAAGAACAGTCATGTATATGATGGCTACAAAAATCTTTACTATTATACTGTGCTATTATTATTATTTTTGATCAGCATGTAGTTTTTTTTTTTTTTTAGTAATTTACATGTCCTAAACATGTAGTAGCCAAGCTGTGGGCAGGTAAAAATTAAAAGGTAATACAAGTTTCACTTCTAAAACCAAATATGAGAAAGACTAATAAAAAAATCGGCCCCCTAAAATATAACCCTTTCCTCATTTTGCATGTATTCCTATGATGACCTGGATTTAAATTTTGCATGCAAACCATTTCTATCTTTCCTAAAGTAAATGAAGACAGACATTATATGAAAAGGAAAGAAGCAAATGCTTTTGAAGAACAGCTATTAAAACAGAAAATGGATGAACTTCATAAGAAGTTGCATCAGGTGGTGGAGACATCCCATGAGGATCTGCCCGCTTCCCAGGAAAGGTCCGAGGTATGTTGTGCTCCTCATGACACATCCTGTGCCCAGCAGCAGGAATGGCAGTTTGATTTGTTCCTTTCTATGTGCTGTTTTAGAGTTAATTCTGATGTTAATTTAGCTAGTAACTTTCTGAAAGTCTAAAATAATTTGACATAGACGTTCACAATGTAGAGTGAGAGTGGAAAGTTACAAAACAGAATGGTAGTATGTTTTACATGTTTGTGTATGTGTACATGTCTATATATTCATGTATTTATATATAGACCTTTTTCTGGTTTTTGTACAGTGACTATTGTGTAATGAAAATTGGAGTATAGTACTCTCAATAATTTATCATTTAGATATATTTTTTGTTTGCCATTATTTCATCTTGGAAAAGCAGAGAAGTGATGAGTGTGTTAGAGCCACATATATTTTCTTAAAATTAGTAGTGAATGAAGGAGATTGGAAATAAACTCATTTAAACTGTATAATGGTTGCTTAATCTTTCATATTATATGTTTGTCTATGACATAGGATACGATGAAGATAAAATACTTTATTTTCTTACATATTTGGAAAGTATAAAAATATGTGACTAGATGGTTTTTTAAAATATCACATGAAAGGTGTGTATATATGTATATATGAAGGAGAGCATTCATTTGTATATATGTATGTATGTATGCATACACACACACACACACACACACACACACACACAAACATTCTTTTTCTTTTTTTTTTAATTTTTAGACGGGGTCTTGCTCTGTCACCCATGCTAGAGTGCAGTGGTATGATAACTGTTCATTGTATCCTCCTTAGTAGCTGCAACCACAGGCATGTGCCACCACACCCACCTAATTTTTTATTTTATTTTTATAGAGATGGGGTCTCGCCATGTTGCCCAGCCTGGTGTCAAACTCCTGGGCTCAAGCGATCCTCTTGCCTCAGCCTCCCAAAGTGTTGTGATTACAGGTGTGAGCCACCACGTCTGGTCTGAATGTTCTCCTTTATTGCTAACTGCTATAGTTTGTATTTTTCCAGACTTATTGTGTATGAAAACACATAAATATGAATACAATAGAACGTTCTACATAAATAAGACTTATTTTCTGCTTTTTCTACCTAACACCTCTGATAGATCTTTCACTGCTATTGCATAGATATCTAACTAATTCTACTTGCAGCATAGTCTTCTGTCATACCTTATAAAAGGGAGTGTATCATGTAGAAACTGTTAGAAATCATGCTACCTTTCAAGTGTATGTACCTAAAATGCTGTCAGTCTGCCCTCTATAAACTTCGGACTGTGCACTCACATTAACAGTGTGTAAAAGGACTTGTTTCTTGTACACATTTGGCTAACATTAACTATACTAAATCTTTTCAAGCACCTGATGTAGTTTCTTTAATTATAGGTAGATTTGGACATTTTTTGGATACATTTCGTGGCTGTTTAACTTCTTTCCTTTAAATTGACTGAATGGCTTTGTCCATTTTTCTATTGAGTCATTTCATTTTTTTTCTGATTTGTTTGGATTTCTTTTTGTATAATTTATATTTTCCCTGGATAGTTGCAAGAAATTGTTAATAAATTGTTCTCCCTGGCTCCTTTCCTGTGGTATATCCCTGGTTCCCATGTCGTTATCTCTCCTTACTGTCCTCATTTCGAAGGCACACTTTCTCCAGTAGCTTATTTAAAAAAAAAAAAAAAAAAGGCAACAGCAGCATGTTTGAGGGGTTAGTTTTTGAGGTCTCTTGCATGTCTAAAAGCATCTTTATTTTACCGTCACATTTGGTTGATAATTTGGTTGGGCACAATGTTCTAGGAGGGAACTTACATTCCCTCAGAGTTTTTAAAGACACTCCTTCATTGTTTTTTGGCTTGCGCTATTGGTGTGGAAAAACCCAGAGTCCTTCTGATTGTTGGTTCTTTGATGTGATGTTTGTTTTTCTCTAGAGGGGTGTAGAATCATTTTTCCCTGCTGTATTGTGACATAGTGATGTATCTGGTATTTATCTTTTCATCCATTATACTTAGTGCTTAAATGTTCTAGTTTTGCAATTCTGGGGAATTTTCTTGATATATATTTTCAGAGGTGGATATTTTTTCCTCATACTCTCTGTTAGGCTATCCTGGACTGGTCATTTAATTTTCTTAAATTTCACCATTTTCTATCTTTGTCCTTTTTTCCCCCTAATTTTCTTTGAGATTGCCTTAATTTTTATGGCCATCTTATTAAATTCTTTTTTTTTTTTTTTTTTTGAGATGGAGTCTCACTGTCTCCCAGGCTGGAGGGCAGTGGCATGGTCTCAACTCACTGCAAGCTCCGCCTCCCGGGTTCACGCCATTCTCCTGCCTCAGCCTCCTGAGTAGCTGGGACTACAGGCGCCTGCCACCATGCCTGGCTAATTTTTTTTGTATTTTTAGTAGAGACAGGGTTTCACCGTGTTACCAGGATGGTCTTGATCTCCTGACCTCGTGATCCGCCCACCTTGGCCCCCCAAAGTGTTGGGATTACAGGCTTGAGCCACAGTGCCCGGCCAGCATCTGCTTTTAAACAGAATTTTACAATGTTCCTATCTTCACCTCCACCTTCACTTCCATTCTGAGGTGTAGCTAGCATTGTAGATTTCTGAACTTGTCTAGCAATTAGGGACACACCGCTCCTAGCCTCCTTCAACAGCTATGTGAAGTGTTAGAATTCCTTCACTGTCATGTTGGTGAGATTTTTGGAGTATATCAAGCCACTGTCTTTAACTAGAAGCCTCCCTTTTTCAAACTTCTCTGTATGAATAGCATCAGGATATATTTTCCAAGTAGATTGCCTGTTGTCTGTAAATCATTTATTGATCTGCTCAGCCTTTCCCCATTGATTTAAAATATCTTTACCATGTACTAAATTTTCATATATACAAGATCCAATTCTAAAATATCTATACCTTTGCTTTAGTCAGTAGATCTCTTCTTGATCATTTCATAGGTGTATTTACTACAACTTTCTTTTTTTTTGAGACGGAATCTCCCACTATCGCCCAGGCTGGAGTGCAGTGGTGCAATCTCCGCTCACTGCAACCTCCGCTTCCTGGGTTCAAGTAATTCTCCTGCCTCAGCCTCCTGAGCAGCTGGGATTACAGGCGCCCGCCACCATGCCCAGCTAATTTTTTCTATTTTTAATAAAGATGAGGTTTCACTATGTTGGCCAGGCTGATCGTGAACTCCTGACCTTGTGATCCACCTACCTCGGCCTCCAACTTTCTTATGTGTTTTGGTGTCTGGTGGAGAAAATCTCTGGTATTGTTCAGAATATTTCTTCAGAATTGAATATTATGATGATTTTTAATCTTTACTAATTTGGTAGGTGAGAAAATGGTGTAGGTTATCATTTTTGCTGACGAATGAGGATGAGGTTTTTATATTTTTTTCCATTAGTCTGTAAAATAACTATTCTTGCCCTAGACATTTGGTAGTGTGTGTTTGTTTGTGTTTTGAGGCAGGGGCTCACTCTGTCATCTAGGCTGGAATGCAGTGGTGCAATCTCAGCTCACTGCAGCCTCCTCCTCCCAGGCTCAAGTGATCCTCCCACCTCAGCTTCCTGAGTAGCTGGGACTACAGACACATGCTTCCATGTCCAGCTAATTTCTTGTATTTTTTTGTAGAGACAGGGTTTTGCCATGTTGCCTAGCCTGGTCTCAAACTCTTGAGCTCAAGCAAACCACCAGCCTCGGTCTCCCAAAGTTCTGGGATTGATTACAGGCTTGAGCCACCCATGCCTGGCTGGTGTTTTTCTTAACAATTTATAAGCATACTTTTATATGGTGAGAAATTAACTCATCTAACTTTGTAACACTAAAGCATACAATTACAGTCTTACACTGATGTGAGTAGCAAAGCAAAGATTTTAAATTTAGAGCTTGTTATGCTTCCTGTTGTGAGACAGGCTTTTGTGGCAGTTATTATTGCAATTTATATTTGTGTTTCCTATTCTTCAAAGTGAAAACGGCTATGAAAAGTATTTTATTTATTTATTTTTTTCCCTTTTTCAAGCCCTATCTCATATACCAATCTAAGGGTATTTTAATGGGAGGAAAACCGTAATGAGCTTTTGATAACACTGATTTGTCGACCTTTTCCCAAAATTAAGTAAAGAGAAATAAGATAATACTTAAATGCTGATACAACTATAGAGACTTGTTATTTCAGTGGTTAGAAATTATAAGCTGCTGATGGTGTCTGTGGTTCAGAAGCTACAAAGCATCCATTTTGTAGAGTGGTCTTTTTGTTGTTGACTGTACATTTCAGAATGCTTGAAGAAGGAGTATGGGGAAACTTCAAGGAAAAAGGAATCCATTGAAGACAGATGCCATGCTTTGAGAAGATGTAATGCCTGATTAGTAGTATTCTGGACTTCATGGTTTTGTTTTTGTTGTTTGTTTGTTTAATATGAAAGGTTAATCCAGCACGTATGGGGCCAAGTGTAGGCTCCCAGCAGGAACTGAGAGCGCCATGTCTTCCAGTAACCTATCAGCAGACACCAGTGAACATGGAAAAGAACCCAAGAGAGGCACCTCCTGTTGTTCCTCCTTTGGCAAATGCTATTTCTGCAGCTTTGGTGTCCCCAGCCACCAGCCAGAGCATTGCTCCTCCTGTTCCTTTGAAAGCCCAGACAGTAACAGACTCCATGTTTGCAGTGGCCAGCAAAGATGCTGGGTAAGCTGAAGGTAGTCCTAGAGATCACAGTGATGTGAGTGGCACCTGTCACCTTCTTTACATGACCTGCATTATCAGGAACAGTATGTAAAAGATGAATGATGTCTGCCTTTTATTTTTAGATAGGTATGTTGTTGAAAAAGCAAGTGGCAAAACATTGCTCCCAATCCTTTAGGCTTACTTATTCCATGCTTCTTTTAGAATATTTATTTTATACTTTCGTGAATTAAAAATTTTCAGTACCTGAAAGTCAACAGTCACTTTGTAACTGAAGAATATACAGCTGTTAGGCTAAAATTCCCTTTGCTCACTGGCTTTGATTGAATACCTACAGGGATCATAACTGTCTAGACAATTACTTGACATGTGTTCTCATATTCCTTCTGTCTTCCCATAGAGAGCAGTTTGGGATTAATACACATGATTCTGTCTCTCAAAATGTACCTCTGCACTGGAAGTTTTTACCCCAATTTTGAGGGATTTTTCCAGATTTCAGAAATTATAGTTAATGTCATATCACTCGTTTAAGTTACATTTTTACCTCCAGTCATTTTGGCTCTCTTTTAGCTCGTTTTTATAGGGATTTGTAAAATTAAAAATGCTTTGCATGTTTTACTTTATACCTTAACAGGGTTTATTAAGGGAACTCCAGCAATGTTAAATAGACATGTTAGATCCACTACCCCAAGTGCACTTAAAGTGTGATATAAATGGCTTGTGTGTCATTTTTTTCTTTCTTGATAACCATTACTTTTAAATGCTAGAGGACATTGCACTGTGGCTGCTGGCTTATCACAGCAAAGGTATCCTGCACAGCTGAGGCGCACCAGTGCTTCTCCACGTCCTGACTCTGGTTAGCTGCCTGGAGCCGGGCTCAACTCTTTAACCTCTGTAATGAATGGGATCATTTGAATAGTCATAGGACTCTACCACATATAGAGATGGTTCTTATCCCTGTAATCCCTGTGTCACACAAATGTTTAGTACCTGGTCTTTTCTGTAAGAATTCTTTTCCTGAAATGGAACTGAAAGGAAAAAAAAAACAGTTTATTTACTAACACTGTAGACCCTAAGTAGTTCCATCTGTATTTTAACAGGCTTGTAATTATTGACTGATTCTTTTTTCTTTCTACTATTATTTCTTGAGAGTCAGTTAAAAATTCTAATAGATCAAGCATTTTTTTGTTTTGTTTTTTTTTTGTTTTGAGATGGAGTCTCGCTCTTGTTGCCCAGGCTGGAGTGCAATGGTGCGATCTTGGCTCACTGCAACCTCTGCCTCCTGGGTTCAAGTGATTCTCCTGCCTCAGCCTCCCAAGTAGCTGGGATTACAGGTGCCTGCCAGCACACCCCGCTAATGTTTTTTTGTATTTTTAGTAGAGAAGGGGTTTCACCATATTGGCCAGGCTGGTCTCGAACTTCTGACCTCAGGTGATCCTCCCGCCTCGGCCTCCCAAAGTGCTGGGATTACAGGCGTGAGCCACCACCGCACCCAGCCTAGATCAAGCATTTTATTCTCTAGTGTGTCTCAAGAGTTTTCTCTTCCAGATGTGTGAATAAGAGTACTCATGAATTCAAGCCACAGAGTGGAGCAGAGATCAAAGAAGGTAATGTTTAATTATAATAAATGTGTTTCTGTCCAGATTCCTCTGTATCACTCAGAGGTGTATTTTGTGGCTGTGGTTTATGAAGGCTTCAGGCCTTAATGAACCTGAGTGTTAGATTTCCTATTCTTAGAGTATAGGTTATTTATCCCTGAACCATTTCAAATAAATGTAGAAATCCACTTGTTAGTCTCATCTTCTTTAACATTCTTTGGAAATGTAATTTGTGAATACATTTCTAGTAAATTTCTCAGGAAATTAATCCAAAACAGAGTCATCTTTAGTATGTTAGGTAGGAAAGGTTATCAAAAGTTTAATTAGGAGTGTTACACTGTTATTCGGTACTACTTTGTTAGAGGCATTTGCATAGGAGATAAGTCTTATAAATAATAAGATGCACAGGTTGGGCTTTCACTTCTCCGCTGTGTGACTGGGACATTTTTTTTCTGGACAGTTTGGTGAGGAGGAGGGCTGTTTGAAATAGCTGGAGGTTCATTAACTGAACCAAGACTTACTGAGCCTGCTCTGTAGGTGCCAGGCACTGTTATACATAGTTAGGGATGAAGTCATGAACAAAAAATCTCCACCCACACAGAGGGGGAAAGAAATGTACTATTGGAGTTATGGGGTTGAAATTTCAGTCAAGGTGATATTTGGGTAAAGGGCTAAAGTTAGGGAGCTACCATGCCATTAGCTTGGGCAACTTTTCAGACAGAGGGAATATTAAGTGCTAAGCCCTCAAGCAGGAAAATCTCTGATATATTCTAAGCACAGCAAAGGGACCAATGTGGGGAGGTAAGCAGGGAGAGGAGGAAGGTGAGGCCTGACCAAACAGGACCCAGGCTGTGCAGGGCCTTGTATTCTATGCCTGACTGCAGTGGAATGAGATGGGAAGCCAATCTTAAGATTTACATTGTGACTATGAACTTGGGATACAGTGGCACTAAGGGTATAATTTATGACAAAGTTGCTAATCTGGTATAATCCAGACCAACCACTCAATCTCTCTCAGCCTTCATTTCCTTTTCTGTAAAAGGATAATTTTCACCTCATTTACTTCATAGGACTATTATAAAGATAAAAATGAAATATATGAAAGCACTATAATACTGGAAATTCTTAGTGATAATTTTTAACAATGACAAACTGTTTTAATTGTAACTTACTTAAATTGTGTGTCTTTTAAGTTATTCTGATTTCCCTACTGATACCACATTTTGTCTCCATTTCTTTGCTAGGGTGTGAAACACATAAGGTTGCCAACACAAGTTCTTTTCACACAACTCCAAACACATCACTGGGAATGGTTCAGGCAACGCCATCCAAAGTGCAGCCATCACCCACCGTGCACACAAAAGAAGCATTAGGTAAAGTATTTTATCTGAGTGTGTAGCACCTGATGACAAGTTAATGAAAGCTCTTTTGCAACCTGTTTACAATTATTCTTTTTGTTCTTTAAGGTTTCATCATGAATATGTTTCAGGCTCCTACACTTCCTGATATTTCTGATGACAAAGATGAATGGCAATCTCTAGATCAAAATGAAGATGCATTTGAAGCCCAGTTTCAAAGTAATAACTATTTAAAAGCTACTAAGTGCATAGCATTATAGGTGGTTATCACAGAAAATATCAAGAATTATTTAAGAGGTGACCCTGCCCTTGATTAGCTTGTCACATAAAGGCAGGGAATGCATGAAATAAAAATAAGACAGTTCTTGACAAGGTACTCAATGTGTGTGATAGATTTGCTTGATTAAAGGGAAAAAAAAAAAAAGAATAGTGCTAAAGAAGGACAAAACCCCCATGGATAAGAAGGGCTGAGTACTCAAGGTGTGACTTGAGCCTTCACTGGTAGAGGAATGGCTGGGGCAGAGTATTAGAGGAGGCTGGCAGCTAGCCCACATTTGTCTAGAGTCAGGGGATTCATGCTAGAAGCCAGAGATCATGATAAAGATAAGTAGAAGCCAATTAGACTCAGGAGGACTTGAAATGTAAAGCTAAGAGCTTAATTCTTTCTTGAAGGAAATGGAAAACGAAACCCTGAGAGCGTTTATTGAGTGAGTCAGGTGACAATAGTACTGATTTAGGAGAATGATTAACACCTTGCTGATATGTGGCAGGGACTCGTGACCTGGGACTTGAGTACAAAACCCTGTTACCATAGTTAAGTCACTTCATCTCACTATAGTGACTTACTGCCTAGTATTTGAAAAGCTGATATTAGTTCTTTTCTGTCAGCTGTTAGTCCTTTTTCTTATTTGTAGTTGAAGTTTAATATAAAGGATGTTTTTTCCTAGTACAATAATTAGATGCTATTTTTTATTCTGTTGCAGAAAATGTAAGGTCATCTGGGGCTTGGGGAGTCAATAAGATCATCTCTTCTTTGTCATCTGCTTTTCATGTGTTTGAAGATGGAAACAAAGAAAATTATGGGTAAAAAAATACCATCTAGTTAATGGGATGCTGCCGAGTTTTCTCTGGGACCAGAGGTGGTGGGGTGGTGAGGAGAGAATGTGAACTGCCAATCACATGGTCAAATGAGCCTTTTGACCACACAACCAGGGGGGTGTTGCCAAAGTTCTCCAGATTTACAGTACTGCAGGAATTCATTTTTGGCTTCTAAAAGTTATGTGACAGAAATTTCTGTACTTCCCACCCTCAAGTAATGATAGGTCTACTTTTATAAGTCATGTTAATTTGATTACACTCAGTTTTGCTAGAACTGCTATAAAAGCAAGGAATATCTATATAAAGATTAACTCATTAAATAGGATAAGTAGAGAACTTTTCTAATGGTCAAGTGATAGCATTTATTTCCTTAGCATATTTTACTATTTATAATTTAGCAAATCTTTCCTTAGATTACCACAGCCTAAAAATAAACCCACAGGAGCCAGGACCTTTGGAGAACGCTCTGTCAGCAGACTTCCTTCAAAACCAAAGGTAAACAAACCTGTTTTATCTATGAAATGGGTCCTACAACCCATCCGCTTTATTCTACCAAATGATTATGCCAGTCAGAGGATATTGTGTATGTGAAACTATGCTAAAAACTATGAAACATAGGAAGAATATGTTTCTTTTAGGACATTATTTAATAATTATTCAAGAAGAAACAGGGTATGTGCATATTTTCCAAGTGTCCTACCAAAATTATTTATTAATATTCATTACTGTGGTGGTTTCACATTTATCCACAAATTCTTTGAATTTTTTTCCTCCAGTTTAATTCATCTCCTTTTGAGTGTGGCTAGATTTGGTGACTTGCTTCAGACAAAAAGCAAAGGGAAAGGGAAAATTAGATTACAGTAGGGAAACATGGGAGATTCTGCCTAATCAAGTGATTGGGTTAACCAGGAATAAGTCATGTTGACAGCAGATATCCCCTAATATGATGTAATGAGAAGAACATTTCACCTCTGATATCCTTCCCAAAAATCTGTAACCCCAGTCTAATCATGAGAAAACATCAAATAAGCCCAAACTGTGTAGGGACATTCTACGGAGTTTCTGACTAGTGTTCAAAAGTGTCAGTACAAAAAAGACTCGGAAAGGCCAATAGACAATGACAGACTCAAGGAGGCTAAGAACACTTGAGAACTAAAGGTGACATGGGATCCTGGATTGGATCCCTGAACAGAGGAGGCACATTAGTGGGAAAAAAAAGGTGAAATCCAAACTACAGTTAATAGTACTATTTCATTTTTACAAATGTGCCACAGTTCTATAAGAAGTTGACATTAGAGGAAGCTTGGTGAGGAGGGTATGTGGAAATTCTGTGCTATCTTTGTAACTCTTCTGTAAATCACAACTTTTTCAAATTAAAAAATATATATATAATTTGAAAACAAAAATGTGGCTCTTGCTGTAATGTAACTCCACTGATTTTCCAGTTCTGGGGAAAAGAACTGAACCATGATATTGTGGGCTGTATTAGCCAGGGGTTGACATCTGTTTCTTCTTTAATCCTCATTTCTTTGGATCTTAAAGTGTTATTGAATAAGGTTTCATGGACTAAAGAGGGAGATTGCTGCTTTTTTTTCATTTCATCTTCTGTTATAGGAGGAAGTGCCTCATGCTGAAGAGTTTTTGGATGACTCAACTGTATGGGGTATTCGCTGCAACAAAACCCTGGCACCCAGTCCTAAGAGCCCAGGAGACTTCACATCTGCTGCACAACTTGCGTCTACACCATTCCACAAGCTTCCAGTGGAGTCAGTGCACATTTTAGAAGATAAAGGTGTGTGTTACACTGTTTTAGTGTCTGTCTTCTGCCAACTTTGATTCTTTCAGTTTTCTTCATGAAGTTTGATTCTTGTAGTTTTCTTCATGGAAATTCCACATGGGAACTTTGAAAATCATAAAGAAGAAACTTAAAATCTGTTCATTGTATTTTTGTTCATAGGTTTTTTTTTCCTTTGGCATATTGTCTTCCTAAAGTCTATGTATTTTTAAAATATAATAGCTTAGATTATAGGTAGAATGGGAGAAAATCTATAGAAGCATTTAAAGGAAATAAGGTCCAACCCATTTGTATAGATAGAGCATGTTTATTTTGTTTCATAGCAAACAAAACAGCCACTACAGACATTAAATTATTTGAATGCTAAAAATAATGAACATTTATATTTTCTAATTTAATAAGAGTAACAGCCAATTTTAGTCCTAGATGTGTGTCTACACACATATATGTCAACTTTATTAGACATAGCCAAGTACGATAGTCAGAAAGTCTTATTTTTCCTACTTTTAGTGATCTGACTTTAAGAAAGTAATGATAAAACTCACAAGTAGTCCTTATTTCTACCGTTTCAAATCTATCACCCTATATATTTAAAAATTCATCATATATCTGAATTGAATCCTAACATATGACATTGTCATTGAGCACAGATAATTGTTAACTATTAAGTACCAACCTACAAACTAGACAGTCCTCTTGGTATCCACAGAGGATTGGTTCCAGGAACCCCTGCAGATACCAAAATCCAGGTGGATGCTCAAGTTCCATAGTTGACCCTGCAGAACTTGTGGATATGGAACCTGTGAATACAGAGGGCTGACTGTATACTAACTATCATTGCTCACGCTTTTAAAATATAGCAATTGTTTACCAAAGCAATAATAGAAGAGCTGCCAAAGAATTTCACTTCATTGGATGAAAGCATATTTTAATGTGGGTTCTGAGCCTATAGACCTAAACATTTTTGACCAAGGATTTCTTAGAGTGCTAATCCAATATAATAAATTTCTTTTCTGAATCTTAAAGGAGAGGTCAGTTGAAACTTTGACAATTGCCAAGCACCATCACAAGCTTGCTTTTAATTAAAAAAAAAAAAAAAAAAGATTAAAGCCTTTTCCATCCAGGAAAAGTAGTTTAATGAGTCTAAAGAATCCTTCAAAAAGTCAATATTGGCTATTCTTAAGAGTATTTGGCACTTTGGCTCGATAAACAAAAACTAATGTTCTAGTGCTAAAAAGTAGTAACACCTGTTCAGTGAAGGAGTATCTGATAAAATGTAATCCAATATACTTGGCTGTGTGCAGTATTATAATCACTTGGTAGAAATTTATTCTGTATTTCTGTTCTTCCTAGTTTACCTATCTATAGATAGATTTTTTTTTTAATTATGGAGAGTAATAAATATTGCCAGGTTGCTTTCTGATTTAAACACAAAATCGTTTCAATAAATTAAATGCTAATTTAGTCAATCAACTAATTGACTACAACATGTTAAAGTGAAAAACCCAAAATCTCTGCCCTCCAGAAGCATTGTAGCCTTTTACTCTCCATGTTCTTGTCTTCAGGTTCTCCTGAAGCTGGGTGTAGCCCTGCCATCCGTACCAGTAACTTCCCATGGTCTGGTCATCCTGCCCACAATGGACTTGCCACTCTCTCGACCCCTTTTTTCTTGAAGGATTATAGGAATTAGATGTAGAGTTGAAATGCTCACATATATTAGTAGTAGATTTTATTTGTTTGTTTGTTTTTAAGAGATACGGTCTTGCTATGTTGCCCAGGCTGAGTGCAGTGCAGCCTCAAACTCCTGGGCTCAAGTGATCCTCCTACCTCAGCCTCTTGAGTAGCTAGGGCTACAGGCTCCTACCACCACATCTGGTTAATTTTAAAAAGTTATTTTAGGGATAGGGTCTCACTATGTTGCTCAGCCTTGCCTCAAACTACTGGCCTCAAGTGATCCTCCCACCTCAGCCTCCCAAAGCACTGGGATATAGGCATGAGCCACTGTGCCTGGCCAGTAGTGGATTTTTTTAAAGTGATTTTTTCCTCCCATTTTTTTAATCTTATTATACATTTTACAATGGAACACTATTTTGAAATCATAATGCAAGTCAGTGTCAAAAGAAATCCTAGACTTTGTAACCATATCAAATGGTGTGTGTTGTGCACACATGTGCATCTAACATATCTTGTCTCTAATTTTTGAATCTTTCAGAAAATGTGGTAGCAAAACAGTGTACCCAGGCGACTTTGGATTCTTGTGAGGAAAACATGGTGGTGCCTTCAAGGGATGGAAAATTCAGGTATTGTGAGGGTTTATTTGGTTCTGCCATTCTCTTCATTTTCATTCTAACATTGTTTACCATTTTCATTCTAGCTTTGCCTTTTAGGCTGTAATAGAATACCTAATTTTAGCCTTAAAGGCCAATAAAGATTTTATGGACTAGTAGCTTTAAGTCAGAAGGTACTCTCCGTGAATATACATACAACAGTGAACCTAAGCACTTGATACATCAGGCCGGTGCTTGATGAGAAAACATCAGAGAAACCCAAATTGAAGGACATTCTCCAGAATACCTGGCCAGTACTCCTCAAAACTGTCAAGGTCTTGGGAAACTAAGAAAGACTAAGAAACTGTCACAGATGAAAGAAGAGTAAAGAGACATAGCAACTAAATGCAACCTGGTACCCAGGACTAGATCCTGAAGCAGAAGTTCCTTAGTGAAAAGAGTGGTGAAATTGAATGATGTCTACAGTTTAGTTAATAGTAATGGAACAAATGTTGGTTTATTAGTTTTGACAAAGGTACCATTGTAATAGGAAAGGATAATCTTAGCAGAAATTGAGTGAGGAGTATACAGGAATTCTCTATTATCTTTGCAACATTTCTTTATACCTAAAATTATTACAAAGAAAGTATAGTTGAAAAAAGTTTACAACGGAAAAATGTGACAAGTGAAAATAGCAGTGTATGAAATTGCATGTATAAATTTATTTGTATAAAAATACATACTTCAGTATGTTTAGGTAGATATTGATTGGGGGTGTATGTGGAGATATATGTGCAGTCAGTTCTCATTATTCACTATAATTCTATAGAGTCACCACAAACACTGAATTAGTGAATACCGAATATTCTTAAGGGGAATACAGACAGCATCCTTCAAGCCTCTAATAACAACATTTTGTTAAAAAACACCTTATTTATTATATATTGTCAATTCATTAACATTGAATTTATGTCCAGCAACACTGACTTACATCTAAATAAAGCTTATCTAATACACATATTTTCACAGGTTTCTAGTGCTTAGGAACATTAGAGAGCACTTCAGCACTATACTTTGGGACCATTTTCAATACCAAAATCACCAAGAAAAAGCACAAAGACACAAAAATTGTGACACTAAGTACAGCTCGAAAAGGATACTTGTTTGCAGTATGAGAGCTGGAACCGGAAGGCTGAGTGTCACCTTGTTCAACCTTAGCTCAGAACATGTATGTTAGGTGGCTCAATTTTTCATCACTCTGCGTTCTGTAAATGACTGAAAAATCACTATGAGTATTGATTTGAAGCTTACAAATAAATTTTAGCATGCAGGTGAATTCACAAATATGAAATCCATTAATAATAAGGATCAACTGTATACTGTGTGTGTGTGTGTGTGTGTGTGTGTGTATGGATGTATATGTATACATATACTTCCATGTACAGTCATGCAGTTGCTTAACAACTGGGATACTTTCTGAGAAATGTGTCTTTAGGCAGTTTCATTGTTACATGAACATCAGAGTGTATTTACATGAACTTAGATGGTTTGATTAGTTTACTACACACCTAGGCTATATGGTATAACCTGTGGCTCATAGGCTAAAAACATGTACAGCATGTTATTGTATTGAATACTATAGGCAATGGCAACAGAGTGGTGTAAGAATTTGTGTATGTAAACATAGAGAAGATATAGTAAAAATACAGTGTAAAAGATAAAAAATGGTGTTCTGTATAGGGCACTTCCCATGAATGGAGCTTGCAGGACTGAAGTTGCTCTGGGTGGGTCAGTGAGTGAGTGAGTGGTGAGTGAACGTGAGGGCCTAGGACATTACTGTGCACTGCTGTAGACTTCAGAAACACTATAGTTAGGTTACACTAAACTTATAAGAAAAATTTTTCTTCAGTAATAAATTAGCCTTAGCTTACTGTGAGCTTTTTACTTTATAAACTTAAAAAGTTTTATCTTTTTGACTTTTGTAACAACACTTAGCTTAAAAAACAAACACATTGTACAACTATACAAAAATATTTTTTCTTTATATCATTCTATAAGCATTAAAAAAATTTTTTTTTTCACTTTTTAAACTTTTTTGTTAAAAACGACCACACAAACATACACATTAGCTGAGGCCTACACACCCAGGGTCAGGATCATCAGACATCACTAGGAGACTGGAGGTTTTCGGCTCCATTATGATCCTATGGGGCCACCATTGCATATGCTGTCCTCTGAATTGTTGTTATGCAGCACATGACTATATATATGGAAGTGTACTGGAGTGTTGTATTGTGATTGACATTTTCTGTTTGTTTCAATGTTATAAAAGCAGCCATTTTTGGAATAAAGTTAAATATTCAGTCTTGATGATAGTAGTGTCGCATAGATGCAGCTTGGAGAAATAAACCCACTCCTGACATTTCCTACTAAAGAATATCCCATGTATTACCTCACCTATTTATCTAATATAACCATATCTTGATTTTATTATTTCTGTTCATATTGTACTAGCTGTATATTTTCATAGATTTGTTTGTCTAAAAATGCTTTAATCAACTTTTAGTCTGTGAGGCTATTGTGAAATGTCATTTCTAGAATGAGAAGGGAATTTCATGTGACTGAATCCAACAGATTTCTAATCATGTGGTGTTTTGGTTTCTTTATTCCTTTCACACGTCCAGTCCAATTCAAGAGAAAAGCCCAAAACAGGCCTTGTCGTCTCACATGTATTCAGCATCCTTACTTCGTCTGAGCCAGCCTGCTGCAGGTGGGGTACTTACCTGTGAGGCAGAGTTGGGCGTTGAGGCTTGCAGACTCACAGACACTGACGCTGCCATTGCAGAAGATCCACCAGATGCTATTGCTGGGCTCCAAGCAGAATGGATGCAGATGAGTTCACTTGGGACTGTTGATGCTCCAAGTACGAACACTCACTCTTTGTTATGCCCTTGAATCAGGACAGGAGCATGGGGAAAGCTGTCCCATGAAAGAAACCCACAGTGGGACTTGAATGTCACTGAGTAGAACAGATGTCAGTGAGTTCAGATGAAACTTGCATAATGCATCACAATGGAGTAACAGTAGCATACTTGAAGGGCAAATCAATTTTAATTTTAGAAGGTATCAAAATAACTACTGTTGGAAGAGGGAATTAGAATTTGACAGCCTACTACGTGCCAGGCTTTTAATCTAATACTATTATATTTTACATTTTACAGAAGTAAACTGAGGCTGAAGGTTAAAGAGACACCCCCCCCCGCCCACCCCCTTGTTACACATAAACAGTCTGGCATAGTGGTTAAGAGCACAGAGTCTGGAGATGGACTGACTATGTTCTAATCCTAGCTCCCTCACCTAAGTAGTCACGTGATCTTGACCAAGATCATTTCAATTTTCCATATCCCTCTTTTCTGTAGAGTTGAGCTGATGCTAGTACCTACCTTAGAGGCTTATTGTAAGAACCAAGTAAATTAATAAAGCACTGAGAACAGTGTTCTGCATGTGCTTAGCGCTGAGTGAGTGTTAACCATGTTGGATTAGTATTTGATAACTGCCACTAATATAATTTTTTGTAACATTCCAGGTTGGAGAGAAAGCTTTTTCTTACTTTTAGAAATTATTTCTCTTTTGTGGACCCAAAGTATATCTCATATATGCAAATTGCACATAGGTAGTATAAGTTTTGTGGATATAAGTGGAAAAGAAATTAAATAATATGTGTCTATCTGCGCACATTAGAAGTAACTAATGTCCACATCTGCCCTTAAGACATGTATCCCTAATTGTGTTAAAGATAGAATCTAGCCGTTCCAGTTGAGTGGAGCAAATGCACCTAGAGTTGATTCCCTTTGTCACAACTAAATATTGATCCAAATTTGTAGATCTAAAATGGCAAATAATAAACTGTGCAGAGCTACCAATTTTGACTTTTAAAAATAGTTCTTTTTTATTTTGAATTAATACTCTTATAAGGCTTTGAAAGCTTACTTAGTAAATATCTCTACTCACTTTGTCTATAATTTATTTGGTAAAGTTCTTGAGTACTCAATTCATGTTCCCTTTTTTTTTTTTTTTCTCATTCCTTTAAGACTTCATTGTTGGGAACCCATGGGATGATAAGCTGATTTTCAAACTTTTATCTGGGCTTTCTAAACCAGTGAGTTCCTATCCAAATACTTTTGAATGGCAATGTAAACTTCCAGCCATCAAGCCCAAGACTGAATTTCAATTGGGTAAGAATTATTTGGATAATATAACTTTAAATTCTTGTTTCTCTATGAGAAGTTGATGGTAACGTGTGTGTGTGTGTGTGTGTGTGATTCTCCTATTTGCCCCCCAACCTCCAATAGGGAGTTGTATCTGTAATACTAAACTGATCATTTTGTTAAGCCATGATTGTAGGATTGTGCTTGCTGTTGGGACTATAACTCCTATAACTCATAGAGGGCAATTTGCCAATATCTATTAAAATTAAAAATGCATTTACTTTTAAAGCCAGCTATCCACTTTTAAGGATTTCCTATAGATATTATTATATACTTCTATAGTAAAATACTATAGTAACATTGGCAACAGAACAAGAAAGCTCACTCTGTACTGATAGGGAATGAGCTCCAAAACATACCATACTGTTAAAAGGGCAGAGCCGTATGTATTATATGCCACAATTAAAACAGTTAGCTGTAGGTGGGAGTGGGAAACAATGGTAGCAAGACTTCACAATATTCCCTTTTAAGTTTTTTAATGAATAGACTTTATTTTTAAGAGAAGTTTTAAGCTTACAGAAAAATTCAGCATAAAGTACATATTCCTACCTCCCCATATATACACACACAGATTTTCGTGTTACTAACATCTTGCATGAGTGTGGTACATTTGTTAAAATTAAGCCAATGTTGATGCATTATTAATTGAAGTGCTAGTTTACATTAGGGTTCACTCTTTGGGTTGTATATCCTGTGGGGTTTTTTACGAATGTAGTACAGTGACATGTATCCATCATTACAGTATCATACAGAATCATTTCCTCACCCTAAAAATCCCCTGTGCCTCACCTATTCATCCCTTCCTCCTTGTCCCCCAACGCCTGGCAACCACTGATTGTTTTGCTGTCTGTGTAGTTTTGCCTTTTCCATAATGTCATATAGTTGGAATCATATAGTATATAGCCTTTTCAACTGGCATCTTTTACTTAGCAATATGCATTTAAGGTTCCCTTGTGTCATTTCATGATTTGATAGCTTTTTTTTTTTTATCACTGAATAATGTTTAGTGCATGAATGTACCACACCGTTAAACCTTTCCACTCATCTAATGAAAGAGATCTTGGTTACTTCCAAGTTTTGGCAATTATGAATAAAGTTGCTGTAAACATCTGTGTGCAAGTTTTTGTGTGGACATAAGTTTTCAACTCATAATTTGGGTAAATACCAAGGAGTGTAATTGCAGGGTTATATGATGAGAGTATGTTTACTTTTGTAAGAAACTTCCAAAGTGACTGTACCATTTAGCATTCCCACCAACAGTGAATAAGAATTCCTGTTCCCCAGTCTTGCCCTCATTAGGTGGTTGTCAGCGTTTTGGGTTTTAGCCATTCTGATACGTGAACAGTGATATCTCAATCTTGTTTGAAGTTTCAATTACCTGAAGACATACTGTGTTGAATATTTTTTCATATGCTTATTTGCCATCAGTATATCTTCAGTGAGATGTCTATCCAGATCTTTTGTCCATTTTCTAATTGGTTGGTTGGTTTCTTATCATTGCCTTGTTCCTGATCTTAGGGGGAAAGCATCTACATAGTTTATTACCTATAAGTATGATTTTAGCTGTAGGTTTTTTGTAAATGTTCTTTGTCAAGTTAAGAAAGTATCTCTCTATTCCTAGTTTGCTGAGAGGGTTTTTTTTTTAATCATAAGTGGGTGTTGGATTTTATTTATCGTGCTCCTTTCAATATTTTCTGCATTTATTGATATGATTATATGATTCTTTGTTGATGTGATGGATTTCATTAATTGAAATTAATTAATTAAGTGTTGAACTAGCCTTGTATACCTGGGATAAATTGCACTTGGTTGTTATAGTGTATAATTCTTTTTCTACATTGTTGGATTGGATTTACTTATAATTCTTTTTACACATTGTTGGATTGGATTTACTAATATTTTGCTGAAGATGTTTGTATCCGTGTTCATGAGAGGTACTGGTCTATAGTTTTCCTTTCTTGTAATATCTTTATCTGGTCTTGGTGTCAGGGAAATGCTGGCCCCTTAGAGCCCCTTAGGATGAGATAGGAAGTATTCCCTCTGCTTCTTTCATCTGCGAGAGATTGTTGAGAATGGATATAATTTGTTCCTCAAATGTTTGACAGAATTCACTAGTGAACCCATCTGAGCCTAGTGCTTCCCGTTTTGGAAGGTTATCAATTACTGATTCCATTTCTTTAACAGATATAGGACTGTTCAGATTATCTATTTCTCTTTTGTGGGCTTTGGTAGATTGCGTCTTTCAAGGAATTTGTTCATTTCATCTCAATTCTCATTTGTGGATATGGCATTCCACTATTGATTTCTACTGTAATGTTTATTTCTTTTATTCTGCTTACTTTAGTTTTAATTTGCTCTTTTTTCTAGTTTCTTAAGGTAGAATCTCATTGATTTTTAGATCTTCTTTTCTAATATATGTATTTAGTGCTACAAATTTTCCTTTACTGCGTCCCACAAATTTTGGTAAATTGTATTTCCATTTTCATTTGGTTCAAAATATTTTTAAATTTCTCTTGAGACTTCTTTGACCAATGTGGTATTCAGAAGTATGTTTAATCTCCAAGTATTTGGGGGACTTTACCTTTCATACTGTGTATGATTTCTGTTCTTTTAAATTTGGTAAAATGTTTTATGGCCCAGAATGTTGTCTATTTTGGTGAATATTCCATGTGAGCTTGAGAAGAATGTATATTCTGCTGTTATTCGATGAAGTATTCCATAAATGTCAATTAGATCCAATTGATTGATGCTACCATTCAGTTCAACCATGTTTTTACTGCTGATTTCCTGCCTGCTTTATCTGCCCCTTCCCGTCCCTCCCTGTCCCGCCCCTCCCCTCCCCTCCCCTTCTTTTCTTTCTGTGTTGAAACAGGGTATCACTCTGTCATCCAGACTAGGGTGCAGTGGCACAATCTTGGCTCACTGCAACCTCAAAATCCTGGATTCAAGCAATCCTTTGGCCCCAGCTTCCTGAGTAGTTAGGACTACAGTCATGCACCACAACATGCAGCTTTTTTTTTTTTTTTTTTTTTTGGGTAGAGATAGGGTTCTCGCTATGTTGCCCAGGTCTCGAACTTCTGACCTCAATCCATCTTTCTGTCTTGGCCTCCCAAAGTGCTGGGATTACAGGTGTGAGCCACCACACCCAGTTGATCTGTCCATTTCTGATGGAAGGGTGTTGAAGTCTCCAACTATAATAGTGAATTCATCTTTTTCTCCTTGTAGTTGTATTAGTTTTCGGTAACTTTTGACTCACATATTTTGACACTCTCTTGTTAGGCTTATACACATTATGTCTTCTTGGAGAATTAATCCCTTTAACATTATATAATGCAGGCCAGGCACAGTTACTCACACCTGTAATCCAGCACTTTGGGAGCCAAGGCAATAGGATCAGCTGAGGCCAGGAGTTTGAGACAAGTCTGGACAATGCATTGAGGCCTTGTCTCTACAAATATTTTTTTAAAAAAATTAACCAGGCATGGCAACACGTGCCTGTAAGTCCCAGCTACTTGGGAGGCTGAGGCTGGAGGATCACTTATGCAGAGGAGTTCAGATTAGCCAGGGAACATAGCAAGACCTTGTCTTACACACACACACACACACACACACACATACACGTAACGCCATTTTCTATGCTGATAATTGTTTTGCTCTGAAGTCTGCTCTGTCAGAAATGAATATAGCTATTATTACATTTTCTTTTATTAGTGTTAGCATGGTATGTCTTTTTCTATCCCTTTACTTTTTTTTTTTTTTGAGAAGGAGTCTCGCTCTATCACCCAGGCTGGAGTGTAGTGCCGTAGTACTATGATCTTGGCTCATTGCCACCTCCGCCTCCCAGGTTCAAGTGATTTTCCTGTCTCAGCCTCCTGAGTAGCTGGGACTACAGGCGCACACCACCACGCCCAGCTAATTTTTGTATTTTTTTTGGAGACAGGGTTTCACCATATTGGTCAGGCTGGTCTCAAACTCCTGACCTCAGGTGATCCGCCTTCCTTGGCCTCCCAAAGTGCTGAGATTACAAGTGTGAGCCACCGCACCTGGGCTTATCCCTTTACTTTTCATCTGTCTTGGTATTTAAAGTATGTCTTTGTTTTGATTGGTATATTTAGACCACTGATATTTAAAGTGATTATTGATATAATTGGATTGTCACTATATTTGTTTTCTACTCCTTGCCCTTGTTCTTTCTTTGTCTGCTATTCTCTTTCTTCCTTCTCTGATTTTGAGTTCTTTCATAATTCCATTTTGTCTCCTCTCAGTGTATTAATTATACTTCTTTTAAAATTTTTTTAAGTGGTTAACCTAGTGTTTGCAATATACATCACAACTAATCTTTTTTGCTTGTGTAAGAAAATTTTTATTCTTCACATTTGAAGGATAATTTTACTGGATACAGAATTCTAGATTGGTGGATTCCAAATTTCTAAGTACTTTAGATATTTCACTCCACTCTCTTCTTGCTTGCATGGTTTCTGAGAAGTCCTGTGTAATTCTTATCTTTGCTCCTCTATAGGTAAGATGGTTTTGTCTTGCTTCTTTGAATATTTTCTCTGTGTCTTTTTCTGCAGTTTGAATATGATATGCCTAGATGTTGATTTTTCAGTATTTATCCTGCTTGGTGCTCTCTAAGCTTCCTGGATCTGTGGTTTGGTGTCTATCATTAATTTTGGAAAATTCTCTGCTATTATTACTTCAATTTTTTTTTTTTTTTTTTTTGAGACGGGGTTTTGCTCTTTTTTGCCCAGGCTACAGTGCAGTGGCACAATCTTGGTGCACTGCAACCTCCGCCTCCAGGGTTTAAGCAATTCTACTGCCTCAGCTTCCCGAGTAGCTGGGACTACAGATGCCCACCACCATACCCGGCTAATTTTTTGTATTTTTTGTAGAGATGGGGTTTCATCATGTTGGCCTTGAACTCCTGACCTCAAGTGATCCGCCCATCATGGCCTCCCAAAGTGCTGGGATTACAGGTGTGAGCCGCTGCACCCGGCCTCAGATATTTTTGTCTGTTCCTTTCTCCCTTCTTCCTTCTGGTATTCCCATTCTACATCTGTTATACATTTTGTAGTTGTCCCACATTCCTTAAATACTCTATTCTATCTATTTCTTTCTATTTTTTTTTTTTTTTTTTTTTTTGCATTTCAGTTTTGGAAGTTTTTATTGGCCTATCTTCAAGCTCACTGATTCTTTTCCCTGCCATGTATAGTCTATTGGTGAGTCAATCAAAGGCATTCTTTATTTCTGTTACAGTGGGTTTTTATTTCTAGCACCTTTTTTTGCTTCTCAGTTTCTCTCTGCCTGTATTACCCATTTCTTCTTGCACACTGTCTACCTTTTTCATTAGAACCCTTAGCATGTCAATTAGAATTAAAAAAAAAATTTCTAGTGTGGGCCTGGCATGGTAGCTCATTCCTATAATCCCACCACTTTGGGAGGCTGAGGTAGGATGATCACTTGAGCCCAGGAGTTTGAGGCTGTAGTGAGCTATGTTCATGCTACTGCACTCTAGCCTGGGTGACAGAGTGAGAACCTATCTCTAAAAACACAAACAACAAAATCCTAGTCTGATAATTCTAAAATCTCTGCCATATGTGTGTCTGTTTCTGATGCTTACTCTGGCTCTTCAGGCTGTGATTTTTGTCTTTTACTATGCCTTGTGAGTTTTTGTTAAGAGCCAGACCTAATATATGAGCTAAAAGGAAATGGGATTAAATAGACCTTTAGTGTGAGCTTTCATGCTTAATCTGCCTATGGGTTAGGCTGTGTTTACTGTTTGCTGTCACTACATAAGAGGCTATAATTGCCCTATGTGTCCTTATTTTTTTGTTTCCCCTGTTATCTTTGGGTTTCCCTACGGACTTTTTAAATAAGGTCTCAGATGTGCAGTTCTTTACATTATAACTCCCCCAGTACTGGTTCCAGCAGTGGTTTCTGTTCCTGGGCTTCTAGTTTGGCAAGCTGTGATTCTCTGCGTCCACTTGTCTGTCTCTAATTTTGGAGGAAGCAGATTGTCCTTTGACCTCAGTTCTCTAATGGATCTCAGAAGCGTCGTTGATTTTCAGCCATTTGGCTTACTGTGAGGGTGGAGTGATGACTCCAAGCTCCTCATATGCTGGACCAGGAACCAGAAATCTACTACTTTACATCTGATTTTGAACATGTGAATTCTTGTTTTTAATTTAATTTAAAAATCTACTAGTACAGTCTAGGTGTGTTAGCTCACTCCTGTAATCCCAACACTTTGGGAGGCCAAGGCAGGAGGATCACTTGAAGCCAGGAATTTGAGACAAGCCTGGGCAACATGGTAAGACCCCATCTCTACAAAAAATTTAAGAATTAGCTGGGCATGGTGGTGCACGCCTGTGGTCCTGGCTTCTCAGGAGCCTGAGGTGGGAGGATCACTTGGGCCCAGGAGGTCAAAGCTGGAGTGAGCTATTACCTTGCCACAGCAACCCAGACTGGGCAACAGCAAGACCCTGTCTCTAAAGAACAAACAAAAAACTACTACAACTTCACCTCTGTGGTCTTCCCCCCAAAATCCAATAACTCCAAAGTAACCACAAGAAATGTATCAAACAAACCCAATTTGAGGGCCATTCTACAACATACCTGACTAGTACTCTTTGGAACTGTCAAGGTCATCAAAAACAAGGAACATCTGAGAAACTGTCACAGTCCAGAAGTGGCTAAGTGGACATGATGACTAAACATAAAGTATCCTAGAACACAGGCAAAAACTAGTGAAAGTGAGTAAGATGTAGAGCTTAGTTAATAGGAGCATACTACTTTGGTTGATTGATTATTTGTGACAAATATACCATGGTTATGTAAGAGTTAACAACTGCAGACAGTGGATGCGAAGTATACAGAAAACTCTATGTCTTTGTAACTTCTTTGTAAATTGAAAACTATTTAAAATAAAAGGCGTACATAAATTAAAATTTTCAATTATCTTCTAAGGTTCTAAGCTGGTCTATGTCCATCACCTTCTTGGAGAAGGAGCCTTTGCCCAGGTGTACGAAGCTACCCAGGGAGATCTGAATGATGCTAAAAATAAACAGAAATTTGTTTTAAAGGTAAATGACCTGAGTTGTCTTTTGTATGATATAGAAATGAATTTTAGAACTTGAGTTTGCCAAGAAATTTTTTTTCTTTAAGATAGTGGTGTTTTTATTTATATCTACAGTTGGCAATTAAAAAACAAAAACTACAAAAGATTTAGAATTTTTTTCCCACTAAAATTGTCTTGGAGCAAGCCCCACATTGCAGCAACAGTTCATAGCTTGTCATCACTATCAACACCACATCTTTTATTGGGATAGAGGTTGCTTTATTGCTATCATTTTTCAGAATACGAGATTGGATATGAATTTCACATACCTGATTTGCAGGTCCAAAAGCCTGCCAACCCCTGGGAATTCTACATTGGGACCCAGTTGATGGAAAGACTAAAGCCATCTATGCAGCACATGTTTATGAAGTTCTATTCTGCCCACTTATTCCAGAATGGCAGTGTATTAGTAGGAGAGCTCTACAGCTATGGAACATTATTAGTAAGTATTCATTTTTATGATGAGCACATGAATTTAAAATGGATTTTTGGCTTGTACCTTGCACGTACTTTTGTGGTTGGGGCTTTTGTGGAGTGGTGGGCAGGGGCAAAGCTCTCAATTTGAAATTTTATTAATCTTGTGCAACTAACTCAGGATTCCACTTTCCATTGTTCCTAGAATGCCATTAACCTCTATAAAAATACCCCTGAAAAAGTGATGCCTCAAGGTCTTGTCATCTCTTTTGCTATGAGAATGCTTTACATGATTGAGCAAGTGCATGACTGTGAAATCATTCATGGAGACATTAAACCAGACAATTTCATACTTGGAAACGGGCAAGTGTTATGCTTTTAACAGGGTTCTTCTCTTCCTATTTCCATAGCAGCCTTTCATCATTTGTGCTCATGCAGCCTGGCTTTGTTTGTGTTTAATATAGATTTTTGGAACAGGATGATGAAGATGATTTATCTGCTGGCTTGGCACTGATTGACCTGGGTCAGAGTATAGATATGAAACTTTTTCCAAAAGGAACTATATTCACAGCAAAGTGTGAAACATCTGGTTTTCAGTGTGTTGAGATGCTCAGCAACAAACCATGGAACTACCAGGTATAAAACTAAAGTGAGGGACTTGGAAATATTTTTCTGTGTTGCGCTTATCAGATTTTCAAAATGAATTTGGGGATCTAGGTAGTTTGAGGTGGTCTTTTGAGGAGCAGTTGAAGGAGAGATGAGCCTAAGGCCAACATGGCAGGGATAGAATTCTATTCCTGAAGAATACTCTGCTTTCTTATTAGTCCATTATAGATCCTGTTATCAGGAAAGGGGGGCAGATATATTCTGTGAGTTTGATCATAGGGAAGAGTATTTAATGATTAGTGAACCCTTCAGAAAGGAAGTCATGCAGCAAAGAGACAGCTTGGTTTATTGAGATCAAGGTAGGCCAGCCCAATTTCCTAAATCAGGGATAACAGGGAGACCTGCATGCCCACTCCAGGCAGAGTTGAGCACATGTTGGATATACCTGGGATGCTCTCAGGCAGGATGGTGGGTTTGACTGTAATAGATGGTACAGCCAGATTCCTAACTGGCCAGATCAAGAAATGGATCATTATTATTCTAATGGAAGACTGCTGAATTTTCAACCAACTAGAATATTAGGTGACCAGGGAGGAGAATGCTAATTGGGATAAATGAAATATTTTGAACCTGGGTTTAACAAAACCAACTGCCAAGTTCCCTGGTGAGAGCTATGTCTTTCCAGGAGCCCATGGTAAAAGGGGCAAAGATTTGGTGGGGGTGGGGAGGGGTCTTGTTTCTGGTATGTTGTCACTGCTAGTGAGGCCTTAGGAGATGGTCATCTTCTATCCTGTGGATGTGGATGGGGCTGGAGTGTTCTTTTCAATTATGAACATATCACACAACAAGAGGCCATGGGGGCGAGTTAGAGAACTACGACCAGAGTCCCAGGGGAGTGAGCTGGGAGGACTTCCAAGCTGTCTATGTGGAAGAGGGCTTAGAGTGTTGTGTTTGTCCTCTGTGTGACAGAATGAAGGACTTGAGAGGGACATGGTAGCTCAGGAGGGCAGAGCTTTTCAAGAGACTGGAAGCCTGTGGCAAAGCCTAGATATTCAGTAAGACATGTTAGTGGGGCGATTGAACAAATGCCTTCCAAAATGTTTTAAAAGTAAAATCCTGTGAGTATTTAACTTGCTGCCTAAGTTAGACAGGCATCTTGATATAGTCATGTGTAAATTACTATTTAAGTCATATATACCTCTATCTTCTTCATAGATCGATTACTTTGGGGTTGCTGCAACAGTATATTGCATGCTCTTTGGCACTTACATGAAAGTGAAAAATGAAGGAGGAGAGTGTAAGCCTGAAGGTCTTTTTAGAAGGTGAGTATTAGCATTGGTGCTGTAGTGAAAAGAGAATAACTAAAGTAGAATGTTGGGTTCCATCTGGCAAAAAAAAAAAAAGGATCTCTGCCACCGCATGGAAATCCTATGCCTTGGGCAATATGGTGACAGGACAGTCCTGGGCACTGGGCACAGGGAGCAAGCTGCATAGCTTTACCACTTCTCTCTCCCCACTGGGGCAGCTGATGTCCTCACTGAAAGCTCCTGGCCAAATGGTTGACATCCTGTACACACGCAAATGTTTCCACCCCTAATCACCTAATGTCACTGGACCTCAGGTTCTCACTGGTTTTTTCTTTTTTCTTTTTTTTCTTTTTTTTTTTTTTGGTCTATGGAAATACTGATCCTATTTTTGTCAGATATTTGTAAGAAGCGAAGGAAATAGTGTATGTGAAAGTGCTTCATAAATTATAAAGTAATATGAATAGCTCTCTCTCACAGGACAGTCCTAGCCCTGTGTTTCTTGGGCTTCTCAAAGATTTTTTTTTATCTATAAATCACAGTGAAAATTCATGATTAGGCAAGAGCTCTTCCTGTCAACATGGATGGCTCTCCTAACACAATGTGTGAACAAACTGTTGGAATGTTTTGTTTAAGCTGAGTATTTGGTACCTGCATATTCATTATATCACTTATACTTTCTTTTTTGAGGCATAAAAACATGCAGAAAAGTACACTCATCTTAAGTGTACAGCCTAATGGACTTTTACATATGTTTATATCTTCTTGAGAAAACGTAAGAGTAGGAACCTCATCTGTGAACCTCATCTCCCCCAGCCCCCACAAAAAAAAAAGAAAAATGGCAATAATTTTATGAAATGTCATATACTGTACATAAGTAAGGTTAGGTTCAGGCCCTGGAGGAAAGCTTATAACAACTATTCTTTATTCTGCATAATGAGCCCTCATGTTTAGTAAATACTTTATTCCATCTTTGGCTCAAAATTGAAGGAACAGATAGTTTCATCTCTGACCACCAGTGTGAAGAAGAGCTGGAAGTTAACCCTCAGCAGGCCTGATGGCATTTCCTATGTGGAGCACAATTCCTTTGCATTCTACTTTCTCTCCAACACCTTATCTCCATGTTCTGGAGTTTCTGCAGTTAATTTTAACAATTATAGTAGTTGGAACTCTTAACTCTTGAGCTCTCTCCTGGGCAGTCCAACCTGTCTACTTGGTCCTGGTGCATATGCAGTTAGGCTTGACAGAAGCATTTGTCCAGATTATCCAATTCTAGCAGTATTGTATGTATGGCTAGCCAGAAGCAGATAGTTTGGGTTTTTATTTAAAGGGAGAGAGAGAAAATTTTTTGACTTGCAGTATTGCTAAAAGATTACTTATCTTATTTTTTGGAACAAGATGTATAAGACAGTTAATTGGGTCTTTAATCTCTCTCATGTATAATAGATATAGTGTTTCCATACTTGCTGCATTGTATTGTGTTTAGGTGAGAGTTGTTATACTAAACTGTCCAAGCCTGTGGAAGTCAGATGCAGGGGTGGGGTTATCCTGCATATTGAAGGCTACATTTTAGCCATTATTTATGCTTTGTCTTTTTCAGGCTTCCTCATTTGGATATGTGGAATGAATTTTTTCATGTTATGTTGAATATTCCAGATTGTCATCATCTTCCATCTTTGGATTTGTTAAGGCAAAAGCTGAAGAAAGTATTTCAACAACACTATACTAACAAGATTAGGGCCCTACGTAATAGGCTAATTGTACTGCTCTTAGAATGTAAGCGTTCACGAAAATAAAATTTGGATATAGACAGTCCTTAAAAATCACACTGTAAATATGAATCTGCTCACTTTAAACCTGTTTTTTTTTCATTTATTGTTTATGTAAATGTTTGTTAAAAATAAATCCCATGGAATATTTCCATGTAACTTAGTTGTTATAAATATTTCAACAAAATATACAACCCCATAAGGTCCCTATATAGCAGGCTGATTGGGCTGCTTCTGGGATGCAAGCATTTGTGAGAATAATTCAGACATGAGCATTCTCTAGAAATCACTTTTTAAACACTGACCTGTTTAAGCCAAAAAAGGGCCAAGACAGCTATTTTCCAAATTTGAAGTTTGGTGTCTGTGTAAACACACACACACACACACACACACACACACACACACTTCCCTAACATTTCCAAGGGACTTCAAGTTTTTATGAATAAAGCTTGCCTGTCCTTTATTGTACCTGTTCTTCATTGCTCTCTACGAAGTACAAATCCTAAGCCTGTTTATTTTTTAAAAGTACCAAAGGAAAATCTCTGATCTTAAAGTCTTTCTTATAAGCTATATAGATCATTAACTAACCATCTCTAAAATTATAGCAGACAACTTGGCATTTGTTGACTTTCAGAGCTGGAAGGGCCTTCTAGCCTGGACTGACCTTCCTTCCTCCATCCCTCCTTCCCTTGTTCCCTTAGCATTACAATGAAAACAAATCCCAGGTTATGCACAGTTCAGGACAGAGTGAATTGCTTCCTCCTACCATTATCAGCCATCGTGTTGCCCATTCCAGAGGCAATCACACCCCATTTTTTATGAATCTTTCCAAAAAGAATGTAATGCATATTTCTATATACTGTATTTTTGAAGCAACTAGCATAATTCTGCTTTTTTTACTTAATGTGTGGCAACAGAGAATATAACTACATATGGAATGACCTCATGCTTTTCAACAGTCGCGTATTAGTTGGTTATGTGATATATCTGTCATACAAATGCCTAGAAGTGAAATTGCTGGGTCAAAGGTGAGTGCGTTTAAAATTTTGTATTAATATCTGCAAATAGCCTCCCATGGGAGTTGTATCAGCCATCTATAAGTGTCTTTGTTCTCCACGCTCTCATTAGGACAGATCAGGCTCTCTTTGACTTTTGCCAATCTGATTGATGAAAAAATATGTCTTTTTTTAAAAAATTATACTTTAAGTTCTAGGGTACATGTGCACAACGTGCAGGTTTGTTACGTATGTATACATGTGCCACGTTGGTGTGCTGCACCTGTTAACTCGTCATTTACATTAGGTATATCTCCTAACGCTATTCCTCCCCCCTCCTCCCACCCCACGGCAGGCCCCAGTGTGTGGTATTTCCCACCCTGTGTCCAAGTGTTCTCATTGTTCAATTCCCACCTATGAGTGAGAACATGCGGTGTTTGGTTTTCTGTCCTTGCAATAGTTTGCTCAGAATGATGGTTTCCAGCTTCATCCATGTCCCTGCAAAGGACATGAACTCATCCCTTTTTATGGCTCCATAGTATTCCATGGTGTATATGTGCCACATTTTCTTAATCCAGTCTACCATTGATGGACATTTGGCTTGGTTCCAAGTCTTTGCTATTGTGAATAATGCCACAATAAACATACGTGTGCATGTGTCTTTATAGCAGCATGATTTATAATCCTTTGGGTATATACCCAGTAATGGGATGGCTGGGTCAAATGTTATTTCTAGTTCTAGATCCTTGAGGAATCGCCACACTGTCTTCTGCAATGGTTGAACTAGTTTACAGTCCCACCAACAGTGTAAAAGTGTTCCTATTTCTTCACATCTTCTCCAGCACCTGTTGGTTCCTGACTTTTTAATGATCACCATTCTAACTGGTGTGAGATGGTATCTCACTGTGGTTTTGATTTGCATTTCTCTGATGGCCAGTGATGATGAGCATTTTTTCATGTGTCTGTTGGCTGCATAAATGTCTTCTTTTGAGAAGCGTCTGTTCATATCCTTTGCCCACTTTTTGATGGGGTGGTTTGATTTTTTTCTAGTAAATTTGTTTAAGTTCTTTGTAGATTCTAGATATTATCCCTTTGTCAGATGAGTAGATTGCAAAATTTTTCTCCCATTCTGTAGGTTGCCTGTTTACTCTGATGGTAGTTTCCTTTGCTGTGCAGAAGCTCTTTAGTTTAATTAGATCCCATTTGTCAATTTTGGCTTTTGTTGCCATTGCTTTTGGCGTTTTAGACATGAAACCTTGCCCATGCCTGTGTCCTGAATGGTATTGCCTAGGTTTTCTAGGGTTTTTATGGTTTTAGGTCTAACATTTAAATCTGTAATCCATCTTGAATTAATTTTTGTATAAGGTGTAAGGAAGGGATCAAGTTTCAGCTTTCTACATATGGCTAGCCAGTTTTCCCAGCACCATTTATTAAATAGGGAATCCTTTCCCCATTGCTTGTTTTTGTCTTTATTGTCTTAATTTGCATTTCTGTCATGAATTAGGCCAAATATACTTTGTAAGAGCTATGTGTGTTTTCCTTGCCTGTGAACTCTACCCTTTGTCCATTTTTCATTTGGATTGTTCTTTTTCTTGCCCCCGACACAGACAGTGATGCCCCGGATAGCACCCCAACCCACTCCCCACCACGGGCAGTGCAGCCCCAGATAGTGCACCTACCCCACAGCCTTTCTACCACTCTGGCCGTGCTGCAGTCTCCGTCGTCGTCACCACCAACCGCAGCGAGGCGAGCCACGGTGCCACACCCAGCTAATTTTTGTATTTTTAGTGGAGACAGAGTTTCACTATGTTGGCCAGGCTGGTCTCAAACTCCTGACTTTGTGATCCACCCGCCTCAGCCTCCCAAAGTGCTGGGATTACAGGCATGAGCCACCACGCCCAGCCGAGAGATTTTTAAAAGAATCTTTGCTAAATATTCATAAAAGCTCTTTCTGGATGGTAACATTTAAGGTGAGTTTAAATTCATATTATTGTTTGAATTTCTATAATGTATGCATCATTTCTACAGAAATCTAGCGATGGCATTTTGCTACAAAGTGAAAAAACCTTGTTCAATGGGAAGGATGGGTGAAAATCAAAAGGTATTAGAAAAGGAATAAATGTAATTAGGGCTGCCCAGCAACAGAACACAGCAGTCTGCTTTACAAAGGTTGATCCACTGGCTTTGGAAGTATCCCGGCAGAAGAGGATGAAGGGCTGTCTCTGCAGAGATTTCACCCTGTGCCTCCAGCCTTGAGTCCATACATCTGAAGCCATGACTGTGCTGCAGTTGGCTACTGTCCAGCCACATTTGGGAGGTACTGGTCTCAAAATGTTTAAAAGGGAAAACAGAATGAAGGGCACTTCTCTCCCCACTGGGGCAGCCCACACCTCCACACCCTCAAGTGCCTGCCCAATGGCTGTCAGTTCCGTCAAGTCACCTTCTCCTACTCTAGTATTACCACAAGAATTGACATTTTCAAGCTGAAAAAAAAAAAAGAAGTCATGTTACAAATAAGTGAGTGGAGGCCCAAAGGAAGCCCTTTGACTATGATTTCCAATTTTCTCTTCAATCAATACTGCAGAGATACAAGGATAAACCACCATTTTGGTTCCCAAGTTTTATTCAAGAACGCATACAAAATATTCCAGACAAACGAAATTTAATCCTCGTCTTCCTCCTCTTCTTCGTCCTGGTTAATTTGGAAGGAACGTAATTTGTAACTCTCTTTGCTGTTAGCAACTATGCACAAACCAATCATGAAGATTATTCTTCTTCAAATATTTTTTGGTGAGATATTTCAAATACCTTTTGGAAAAATGCACCTTGGATGTCACGGTGATCTTGCTCTTGCTCCTTTTGACGGTCACCACCCCTTCGCCAAGGTTCCCAGCTTTTCCGTTCACTTTGATCCTTTCTTGCAAAAACTGCTCAAAATTGGCAGCATCCACGATTCCATCTTCTATGGGGTGGGTGCAACCAAGAGTGAACCTCAGAACCTGCTTTTTTTTTTGCCCACCTTCTCCACAAGCTTTCTCACGGGCACCATGGCAGCAGCGGAGGCAGAAAGCCAGATATCTCTTTAACGTACTGATTTTCTTTTCTTTGGATGTATATCCAGTGATGGGATTGCTGGATCATATGGTAGTTTAATTTTTAGTTTTTTGAGGAACCTCCATACTGTTTTCCACAGTCGCTGTACTAATTTACATATCCACCAACAGTGTAAAAGAATTCCCTTTAATCTGCAGCCTCTCCAGTATTTGTTATTTTTTTGTGTTTTTGGTAATAGCTATCTTAACTGGGGTGAAATGAAGTCTCATTGCAGTTTAGATTTGCATTTCCCTGATGGTTAGTGATATTAAGCATTTTTTCTTATACTTGTTGGCCATTTGTAGATCTTTTGAGAAATGTCTACTTCGATCATTTGCCCATTTGAAAACATTGGGTTATTTGTTGTTGTGTTTTATTTGTTGTTATTTGAGTTCTTTGTTTATTCTGGATATTAATCCCTTGTCAAATGAGTAGTTTGTAAACAGTTTCTCCCATTCTGCAAGTTGACTCTTTACTCTGTTGATTGTTTCCTTTGCTGTGCAGAGGTTTTTTAGTTTGATATAATCCCATTTGTCTATTTTTGTTTTGTTGCCTGTGTTTTTGTGGTCTCATCTGTAAAATCTTTGCCCAGCTCAATGACCTAAGCATTTTCCTTATGTTTTCTTCTAGTAGTTTTGTAGTTTTGCATTTAAGTTTGTAATCCATTTTGAGTTTATTTTTGTATATGGTGAGAGATAGGGGTCTAGTTTTATTCTTCTGCATATGGATATCCAGTTTTCTC
The DNA here is from genome assembly GCF_000001405.40 of Homo sapiens. Lineage (NCBI taxonomy): Eukaryota > Metazoa > Chordata > Mammalia > Primates > Hominidae > Homo > Homo sapiens. The sequence continues at coordinate 110,633,160 of NC_000002.12, read as the reverse complement.
AGTACCATTTATTTATTGTTTTTTTATTTATTTTGAGATGGAGTTTCGCTCTTGTTGCCCAGGCTGGAGTGCAATGGCGCGATCTCAGCTCACCGCAACCTCTGCCTCCCAGGTTCAAGTGATTCTCCTGCCTCAGCCTCCCGAGTAGCTGGGATTACAGGCATGTGCCACCATGCTAATTTTTGTATTTTTAGTAGAGACAGGGTTTCTCCCTGTTGGTCAGGCTGGTCTCGAACTCCCAACCTCAGGTGATCTGCCCACCTCAGCCTCTGAAAGTGCTGGGATTACAGGTGTGAGTCACTGCGCCCAGCCTATTCATTGTATTTCTGTGGTATCACTTGTAATGTTGTCTCCTTTTTCACTTCTGATTTTATTTATTTGGGTTTTCTGTCTCTTTTTGTTTGTTGATAGTTTCCTTTGCTGGGTAGAAGCTTTTTAACTTGATGTGATCACATTTGTCCATTTTTGCTCTGGTTGTCTGTGCTTATGGCATATTACTCAAGAAATTTTTGAGTAATGTCATGTCCAATGCCCTGGAGAGTTTGCCCAGTGTTTTCTTGTAGCAGTTTCATAGTTTAAGGTCTTAAATTTAAGTCTTTAATCTATTTTGGTTTAATTTTTGTTTAAAGTGAGAGATAGGAATCAAGTTTCATTCTTTTGCATATAGATATCCAACTTTTCCAGCACCATTTATTGAAGAAACTGTTTTCTCCCCAATGCCTGTTCTTGGCACTTCTGTCGAAAATGAGTTCACTGTAGGCATGTAGATTTGTTTCTGGGTTTTCTGTTCTGTTCCATTGGTCTATGTACATGGTTTTATCCAGTACTATGCTGTTTTGGTTACTATAGCTCTGTACAGGTAATGTAATTCCTCCAGTTTTGTTCTTTTTGCTTAGGATAGCTTTGGTAATTCTGGGTCTTTTGTGATTTCATATGAATTTTATGATTGTTTTTTCTATTTATGTGAAGAATGTCTTTGGTATTTTGATAGGGATTGCATTGAACCTGTAGATTGCTTTGGGTAGTATGGACATTTTAACAATATTAATTCTTCTAATCCATAAATGTGGAATATCTTTCCATTTTTTGTGTGTCCTCTTCAATTTCTTGCATGAGTTTTCATTGTAGAGATCACTTCTTTGGTTAATTCCTAGGCATTTAATTTTATGTGTGGCTATTGTGAATGGGATTACTTTTTAAATTTCTTTTTCAAATTATTTACTGCTGCCATATAGAAATGCTACTGATTTTTGTTTTTTGATCTCGTATCCTACAAATTTACTGGATTTGTTTGTCAGTTCTATTAGATTTTTGGTGGAGTCTTAAGGTTTTTCCAAATATGAGATCATATCACCTGCAAACAAGGATAATTTGACGTCTTCCTTTCCAATTTTGATGTCCTTTATCTTTTTGTCTTGATTGCTCTAGCTAAGACTTCCAATACTATGTTAAATAACAGTGGTAAAACTGGGCATCCTTGTCATCTTCCAGATTTAAGATAAAAGGCTTTTAGTTTTTCCTTATACAGTACAATACTAGCTGTGAGTCTGTCATATATGGCTTTTATTACCTTGAGGTATGTTTCTTCTATACCCAGTTTTTTTTTTGTTATAAAATGTAATTTTATTTTATGTTACTCTGTTACTCTGCTGTTATATGGGGCATAACATTTTCTTTTCTTTTCTTTTTTATTTTGAGATGGAGTCTCACTCTGTCGCCAGGCTGGAGTGCAGTGGCATGATCTCGGCTCACTGCAGTCTCCGCCTTCTGAGTTCAAGCCTCAGCCTCCCAAGTAGCTCCGGGACTACAGGCGCAGGCCACCATGCCCAGCTAATTTCTGTATTTTTAGTAGAGACAGGTTTTCACCATGTTGGCCAGGATGGTCTCAATCTCTTGACCTCATGATCCGCCTGCCTCGGCCTCCCAAAGTGCTGTGATTACAGGCGTGAGCCACTGCGCCCGGCCAAGAAGACACAACAGTCTTTAATGTGTATTTGAGTAACAACAAAGCATCAAAATATAACTGCAAGTGGAAGTAGATGAATCAATTATAACATGTGGAGGCTTCAACACCCCTCTCAGAAATGAACAGATTCAGCAGGCATAAAATCATAAGGATATAGTTAAACTTAACAGAACCATCAATTACATGAATCTAATTGACATCTAGAGACTACTTCATCCAAGAGCAGGTTACATATTCTCCAGCTCACATGAAATATTCCCCAAGGTAGACCACATTCTGGGCCATAAAACATACTTCCACAAGTATAAAAGAATAGAAAAAGTAGAAATCATACAAAGCATGTAGCATTTTCATTAAAGATATTAGTAAAATTGATAAACCTTTAGTCAGGCTAATCAAGAAAAAAGAATAAAGACACAAATTACTAATATTAGAATAAAAGAAGAGTGATCAATATTGACCCCAGGGATGTTTAAATGAAATTTAAAGAGTAATAAAGGAATATTTTAAACAACTCTATGCCTATAAATTGGATAACCTAGGTAAAATGGACTAATTTATTGAAAGAATCATGCAAGGATGATCTGAGAAGGTCTACATCTGTTTTAAAAATTGAATCCCTAATTAATAACCTTCCAGAACAGAAAGTACCAGGTGCAGTTGGTGTCACTGTTAAATTCTATCAAATATTTAAGAAAAAATTGTACCAATTCTCCATAGTCTCGTCCAGAAAATAGAAGCAGGAAACACTTCCTAACTCATTCTATGAGGCCAACATTACCGTAATACCAAAAACAGATAAAGGCATTACATGAAAAGATAACAACAAACTAATATCTTTCATGAATATAGAAGTAAAAATCCTCAACAAAATGGTAGTAACTCAAGCCTAACAAAGTTAAAAGAAGAAATATACACCATGACCAAGTGGGACTTATTCCAGATATGCAAGCCTGTGTTAACATTTGGAAATCAGTTAATCTAACCAATTATGTCAACAGAATAACAATAAAAGTCATGATTATATGAATAGTTGCAGAAAAGATACTTGACAAAATTCAGTACCCATTTATGATAGCTGTCGGCAAATCAGGATTGGGGGAGAACATGGTCAACTTGGTAAAAAGCATCTATAAAAACCCTAAAGATGGTCGGGCTCGGTGCCCCACGCCTGTAATCCCAGCATTTCAGGAGGCCGAGGCCGGCAGATCACTTGAGGTCAGGAGCTCAAGACCAGCCTGGCCAACGTGGCAAAACCCCATCTCTACTAAAACTACAAAAAATTAGCTAGGAGTAGTGGTGGGCACCTGTAATCCCAACTACTTGGGAGGCTGAGGCTGGAGAGTCACTTGAACCCAGGAGGCAGAGGTTGCAGTGAGCTGAGATCACGCCACTGCACTCCAGCCTGGGCGACAGAGAAAACTCTGTCTCAAAAAACTAAAAAATAAAAAACTCTAAAGCTATCATCATACTTGATGAGAGACTAGACGCTTTCACCCTAAGATTAGAACAAAGGAAATGTATCTCCTCTCCCCACTACTATTCAGCATTGTATTGGAAGTTTTAGCTAGAAGAATAAGATAAGAAGAGGAAGTAAAGGTGTATTGATTAACAAAAACAAAACACTTGTCTCTTTACAGATGACATGATTGTCTATGTAGAAAATCCCAGAGTCTTGACAAAAGTACTTCTGGAACTGTTAAGTGATTACAGTAAGGATGCAGATTACAAGGTTATATACAAAAGTCAATTGCTTTCTATATACCACCAATGAACAATTGGAATTTAAAATTTAAAACACAATTCCACAAAAAGGAAGTACTTAAAAATCTTAAAAAATATACAAGATATAGGCCAGGGGAGGTGGCTCACACCTGTAATCCCAGCACTTTGGGAGGCCGGGATGGGCGGATCACCTGAGGTCAGGAATTTGAGACCAGCCTGGCCAACATGGTGAAATCCCGTCTCTACGAAAAATAGAAAATTAGCCGGGCATGGTGGCAGGTGCCTGTAATCCCAGCTATTTGCGAGGCTGAGGCACAAGAATTGCTTGTACCTGGGAGGCGGAGGTTGCAGTGAGCCGAGACCGTGCCATTGCACTCCAGCCTGGGTGACAAGAGGGAAACTCCTTCTCAAAAAAACAAAAACAAAAACAAACAAACAAACTATATATGTATGAATGATATATATGGGGAAGACTACAAAACTCTGATAAAAAATAAAGATTTGAATAAACAGAGAAGTATTCCATGTTCATGAATAGGAAGATCCAATATTGTTAGGATGTCAGTTATTCCCAACTTAATCTGTAGATCCAATACAATCCTAATAAAAATCTCAGCAAGTTGTTTTGTGGAATTAACAAATTGATTCTAAAGTTTATATAAAGAGGCAAAAGACCCAGAATAGTCAACATGGTATTAAAGGAGAATGAAGTCAGAGTACTGACACCATCTGATTTCAAGACTTACTCACTTATCTCACTTATAAGTGAGAACATAACGCTAGAACAATCAGGACAATGTGGTATTAGCAGAACATTAGATGAATAGGTCAATGGAATAGAATTGAAAGCCCAAAAATAGATGCCAACAGGTATAGTCAACTGATATTTGCAAAGGAGCAAAGACAATTTAATACAGAAATAAATGATGCTGAAATGATTGGACATCTACATTAAAAAAAATCTAGCCAGGCATGGTGGCTCACACCTGTAATCCCAATGCTTTGGGAGGCGGAGATGGGAGAATCACTTGAGCTCAGGAGGTCAAGACCAGCCTGTGCAACATAGAGAGACCCCCTGTCTACAAAAAATTTAAAAATTAGCTGAGTGTGGTGGCTAGTGCCTGTAGTCTCAGCTACTCGGGAAGCTGAGGTGGGAGGATGGCTTGAACCTGGGAGGCTGACGCTGCAGTAAGCCATGATGGCATCACTGCACTACAGCCTGGGTGGCAGAGCAAGACCCCATCTCAAAAAATAATAAAAATCTAGACATAGACCTTACACGTTTCACAAAAATTAACTCAAAGTGTATCAATGACTTCAATGTAAAATGCAAAATGATAAAACTTTAAAAATATAACATTGAAGAAAATCTAGGTAATCATGGGTTTGGCTGACTTTTTAGGTATGAAACCAAAAGCAATATCCATAAAAGAAAAATCGACAATTGGACTTTGCTAAAAATAACAATTGCTGTTCTGTGAAAGACACTATTAAGAGAATGAGAAGACAAGCCACAGGTTGAAAGAAAATATTTGCAAAGATATATCTGATAAAGGACTGTTATCCAAAATATACAAAGAACTCTTTTTTTCTATTTTTCTTTTTGCAACTTTTAGTTTTGATTCAGCGGATATTTGTGCAGATTTGCTACCTGGGTATATTGTGTGATGCTGATGTTTGGGGTATGAATGATCCTGTCACTCAGGTGTCAAGCATAGTACCCAATAGTTTTTCAACCCTTGCCACCTCCCATCCCCCTCATTTACTAGTCCCCAGTGTCTATTGCCATCTTTACGTCCATGAGTACCCAATGTTTAGCTCCCACTTATAAGTGAGAATATGTGGCAGTAGATTTTCTGTTCCTGGGTTTATTCACTTAGGATGATGGACTGCAGTTGCATCCATGCTGTTGCAGAGCATAGGATTTTGTTCCTTTTTATGGCTGCATAGTATTCCATGGTATATATGTACCATGTATTCTTTATCAAATCCACCATTGATGGGCACCTAAGTTGATTCTATGTCTTTGCTTTTGTGAATAGTGCTATGATGAACATGTGAGTGCAAGTGTCTTTTTGGTAGAACAATTTTTCTTTTGGATATATATCCAATAATGGGATTTCTGGGTTGAATGGTAGTTCTAAGTTCTTTGAGAAATCTCCAAACTGCTTTCCACAGTGGCTGAGCTAATTTACATTCCCAACAATACTGTATAAGCATTCTCTTTTCTCTGCAGTCTTGTCAGCATCTGTTGTTTTTTGACTTTGTAATAATAGCCATTCTTACTAGCGTGAGATGTTTTCTCATTGTGGTTTTGATTTGCATTTCTTTGATGAATTAGTGATGTTGAGCATCTTTTCATATATTTCTTAGGCACTTATATGTTTTCTTTTGAGAAATTTTTTTTTTTTTTTGCTTGTTGATTTGTTTACATTCCTTATAGATTCTGGATGTAGACCTTTGTCAGACGTGTAGTTTGCGAATAGTTTCTCCCATTCTGTGGCTGTTTACTCCAAATTATACAAAGAATTCTTAATAGCCAATAATAATAAAATAAATGATCTAATTAACAAGTAAGTAAGAGATCTGAATAGATATCTCACCAAAGTAGATATACAAATGGCAAATAATTAATTGTATGAAAAGATGCTCAACATCATATGTCACCAGGGAACTGGAAATTAAAACAACAATTACATATCACTAAACACCGATTAGAATGGCTAAAATCCAGAACACTGATAACATCGAATGCTGGTGAGAATGTGGAGCAACAGGAATTCTCACTCATTGCTGGTGGAAAAGCAAAGCAGCACCATTACTTTGGAAGACTTTGGCTGTTTCTTACAAAACTAAACATACTCTTACTATACAATCTACTAATCAAGCTCTTTGATATTTATCCAAAGAAGTTGTAAATTTATGTCCCCACCAAAAATGCACATGAGTGCGTATAGCAGCTTTATTCACAATTGTCTCAAACTGGAAGCAGTAGGTGAATGGATAAACAATCTGTGGTATATCTATATCATGGAATATTATTCAGCAATAAAAGGATGTGAACTATATATATTTTTTCCGTTTTGTTTGTTTGTTTTTGTTTTTGTTTTTTGAGACAAGGTCTGGTTCTATTGCCCGGGCTGGAGTGTGGTGGTGTGATCTTGGCTCACTGCAATCTTTGCCTCCCAGGCTGAAGTTTTTCTCCCACCTCAGCCTCCCAAGTACCTGGTACTACAGGCATGTACTATTATGCCCAGTTAATTTTTTAAAATTTTTTATAGAGGTAGGATTTTGCCATGTTGCCCAGGCTGGTCTTAAACTTGTGAGCTCAAGTGATCTGCTCACCTCAGCCTCCCAAAGTGCTGAGGTTACAAGCATGAGCCACCACGCTGTCCAGGACATGAACTGTTAAGCCATGCAAAATCATGGAGAAACTTTAAATGTATGTTGCAAGGTGAAGGAAGCCTGTCAGAAAAGGCTACACACTGTAAGATTCCAACCATTTGGCATTCTGGAAAAGGCAAAACTATAGAGACAGTAAAATGATCAGTAGTTGGTGGGGGATGGGAGCCAGGAATAAATAGGTGGAGCACAGCAGATTTTTAGGGCAGTAAAACTATTTTTTATGATTCTGTGATGATGGACATATGCCATTGTGCATTTGTCAGAAGCCCTAGAAGTACAAAACATAAAGGCATAGCCCGGCGGGGGATGGTGGCTCACGCCTTTAATCCCAGCACTTTGGGAGGCTGAGGCGGGTGGATCACCTGAGGTCAGGAGTTCAAGACCAGCCTGGGCAACATGGTGAATCCCCATCTCTGCAAAAATACAAAAATTAGCCAGGCATGGTGGTGTGTGCCTGTAATCCCAGCTACTCGGGAAGCTGAGGCGGGAGAATCGCTTGAATCCGGGAGGCAAAGGTTGCAGTCAGCCTAGATTGCACCATTGCACTCAAGCATGGGCAATAGAGTAAGATTCCATCTAAAAAAAAAAAAAAGGTAGTCCTAATTAAAATTAAGGATTCAGTGAATAATAATGCATCATTATTGGTTAATCAGTTGTAGCAAATGTACTACAGTGAAGTTAATGATAGAGGAAACTGGAAGAGGGGAGATGAGGAGAAAGTGGGGGAGGAAGTAAAGGAGACACTGTATTTTCTGCTTGGTTTTTCTGTAAAACCAAGCTCTAAACATAGTGTATTAGTTTTTAAAAAGGTAATGAAATGCTTGAAAAAAAGGTAAAGATATTGAGAAAAAGTTCTGGCTTCAATAGTTGAGTAATGAGCACAGCACATTTGATTGACAATTCTGAAATCTACATTAAACATACCAGCTAATTAGTTTCTATTACATTCCAATAAATGTATAAAGAATTAGAACAAATGAACTAATTTTCCAAAACTCTCCTGTAAACATGTAGAAAGATCTAAAGAGATACTAAATCAAACCACTGTTATAGGTGGTGACACTGTATTTGGAAAATGTTTATAAATGTGCCAATCCAAAATTATAAAAAAGTCATTTCGACTTCTAGGAATGGCAAGGTATTTGTGAAATCTCGCATAGACTTAAGTGATGTTTCCACAAATATTCTTCATTTTTTTTTTTTGTTATACACAACAGATGATGCTATGGTTTAGATGTTGGCCCCTGAACCTCATGTTAAAATTTAATACCCAGTGTTGGAGGTGGGGCCTAATGGGAGGTGTTTGGATCATGGGGTTGGCTCCCTCATGAGTAGATTAATGCCCTCCCTGGCGGGGGATTTATGAGTGAATTCTTGCTCTGTTAGTTCCCATGAGAGCTGGTTGTTAAAGGAGCCTGGTACCTCCTCCTCTCTCTCTTGCTTCCTCTCTCGCCATGCGATTTCTGCATGCCAACTCCCCTTTGTCTTTCTCCATGAGTGGAGGCAGCCAGAGGCCCTCACCACATGCCCAATCTTTCAGCCAACAGAATTGTGAGCCAAATAAATCATTTTTCTTTATAAACTATCTAGTCTCAGGTATTCTTTTATGGCAACCCAGATGGGCTGAGACAGATGATATCCATTCTTAGTAACATAGCGCAAATAATATATCTATATGCCTTTCTTATCCTTGATTTCTTTATATATGAAACATGATTCATATAGCACCATGATCTTCCCAATATTACTGAACATTTATTAAGAAAATATTCATTATCTTATCAGCATATGAGGTAATAAAAAATACCAGCTTTAGTAGTTAAGTGAATCTAATAGGTACAAAAATGAATATTTTATTACACTGAGCAAGATCCCCAGATTTAGAAAACAGACATTTATGACTATAAAATAATTATGACTAGACATAATCTAAATTCGTTTTGAGGTATAAAATTAGTTTTCCTTTCAAAATGATTCAAATCAACGACTCTAAAAAGTGTTTTTTTAAATATGCCTGATGTTCAAGGACGACTTTGCCCTATAAGATCATTAACAGGCTTAACGCCTGTAATCCCAGCACTTTGCGGGGCCGAGGTGGGCAGATCTCCTGAGGTCAGGAGTTCGAGCCTGGCCAGCCTGGTGAAATCCCGTCTCTACTAAAAATATAAAATTAGCTGGGCGTGATGATGGGTGCCTGTAATTCCAGTTACTCCGGAGGCTGAGGCAGGAGAACTGGGGTGGCGGAGGTTGCAGTGAGCCAAGATTGCGCCATTGCACTTGATTGAGCCTGGGCAAAAAGAGCAAAACCCTGTCTCAAAAAAAAAAAAATCATTAATAATACCTACACACTAAACTTTTGGTTCAGTTTGGTAGTAATTTGAATGTACTGTCTAAGGTAAACTAACTTTTGTTCCTGTCATTCTCAACCCAGTTGTTTAACATCAAGGTTAGAATGCCATGGTCTTGCATTTCCATCAAACTACTTCTTACAGGGTCCTAAATTTCCATTAAACTTAAGTTGAAGGAGATTGTCGGAAAAAAATATTAAGCTAAAGGAATTTTAAATTTTTTAACATTTATACCTTTTTTTTTTTTTTTTTTTTTTTGAGGCGGAGTCTCGCTCTGTCGCCAGGCTGGAGTGCAATGGCGTGATCTTGGCTCACTGCAACCTCCACCTCTCGGGTTCAAGCAATTCTCCTGCCTCAGCCTCCTGAGTAGCTGGGACTACAGGCGCACATCATCACACCCAGCTAATTTTTCTATTTTTAACAGAGACGGGGTTTCACCACATTGGCCAGGTGATCCACCCACCTCAGCCTCCCGAAGCGTTGGGATTACAGGCGTGAGCCACCGCACCTGGCCTAACATTTATACCTCTTTAAGAGGATCTGTCTCACAAATTCTTATCCTCTAAGTCTAAGCCAAATAAACAACACTAACCAATATACTTTCAGTGGACTGATTACAAGTTACCTTTCCATGGAAAATAAAACATTTTGGTTTTTCATTTTCTAGGTGTAAAAATTGCTTAGCCCGCCTTACCTTTAAAAGAGTATTTATATTGTAACCCCCAGTACTATTGCATAACTCTTCAATTTTCTGTACAACAGAGAATGAGACACAATTAGAATTCTATATTCCCCATTTAAAAAACTGGCTTAGGCCGGGCGCAGTGGCTCACGCCTGTAATCCCAGCAGTTTGGGAGGCCGAGGCGGGCGGATTACCTGAGGTCAGGCGTTCAAAACCAGCCTGGCCAACATGGCAAAACCCCATCTCTACGAAAAACACAAAAATTAGCTGGGCATGGTGGCATATGCCTCTAATCCCAGCTACTTGGGAGACTGAGGCAGGAGAATCGCTTGAACCCAGGAGGCGGAGGTTGCAGTGAGCCAAGATTGTGCCACTGCATTCTGGCCTGGGTGACAGAGAGAGACTCCATCTCAATAAATAAATAAATAAATAAATAAATAAATAAATAAATAAAGACTAGCTTAAAATAAACATGTATAAAAAATGAATTTACCCTTAGTAATAGAAAGGAAACCATATACTGCCTGAAATATCCCTACAATTTAGCATTTGTGAAACCTTTAGCATTTTATTCATATGTCTATGAATTGCATTATGACTTCTCTTTACTACACAACTCAGATGATTTGTTCCAAAGAAGTATAGAAACCTAACTTTGGAATGAACACCCAGCTGAGTTTCTTTCAGTGGAGAGCAGAGAGAGGTATATTTGGTATGACCAGCGTTCAGAGCAACTGAATCGAACCTCCACGGTGGAAACACTGATACTCTTGCTAGCTGATGTGTGCGGCTTCATCGGAGGATGAGTGTGTCTTTAGTGTCAGCTGAAACAGGGAAGATCACTTTGTTAAAGTTATCAAGTATTTGCAAGAAATACTTTCCAGTGATGGTAAAAGCCATGTGTATTGTCCTGAAAAGTCTCTAAGATGCTTTAATATAAGGTAATAAACCCATAGACAAATAGAGGAGTAGAGGCATCCTTTAAGAACTGTTCTGAGGCGGGCGCAGTGGCTCACACCTGTAATCCCGGCACTTTGGGAGGCTGAGGTGGGTGGATCACCTGAGGTCAGGAGTTTGAGACCAGTCTGGCCTTGTCAGGCATGGTGAAACATGGCAAAACACTGTCTCTACTAAAAATACAAAAAATTAGTTGGGCATGGTGGCAGGCACCTATAATCCCAGCTACTTGAAAGGCTGAGGCAGGAGAATTGCTTGAAGCCAGAAGGCAGAGGTTACAGTGAGCTGAGATCATGCCACTGCACTCCAGCCTGGGTGACAGAGTGAGACTCCATCTAAAAAAAAAAAAAGAAAACAAAAAACACTTCTAATAGGTGCAAGATTAGAAAGTTTGAGAAATAATTACAATTATTATTTAATATGATACAATTGTTTTTAAGAAATTTAGCCTAATGAATGTTAGGGTTGGATGGAACTTGACTTGATTTTTAACTACTGACAAGGTCACATAATGTGGTATGTTTTATGGACAACACATATGCTTTGCTGAATATATATTTCTTCCCTTAACAATAAAACCTGTTTCATAGCATGTCACACCATTTGTTAGCTTATCTCCAGAAAAAACTGATGTCATACAAGAGTCCCTTTAAAACCTGTTTGGATAATAATGAGTATTACAGTCATTCAAAACTTAATTAAAATGACAAACTCAAATATATGAAAAGTTCTCAATGCCAGCTCACTTCTTTTCTGAGCCTCTAAAGCATTTTATAGATTTATGAATTTTGAATTTTCAGTATGATAGATGTTTGACTGTGTTTAAATCATATATAGCCAGAAATGTACAATTCTCTAAAGTACATCACAGGCTGGTGGTGTTGAAGATGTGCTAAGTTAACACTGTGACAACATGAAAGGCTGCTGTGAACTGAATTCTGGTCACAGCACAAGAGTAGTGCATACAAGCACAACCATAGGAGATTGTGTGGGTCAAGGATACTTTTGCTGAGTTCATAGAAAATAGAGGAAACATCTAGGTGTTCTGGGTTATGCTAATGGTTGAAAACAGCAGCAGGGAGCTTTGTAACCCCCAAGCTTAACATATCTGGGCCTGAGATTCCTCACAACTGAATGAGGTTGAACTAAATGGTTGATTCTCACCTAGCTACCCTGCCCTTCTCTCTTGTCCACATGAGGCTATTGTAAAAATTTGATAAGATCAAGGACTTCGCATGGTAGCTGGCATCTACTTAGTGCTGAACAGGTAAAAAGAATCACTACTATAATAATAATAATAATAATAATAATTTTTTTTTTTCGAGTCAGAGTCTTGTTCTGTCACCCAGGCTGGAGTGCACTGGCGTGATCTCGTCTCACTGCAACCTCCACCTCCCGAATTCAAGTGATTCTTCTGCCTCAGCCTACTGAGTAGCTGGGATTACAGGCGTGCACCACTATGCCCTACTAATTTTGGTACTTTTAGTAGAGACGGGGTTTCACCATGTTAGCCAGGCTTGTCTCGAACTCCTGACCTCGTGATCTGCCCTCCTCGGCCTCCCAAAGTGCTGGGATTATTGGAGTGAGCCACTGCACCCGGCCCCACTACTATAATTATTAACCCTATTTATAAAACCAAATTAATCTACCTTAGGTGTCAGTCAGGTCCCTACATTGGGATTGTTTAGGAACAGGCTGGATGATCCTTTGTTGACAAGGATTTAGTAACTGGTTAAAACTAGGACTAGGATCCAGGGAACAGGGCAGAGGAGTCTAGATACCTCTGTTAGTTCTATTTATGTGAAACAAATGACTGGAAACCTCAAATTACCAATTGATTTATGTTGAGTGTTAGGAATGTCTCTCAGACTTCCTTCATTTCTGACCCATAGACTCTCTTCAAAAGGACTCTTCTAATTAGACAAAATATACCTCTTGATTATATCACAGTCAGAATACTATAGACCTTAAATATATCTGCAACCACCCCCCACCCCTGCCACCTCCAGCATTGCCATGTAAGGTTATCTAATTAGGGAAATGACATCCCAATATATTCAGAAGTCCAGGCCCCCCTCAATGGGAGGAGATTGTACAGGAGTGGACTCCAGGGGACAGAATCTGGGGGACTGTCTTAGAATTGTGTCTACCAAAATAGCCTTTCAGTCCCCTTCCAACTTAGAAAGTTGGAGGTTCTAATTTACAAGGAGGAGCAGCTCAAGGTTTATCAGAAAGAACTGGGAGAGATGAGAGAGGGAAACAACAGGAACTGAGCTCCCGCTGTTCAGCAGAGAGAGTGCTCTGTATGCTTCAGCTGATCTGATTCTCACAAGAATTGGTAGCACCCTCATGAGGAGGCGTGAGCTTCCCAGGACAACACACCCACATCTTCATTGCATTTCCTCTCCTCTGTGGCTGTGATGCTCTCGATACTAAACCTCACCGCCTCATTTGCCCCATCAGTGCCTTGCCTGTGCAGCCCTCTTCCTTCTTTCTGCTCCTACTGCCCTTCATCCCCCGCCACCAGTCCATCCTTGCCCCAGTACGGCTGGGGACACTCACCCGCATACTGCATGCTCCTGCGGCGTCTCCTTCTGCCTGTTTCCTCCCTCCTAGCCTCCTCTCCCTGCCCTCTCCTGCTTGTCAAGGTGAGGAATAACCATGGCAGTGTAGGTGGGAAAGTATGAACAGGTTTGACATTTTAAAGGAGGAATTATATTAACATCAGACTTCATTCATAAATTATGCATTATTTATCCATGTTCATATAAATATTTGCCATGTGTATGAACACATAATACTAATATAATGGTTAAGATGCATAATTTTGTGTCTCTCAGTTCATTTTCAGTCATTTTCTGATGGATCCAAATTTCTACTAATAAAATTATGTTTAGAGCTGCATAAAAAGCTAGAAACTGACCAACATATGGTATTTTTCAGCAACTTTGGCTGCATATGTATTGAAAAGTATCAATCTATTGAAAAGTATTTAATCTGTAACCTCATCACTTATTACTTGTCACAAAATTTTGCATTCAATAACCCAAATAATATCACAATTCCTATTTTTATCTTACTTTTAAAAATTGAGTCACATGGCAAAATTCTGAGTTCTTAAATGAATTGTGGGCTAAAGGGTTCTTTTTAGAAATTTTTTAATTTTATTTTTGTGGGCATGTAGTAGGTACATATTCATGGAGTATGTGAGATGTTTTGATTCAGGCATGCCCTGCATAATAATCACATCAGGGTAAATGGGGTATCCATCCCCTCAAGCATTTATACTTTTTTTGCATTACAAACAACCCAATTATACTTTTTTAGTTATTCTAAAATGTACAATACATCACTGTTGACTATAGTCACTCTGTTATGCTATCAAATACTAGATATTATTCATTCTATCTAACTATATTTTTGTACCCATTAATCACCCCTATTTCCCCTCACCCTCCACTTCCCTTTCCAGCCTCTGGTCACCATCCTTCTGCTCTCTGTCTCCATGAATTCAGTTGTTTTGATTTTTAGCTCCCACAAATAAGTGAGAATATGGGAAATTTGTTTTTCTGTGCCTGGTTTATTTCACTTAACACTATGACCTCGAGTTCCATCCATGTTGTTGTAAATGACAGGATCCCATTCCTTTTTTACAGCTGAATAGTACTCCGTAGGGTATATGCACCACATTTTCTTGATGCATTTGTCTGTTGATGGATACTTGGGCTGCTTCCAAATCTTGGCTATTGTGAATACTGCTGCAATAAACATGGGAGTGCAGATATCCCTTCAATACACTGATTTTCTTTCTTTTAGGTATATACCTAGCAGTGGGGTTGCTGGATCATTTGGTAGTTCTATTTTTCATTTTCTGAGAAACCCCCCAAACTGTTCTCCATAGTGGTTGAACTAATTTACATTCCCACCAACAGTGAACATGGATTCTCTTTTCTCCATATTGTTGCCAGTATTTGTTATTGGTTGTCTTTTGCATAAAAGCCATTCCAACTAAGGTGGGATGATATCTCATTGTAGTTTTGATTTGCATTTCTCTGCTGACTGATGATGTTGAGCACCTTTTTATACGCCTGTTTGCCATTTATATGTCTTCTTTGGAGAAATGTCTACTCAGAATTTTTGTCCATTTTTTAATCACATTATTCGATTTTTTTCCTATAGAGTTGTTTGAGCTCCTTATGTATTCTAGTTATTAATCCATTGTCAGATGAGCAGTTTGCAAATATTTTCTCCCATTCTGTGGGTTGTCTCTTTACTTGTTGATTGTTTCCTTTGCTGTGTATAAGCTTTTAAACAAGTGACCCATTTGTCCATTTTTGCTTTGGTTGCCCATGCCTGTGGGGTATTACTCAAAAAATCTTTATCTAGGCCAATGTCCTGGAGGGTTTCCCCAATGTTTTTGTGGAGTAGTTTCATAGTTTGAGGACTTGGATTTAAGTCTTTAACCCATTTTGATTTGATTTTTGTATGTGGCAAGAGACAGGGGTCTAGTTTCATTCTTCTGCCTTTGCATACCCAGTTTTCCCAGCACCATTTATTGAAGAGCCCATCCTTTCCCCAATGTCTGTTCTCGGCACTTTGTTAAAACTGAGTTCACTGCAGGAGTATGGGTTTGTTTCTGGATCCTCTGTTCTGTTCCGTTGGTCTATGTGTCTGTTTTTATGCCAGTACAATGCTGTTTTGATTACTATAGCTCTGTAGTATAATTTGAAGTCAGGTAATGTGATTCTTCCAGTTTTGTTCTTTTTGTTTAGGATAGCTTTGGCTATTCTGGGTCTTGTGTGGTTCCATGAAAATTTTAGGATTTTTTTTCTATGTCTGTGAATGTCTTCGGTATTTTGTTAGGGATTGCATTGAACCTGTAGATTGCTTTGAGTAGTATGGACGTTTTAACAATATTGACTCTTCCAATCCATGAACATGGAATATCTTTCCATTTCTTTGTGTCCTCTTCAATTCTTTCAACAGTGTTTCACAGTTTTCATTGTAGAGATCATTCATTTCTTTGGTTAAGTTTATTTCTAGATATTTTATTTTATTTGTAGCTATTGTAGATGGGATTATTTCCTTGATTTCTTTTTCAGATTGTTTACTGTTGGCATATAGAAATGCTACTGATTTTTGTATGTTAATTTTGTATTCTGCAACTTTACTGAATTTATCAGTTCTAATAGTTTTTTGGTGGAGTCTTTAGGTTTTTCCAAATTTAAGATCATGTCATATATAAGAATAATTTGACTTCTTCCTTTCCAATTTGGATGCCATTTATTTCTTTCTTTTGTCTGATTGCTCTAGCTAGGACTTCCTAAAGGGTTCTTGATAGAGTTTTTTCCTGGTTTGAGTTTTCTGATGAATTCCAGCAGATAGTTTTTCCACTTTGACTTTAGGATTAGTATTGCCCCGCTGTGAGAACTGTAATACTGACTGAGGAATGAGTGATCACTGGGCCCTGTCCCTCATTAGTTACACTGAAATTGTTCTGTACTACGTGAATCCTTGTGTGTCCTACAAGAGTTGCTCTGTGAGTAAAGGGTTTCTTTCTTTTTTTTTTTTTTTTTTGTAAAGGGTTTCTTATGTTTATTTCACTTCCTTCTCCAGTATACATTATCTGATGTTCCCCTATTCCATTTTAACCACACCAGGGGTATATGGAAATCCAATTCTGACACTAACTATCAAGAGTTAGCATCAGACTTCACATATTTAAAGGCTCATTCCCACAAAGCTGTTCTTAAGATTTCAGATGCTAGGCACACCTTGGGGGGGGGGGCCCAAGCCACTTGTACTTCTACACAACTGGCTATAAAATCAGAGGTTTTCATTTCATTTCCCCTCAGATTCAATAATTCACTGAAATAACTCATAGAGCTCAAGAGTAAGCAATAATTATGATTACAGGTTTATTATAAAACATACAACTTGGTAACAACTACATGAAGGGATGTATAGGGTGAGGTCTAGAGGGAATGCAGAGCTGTGTGCCCTCTCCCCATGGAGTCACTGCTGGTTACCCTCCTGGTCAGCAAAGTGTTCACCAACCTAGAAGCTCCCCTGAACCTCAGTGTCTAGAGAGCTTTCTGAGGTTTCATTATGTAGGCTTGGTTGATTAAATCATTGACCACATAATCAAACTCAATCTCCTGCTCCTCCCACCCCCAGGTTGGGCTGGGTCAAAGTATCAACCCTGTAATTGCATAGTTGATCTTTCTGGTGACCTGTCCCCATCCTGAAGCTATCTAGGGGCTCATCACAGTCACCTCACTAGCATCTCTAAGACACTGCTGTCACTCAGAAAACTCCAAGGGTTTTTGAAGCTCACCTGGATTTGGGCTCTGGAGAAATCCTTCCTTCCCTCCACAGCATTGCTTCTTGCTTCAACTGGGAAATCATGAATGACTTGCAGAGCTGATGCTCTCTGGGCAAAGTTGCATGGATTTTGAATTCTGTGTGAGAACTGTGTGTGATCTTCAGATCTAAGGCAGGCTCCCAACAAGACAAGGCGAGCATGGAAGGGCACCCGGGGAAGAGCACCTTGAACACCAAGGACATTGAGGGCCCTTCCCTGGAGCAGGAAGGAAAACCCCTGACACCAAGCCCCTGAGTCTCAGCAGCAGTGAAGATTTAAATGTTTCCACAGTGGGTTGTGGAATTTATTCTCATAATTAATGCAATAAAATTAAGATCCATTGGAACAATCTAGGTTCTATTTGGAAAAGAAAATGGCTATATTTTTATTACTATGGTCTCAAACCCTAGCTTAGTGCTTAAAACAGTATTGTCACTTAGTAAAAAATTTAATCCATTTATTTATTCAAAAAAATAGTCATTGAGTTCCCAGCACTGTTCTCAATGTTGGAGATGGAGTAGTAATAAAGACACAAAACTGTGGTCAGGAAGACGTGTTCTAGTGGTTGATAAACTAGATTTAAGTAAATAAACAATGTTCAGGCAGTTGTAAGTGCTGTGAAAGAAAACAGATGAGGAAAGAGACAAAGTGGCGTATGTGGAAGCTGCCTGGCCTGACGGGCTGAGCACCTGATGAAACACCTACCTCCATACCCGACCTTCAGCACCTGCTGTCACACATCCCTGTTACCTGTGGTCACCACACACCTAAGACCCCTGCAACCACTGACATGGTTAATTGAGTGAGTCATTTCCCTAACACAGCATTGGATGGATGAGAAAAAGACAGCCCTTCACTTATGTTCCCTGAAAGGACATCCTCAACGGAGAATGAAAAAATTAATGTACATGTTGGGAAGGACATGATCTCATGATGAGTTCTTGATCTGCCATGAGCATTCCAGAGTTCTGGAGAAACAGAACTTGCATGAACACTTCCCGGACACCCTTACTAATAGAAGATCCAGGCCAAGAGGAGAAATGTGCTCGTCTGCTGGCAAAGGGTAATCAACTCAGGAGAAAGAGCAAGTCCCCACGCACCCGTGGGTTCCTTGTCAGGAACTCGGCTGCCACCTGTCTTCCTCCACATTCTCCTTCAGGATGGTCTGAAAACTAAGCAGACAAAGCTGAAGAAGGATAAAGAAACCATGAGACCCTGGTCTTATTCACCCCTTCATGGACCTCCAAGCCTTCATCTGGGAGTGAGTGACACCAGCTCCAACCCACATGTACCTGCAGGGTGATCTAAGACAAACAGGAGGAACCCTTTTTTCCCAGATCACAAGGAAGAAGGCTTTGGCTACAGCAACTCATAAGGAACATGTGAAAATCCTCATTTTATAGAAAAATAAGAGGACAATTATAGTGTTGTATGCTTTGCTTAGACCTGGTTTTCAGGGATATCATATAATTCCCTCCCTGATGGCAACTCCTAGGAGGACCTGACTCATGTCACATGGTGATTCTTCTTTGCACAACCAAGAACAAAACTTTGTGACTTAATACTTCTTGGTTAGGTGCATTAGCATTCTTTCCCTAACACTCACCCAGCCCTGCAGAACAACCACCTCCCTGCTGTGCCCTGCCCTCACCCTCCCTGTCCTGTCCCACCCTACCCCCTTCCTCTCCATCCTGCCCTGTCCCCCACCCCCACGCTCCCCCCACCCCCACCCTCCAATGCACTTGCCCTCAATCATCTTGACTCCCCAGCATGTGGGTTCAGGCAGCACCAGAGCCTCAATCCCAGCTCCATGCCCCAGGGCCTGAATGTGCAGCCAAGCACATTTGGAATCTGTTTAACAGTGGACATAACAATTCAAAGCCTCATCCCCTGTTGGAGGGTTCAGTGGTTCACTCTGCTAGTTTAGCAACAAAACCCCTTTTACCAAAAAGAAGCGGGAGTGAGCCCTTTCTAATGCCACTGCTGTGTCTCACAGTCATCCTACGGCAGTGGAGCTCATAGAATACAGAAGGAAAGAGCTTAGTTTTGGGGGATATTTGACTCCTTTGGAAATCTTAGTAAAATGGTAGCTGGAGTTCTGCCTTAGTAATTATCATTGGCAGGAACATCTCAGCATTTCATAATTTATGTTTTTGAAGCATTTGCCAACAGTAGACTACTTTCCAGAACAACGTTAATAATTGGATGTATTGCATGGACAGATAGTGATAATGAGTCATGAACAGGGTGGGAAGACAACTCCTTGAGTGAAGTCCCCAAAAGAGAAAAAAATCCCCATAGCATTAATTGAGGCTCTGTGAATCAGTTACTTGAGATTGCTTATGTAATCCACCTTGTTTACTCCTCTGGGTGAGGTGACTCACTTTTGGAGGCCAAAGATAGATCATGAGGTCAGGAGTTTGAGACCAGCCTGGCCAACACGGTGAAACCCTGTCTCTACTAAAAATACAAAAACTAGCTGGGCGTGGTGGTGCATGCCTGTAATCCCAGCTACTGGGAAGACTGAGGCAGGAGGATGGCTTGAACCCAGGAGGTGGAGGTTGCAGTGAGCCGAAATCATGCCACTGCACTCCAGCCTGGGTGACAGAGCAGGATTCCATCTCAAAAAAAAAAAAAAAAAAAAATCCTCACAATAAGTGTGCTATTTGTGGATCAGCTGTCCATATAACAAGTGACATGAAGTAAGTTCTAAAAGCTTTATGAATGTGACCAAGTCTCATGCTACAAAATGACAGAGCTAGAATTTAAACCAAGCTCTGCCTATCTCTATCTCAAATTTCTACATGTGTTTGTCTTGAGAGAGGTGGACACCAGAGTCAGGTTTTACTGGAATATGTCTCCTGTCTGACCAGCGAGAAGAGGCTTTTCCTTGTTATCAGAGCCTTTTCTTTTCAGTCTGAACACACAGTCACTACCCTACCCCAAGCCCAGGTTCTACTCTATGCTCCCACGTCTCCTTATTTTTACTCTAAACCAAAAAGTGCCTGAGACAGATCTTCGTTGATTAGAGGTTTATTTTGCCCAGGTTGAGAATGTACCCAGGAAAAAGAAATGCAAGTTATAATAGGATCTGTGACCTATGCTTTTTCCAAAGAGGGTTTTGGGAACTTCATTATTTAAAGGGAAAAGAGCAAGCAGGAGGGGAAGAAAAAAGAGGAGGGAGGGTAGGCAGCAAGGCAAGTGCTTTCATTCTTGTGGGGCTCTGATTAGCACTCAATGAATCCACATTTCACATAACGCAAGCATGTGAAATTACAGCCATCTATTTGGGAACAAAAGGAAGGCAGTTTTTGCCTGACTCAGTCTCCCACGCTTAACTTTCCCTTTGGCATAGTGAGTTTGGGGTCCCAAGATTCTACTTTTCCTTCACATTACTCATCCTTACTCATTGCAACACATATGTACCAAAGACCAACAGTTCTCATGTCCACCTGACATTTCGCATCTATTGATCAAGAGTCCAATCCCAGATGATTCCAAATGTCACCTTTTCCCTGGCAGTATTTGCCCTAACAGATAGGTGCTATGTCAAAGCCACCCTTTGACTGACTACAATCACCAAGGATCTTCCTGTTCATAAATCTTGGTAAGATCACAGTTATCGCCCTGTAATTAAATTCCATGGAGTGTTTCTCAGCATTTGGGTTGGAACTAAAGCAGAATTGGAACGTAACCTCTTTTTCTCAACAGATTCAGAGTCCTTGAAACTTGCATGAATGGCCAGGGCACATCTTGAAGACGCATGACAAAGAACCTGTGGGGATATTAAGATTTAAGTCAGGATGATTGGTTCTTGTTACCAGCATCAAAGGATCTTCTCATATCACAAAATAATGAGATTATCCCCCAACATTGGTCAGCATGGCATAAAATACATGATCTGTGATAGGAGATGCTTTTCTGATCCGCTTTTATGAAAAGTAAATGTCCTTCCTGCCTGCATTTTCAACTTTAGTATGTGTGCCTGCCTTTTTCTTTTTAAAATGTAGTAAGCTTCACCCACCAGCCTTTAGTACCGGCTGTATAAGGAGCAACTAACACCAAGACATACATGCTTATGCCCCATCCACTTTATTTTAAAGCACTCTTCAATTTGTCAATACTTTAATTCTCTAAGCAGTGTTATAGTGGCTGACCACTTTTGAAATTATCTTTGTTTTGTTTGGTACTTGAAGGGCATGAAAAACTTCCCTCCACTTCCTTCCCCTCTCCCGGGGCTCATTTTCCCCTCTCTTTTCTCTGCCCTGCTTGCCCTCTGACCCTGCCGAGCTCTGCTGTTTCCACAGACTTCTGAATCTAATTAATGTCATAGTGACTATATAAGTGAATTATGTAGGCAGGAGGATGCGGGAAACTTTGGGGAAGGTGCATTCCTTAGGGAAAAACCTGGTTTTGTTAAAAAAAAAAAAAAAAAGGAAAGAAATGCACATTCCCAGGAACACTCATTCCCAGGGGGTAGAATGTCAGTGAAGCATAAAACCTCAGCAACTACTTACATTCAATAAATATCTGTTGTCTGATGAGCAGACGGAACCCTAGGAGCGGCGGCGGCGGCGGCGCAGGGCCGGGGGCGGGGCCGGGGGCCAGGCGGGGCGGGGGCGGCGGCGGCGGCGGCGGCGGCGGCGGCGCAGGGCCGGGGGCGGTGGCGGCGGCGGCGCGGCGAGCTCGCTGCTCTCTCTTGAGTGTGCCTGCGCGCAAGCCGGGGAGCGGGTGAGTGCGCCGGCCGCTGCAGCCAGCCCGGCCGGCCCGGAGTCGGGGGCGGGGGGCGTCGGGAGCCCCGACCTGGGGGCGGGCGGCGGCCGCTCTGGCGCGGCTGGGATGCACCTTGAGCGGCGCCTTTCGTCGCAGCGCGCGGGCGGCCCGAGCTTCGGCGGCGGCGGCGGCAGCGGCGGCAGCGGCGGCGGCGACGCTGACACCTCCCACCATGGACAGCTTCGACTTAGCCCTGCTCCAGGAATGGGACCTCGAGTCACTGTGGTAAGTCCCCGTGCCGGCCGCTTCGGGCGGGCGGGAGCGGCGAGGGGCGGCCGCGGCGGCCCGCGCGTCCTCACCTGGGCCGGGGGCTCCGGGCGGCCGGCCGCCGTGGGGGTGGGGTGGGTCGGGGGCGCCTGCCTCGCCAGCCCTTTTCTGCCTCCCCGGGTGGGATGCGTGGCCGCCTGCCCGTCTGTTTCCCCCTCTCCTGTTCGCCTCCCTCGCGGCGGCCCGCCCCAGCCCAGGGACTGGTGATCTAGGTAGCCAGGGGCAGAGCGCAGCCGTGGGGAGGAAAAGA
This sequence comes from Homo sapiens, assembly GCF_000001405.40. Classification (NCBI taxonomy): domain Eukaryota; kingdom Metazoa; phylum Chordata; class Mammalia; order Primates; family Hominidae; genus Homo; species Homo sapiens. Next base: position 110,610,422 of record NC_000002.12, on the reverse strand, counting down.
AGCGATTTGAAGACTGCGTCACTAATGCCTGGGGATCCACCCGTCGGCCCCCTGCTCCTCTCACTTCCTTTCCCTCCGACTGCGCCCCCTCCCTCCTCCGGCTGGCACCACCGACCCCCTGGAGTTGGTGCTGCTGCGAAGTGCCCTTAGAGGATGCTCCAGCCTCCCCGCCTGCGCCCGGTCTCGGCTGCATCCTTTCTGTCTCTCCCACCCACTTCCACCGAGATGGAAAAGTGAACATCCAGGGCGGGAAACGAGGGTTTCTCCGTGCCAGTATTCCAGAGGCCTTAGCCCAGGGAGACTCCTTTCCTCGGGGTTCACAGTTCCTCTGGGCCCTTTCTTCACACCTCGTCACAGTTGCACTCCTCCTCCCCACCCCACCCGGGCGCCCCGGGTATCCCTTTGTGCCACGCTCACAGCTCGCAGCCCGGGGGGCACTCCAGGTTCCGTTTCTCGGGGATCTCACACTGGGGAGCTGCTGTAGGTAAATCGCCGCTGGAAGCAGTTTAATTCCAGTTGCGGGTGTCTTAAAAATCCCATTGGCTGCTTTAGTATCTGTCTTATTCCCCCTTCTTTCTCTGCTCCCCCCAACCCCCCACTATCTCTTAAATGTTTCCAACCAGCACTATTCAGGTGGTAAAATTACTGCCTGCATATTCCTGGAGGAACTTGTGTTATGTTTAATATTTACGGGGATGAACATCTGCTGGAACAAGCATATTAACTGCACTCTGTTCTGCCTCTGGTAATCGCTTATTGTAGAGCTGAGCTTGTTTTTTTTTTCCTTTTGCTTTAATTCAGTAAAGAGTTCACATGTGTCTAAAACTGCATGTGATGTGCACATGAATATGCAATGTACAATTTTAAAGCTAAACTGCTTTATGATTTATAACTCATATAGATGATATGTGGATCTGTGTGTATTTTCTGTGATTTAGGTTTCCAGTGACTTTTATTTTCCTAAAGACAGGTGTAACAAAATAAACTGGACACAAAGCTAGCACATTATCGAACGGTTTCTTATAAAAGATCCTATGATGAGTAAGTACAGCTTGCTCTGCATAATGTTGGTGCCTGTAAAACACACAAGGACGGGCCCTAATGTAATAAAACTTTTACGTATTGCACTGGAAACTTCAAAGAGCCAGGGCAGAAAGAATATGAAACATGTTATGACTGTGTAAAAGTTGCTAATTACTGTGTTGCTGCTCCTGGGGTTATTTCAGCCTTTCATTTACAGATACCTATTATTTTATAGGTTTACATTTAGAAATGTTGGTTTCTGGCGCAAATTCAATAGCTTTCCAGATAGCAACTGTACTTTTAAAATGCTGTTTGCTTTTAAAAGGCAGTTTTTCAGTCAAAGGGAAGAACTTACTGTTTCGGTATATTTTTATGCTGCTTGTCTGCTTGCTGACTCAAAGCGAACCCCCTTATGACTTTCATAAGTAATATTTTGAGATTATCAGCGTAATTTGTGGGGTCTTCCTGCACAGAACCTGAGCTCTGTTTCCTTTTGCATCCTTAGTTCCCAGCTGAATTACCCTGGAGCAGTGTCACAGAATAAATATCTGTTGAATTGACTTGAAATTTACATTAGCAGTACATTTATTACTTTTAAAAAAACAAAAACTTACACGTTTTTTAAAAAGTTGATGTACGTGCAATCACATTTTAATGAGTGCATCGAGTTTTGGCTTATGAAGGCATGTAGACTTTCTTGATCACAATATACTAGGACAGTTTGGCTTGACCGGGAGGGTTTCTAGTTTTGCAGATGTAGAATTACATTTTACAAAAGCTTATATGTTTCTGATAAGTTAAAGAAAAACCAAGCTTGAGTATGCATTTCTAATATGTTTAGACATTTTCTCACAGATGAATTTTTGGATGCTATGTTCTCAGTTTTATGGTTTACGTAAATTTTTAAGTTTATGGTTACTTTTAAGCTTATAGATGGTTCAAAATAACTAATATTTGAGAACTTTCTGTGTGTCCAGTACTTTCATATCCATTGTTTTCTTATTTGAATCTCTTAATCCTGGAAAGGGTAAGTAAGTGGTAGTAGTTCCATTTTATAGATGAGGAAATAGAAGCTTTGAACTGTTAAATGACTTTACTGAGGTCATAAAACAGATGACAGCAGACTTTTTAAAACTAACATTTGCTGAACACGTATTATTTATCAGACACTGTTCTGGGTACATTACATGTTTTAGCTCATTTAATTATAAAGCAAGTACTGTTATTAGTTCCATTTTAAAGATAGGAAAATTGAAGATGGGAAGATAGGGTAACCTGCCCAGAGTCACACATCTAAAAATGGGGCAGCCATATTTCAACCAGAAATTAGCTTCAAAGCCCAGTGATCTGACTTCAAATCCAGTCAGACAATTGCCATTTTCTAGAGTACTTCAAATATCTCTCAGCTTATAAGGACAGCTCTGAAATTAATTACAAAACAAAACCTCGATGGACTGGAAGTTAAGGTCCTACTAAAATAACAAAGAGAGAGAGCCCTAAATGGTATTAAAATTAAAAATTTGAAAATAAACTACCATAGTTAGGAAAGTATACCTGTTAATTATGAATTATTGTATTAGAGCAATATACATTTTAAAGACCATTGAAAACTTCTTCCTTTGATTGATCATAGAAAAACTTTTTTGAAGGAGGAAGGAGGAGGTACAGATTAATGGCAAAAGAGAATCTTAATCCCTAAGAACTTTTTCTAATTGATGGACATCATTTTCCAATTGAACAAATTGGAATTTATTAGTGGTGACTGTGGCTTTGAATCTGAGCTAGTTTATTCTTGCAGTCACAGAGAGTGTCCTCAAATGACTGTATAGAAAATATAAAGGGAAAAGCTCAGTTCTGTTGAATATAATCAATATACACAATCAATTGATAATTCACAACTACCTCCTTTGCCTTCTTGCACGCTCTTCCTGCCACTCAGAAACATCCATACTTACTCTTCAGGATGGGTTTTTTGAGCCTGAATTATCCAGATGGCTGTTTCAACTTTTTCAGCCATACCTTAAAGTTGAAAAGGATGGCCCTAATTTCCACCTCTAATTCCACTTCCAATTTCTGGTTTGAAGCAAGACTGGAGAACTTGGAAAAAGGTGAAGGTGTTCATTCAGCACCCGACACTGTAGCTTTGTTCTGTAGAGTCTTGAAGAGTTGGGCATTCCGTGAGTTTACAGGGGCAGCAGATATGCAGAGGCGCAAGGCTGCCCCCTCCACTCCCTGGTCTTCCTTCTGTGGTCCACCAGCTTTTGATTAGGTGCTAGACATATAAGCCATTCCTCAGGGCCTTTAAAATAATGACCATCCCTTTTAACAGGCTAACTGTTGCTTTCATTTAATTCGTTTAACAAATATTTATTGATCATCTCTTAAGTAGAAGACCTTGTGCTGGTTTCTGTGGGAGATGCAAGGATGAGTAAGGTGTAGGTTGTACATATTAGTGTTATTGTCAAGTGAGGAAATTAAGACAAGAACACACATGAAAAAGGAAGTTTTCAACACTGGTGATTCAGAAAAGAGACCATATTTGGGACTTGGGTGGAGGATGGAAAGAGGAAAAATTGAGTTAAAAAACGAAAAAAGGCTTCCATGAAATAGGTGGCCTTTGAACTAAGTCTTGGAAGACAGATGGTGTGGGTGGGGGTATTGAGAGTACATGGAGACATCTTGGGCAAAGAAAACTTGAACAAGGGCTTTCATGGTGTCTCTAAAAGATCATTTTATGCATCATGGTGGAATTACCTATACTGTCTCTTTTAAAGATGCAGAACTTTGTAGTCATGAGGTAGTTTCAGTGAATGAGAAAAGTTTTCCAAAATGAACTTGTATTTCATCTTCCTTAAATGTTAACACATTTTAATCATTGGAGAGAAAGTCTATCAACATACAACAGTATAATAAATATTCTGATCTTCCCTACCACTCACCCCATTCCTCCACAGCTTCATATAAGCCAGAATCCACACACTTTTGTTCAGATAGGCATTATTCTTTATATTCCTTTAAGTTGGAGCCTTTGAAGTTATAATACATGGATCATTTCATACTCATCAACCTGTTCAATTCAATAAGCATTCACAGAATATTAGACAGAGGAGAGGTACCATCAGGGCAGTGACTTTCAAATGCTTCAGACCATGACCCCCAGTAACAAATACACGTTTAACACTGCCACCCACCACCCCTTGAACATGCATACACGTAAGTGAAACAAGAGCATCATGAAATAACGCTTATTACTATGTGTGATACACTTCGATATTTCCTATCCTCTTTCTTTCTCTTTTTTCTTTTTTTTAGAATTTCCCATTCATAGGCTGAAACCTGCAGTTTAGGAAACCCTGCTGTACAGGGGTCAAAGGACAGTGTGTTTTTTGGGAACTTAATAGAAGAATAAGCCATACCCATAAATACCTGCAATCCAAGGCTGACACTGCCTGCTTGAGGGGGCATGGGCACATCCTGTTGAAAGTAAGATATTCATGGTGGGGTGGCATTTGAAATGGGTCCTGGAGTAGAATTTCAGGAGGAAATGGAAAGGAGGAAAACCACGTGGTGGGAAGACTGTGAATAGAAACATGGAGGGAATAAAGTGTGGATCTTGTTTGGTGAAGGTAGGCTAACAGGCAGGGAGGGATGCAGAGGCACTAGCAGTTTAGTCTCCCTAAGGATGCTGCCCAGTAGTGCCCGCTGATGCTTTTGCTTGTCTTCAAATCAACTGCCAGGGGACATGCGCAGGCCAGTGGGCGGCTTCCTCCAGGCCTTTTTAGACTTTACTTCATAGTGCCAGAAAATGCTACAGATCCCTGATCTTGACCTTCAGGTGCCTCTACCCTTTCCTCCAGCTGCAGTAAAGCAAACATTTTAAGGCCTATTCCTATCCTTTTGGTCAGTCCTTATGGGTCAAAACAGAGTACAAAGAAAGGGCAGAAGGAGAGTGCACCTGTCTGAGCCCCAGGTGTCCTGGAGCTGATTGGTAGACAGCAGCTCTGCAGAGCTGCGTGTACTCACACTGGCCGAAGGTCACCGTGTAGTTGACTGCGTGGCTCTCATTGGCCCTCAGCATGGGCCTGGAGGGGCCTCGGCAGGTACGAGGAGGCAAAGCCTTCTCAGTAGAGTGGCTTCCAGGGCTAGGGCTGTGGGCAGCAGTGGGGAAGGGGCTGCTCATCAGCCTGGAGGAGGCAGGGGCCCTCGATGGGAAGCAGTGGAGTGTTGCATCCGCTGTGGAGGAGCTCAGCCCTCGTGTGGGGCGTGTTTTGGAGAAAGCTGGGTGGAGAGACTGGTTAGTTCAGGGCGCCGAGAACTTGGGGACTCCAGCTGGGCTGGGGCCCCAGAGGATACCAGGGAGGAGGAACCCAGGGAGTGTGCACCTTAATGTGTGGATAGGTTTTTAACCAAATGTATCTGGATGACGATGAAGATGAGTATTGTGTGTGGGGAAATGATTCCTTCCTGTGTTCCAGATTCTCTTTTGTGAAAATGTAGGAGGGTTTTAAAATGCTAAGAATCTATTTTGGGAGAATGTCCTTGTTAACTACAATGGGTCTAATCAATGACACTTGAGCAACTTGAACGAAGACCTTTGGCTTAATACAGATTAATAGGCAAATTAAGAAAAAAAAACCTCTCAATATGGAATGCAAGATTTTGTGTGTAAGTGGAATTTTTAACCTGGAATAGATTTGCCTGTTTGATTTTTTTTTTTATTTTAATTTTTGGGAATAAAGTCTTGGTGGCAAAATCGAGGCCCCATAAAAGACGATTTTAATATCATTTAATGGTAACATAATTTTTTTGTTGTTTTATTTCAAAGTGAAATCCATAAAACTTATTTTCAATGTTGGCTGTTCCCTTTTGTCTTGGAATTTAATTGAGGTTTCTGAATTCAGCTGGCCCCAACCTTGCTTTCTGTTTGGCCCTGGGCAGCTCATGATTTTTCTCATTTCCTATTCTCAGTCTTGGTTTAATCACTTATAAAATGACAGCACTTAGACTGGCCTACCTCATAAGGTTGTGACGTTAAGTAATAAAAGTGTCAATTGCTCTGAATGCCAAATGTAGCTCTTCTATACCCTTTGCTTTCTTAAAAATGTCTCTTTTTCATAAACAAGGAAGAATACAGAAAGGCCGCATAAGGTCAGATTCAGCAGTCCATGCGGTGCAGCGTTCTGTCCCTGGCAACAGGACCCTGGGACGGTTTTGAGTAGAGGTTGGTAGCTTTTCTTAGTCGTGCATCATAGTCCAGCAGACAAATATGCTCTTACTTACGGTGGTACTACTCACATATGTAGATCTATTAACCATTACATAATCTTTTATGTTTCACTGAGAATGTATTGCATTACCAACCATTACATCGAATGACTTCATTTGGCACTGTGGGTCTCATTAAATTATGTCAGGCTAATCATAATTTAGTTTCACTGGAAACAAAATACACAGTGTTTATGTCAGAGTAAGAGGACACCACCCAATCCAAGGAACTAAATGGGTTGAATCTAAGGAAACTACCACCCGGGATATGATAGGGGCCTTAAGTGTTTGAAGGCATTTAGCTGGGAAGTGGGAATAGAGTTGTTCTGGGTTGCTCAAGGGCACGAGTAAGATCAGTGGGTGTGAGAGCATTTAACAGTGATGTGATGTGGGCTGTCTCAAAGGGTAACAATTACCTGACTTTGTAGAAAGACATTCCTGGGTAGGCAGAGCGGCAGCAATAGGCTATCTCCGAGATTCCTTCCAGCTTCAAAATTCTATGATCATTCCCCTCACAGGGTAGCAGGAATCAAAGAGTGCAGAAGTCATTAATTGTATTCACTTGTGTATTTTTCCTCTGCAATTTCCCCACTCACCTGTGGAGAAAGGCATAGAGGGTACTTAAACTTCTTCACATAATTTCTTCCCAGGAGGCTCATTGTTAGCGGAGGTAAACAAAAATGACTGTAATTTGGAGACCACTTTAACATAGCAACTCCATTTAGAGAGTTATGTGCTTAACTTGATACTGGAAATAATTTTATTTTTCCTTTTATATGGGCAGGAAATTAGTTTCGAAAATCCCCTAGAGGACCATGATGTGAGTCTGTTGGTCTTAAATTTTTCTTCTCATATCTGTACTGTTTACCTGCGTTATGAAGTGACAGAACAGAATTTCAGCCAGTGTTCATTGACATGTTAATTAGTTACCTGGCAATTTAGATAGGAAGAGGCTTTACTGTAGTGGATCACCACCAGTTCTGGGAAATAATCTGTTTTTGTTTTAAAATTTCAAAATATATTTGTTTTCACGTAGAATGCTTGTAGAAGAAGAAAAGACCCAGGGTGTAGAAAATAGTTTTGAGAGCATAGGTCAGTATGCTTAGCTCTCACTCGGGGAATGCTTCTCAAACTTCCATGTGCATCCAAATAATCTAGAGGCCTTGTTAAAATACACATTCTAATCTAATAGAACCAGGAGTCCGCATTTCTAACTGGCTCCCAAGTATTAGTTTTGGTCCACAGACCAAACTTTGACTTGTAAGGACTAAATGGACAAAAATTTCCTTTGAAAAGAAGCCCTTTCAAAATTTGCATTTCCTTCTCCCTGTTTTGGGGACACCTTTGTGTAATAACAGTCCAGTTCCATAAAGCTTGACGGTTGCGTTTAGATGCAGTATTTATTTTATTTTTGTGAGTCTTTCTAATACAATTCTGATGAGTGAGGGGGTGGTTAATTGTATTCTGGTGGAGATATGGTGGGAAGTAAACATAAAAACCTAAGTAAACACAATTTGTAATAAATAGGCTAATCACTTTTTATAGCCTCTCAGTTCTCATCATTCCTTCAAAGCCCGGGACCTTCTGTTGTATCGGGCTCGAATGCTGAGAGTAACTGGATAGTCTTACAGACACTTTTGGATTTGTGGAGAATCTCTCAGTAACCCCTGTGGATGCCCAGGATTCAGACCAAATGTCCCCATTCTCTCCTAGCCATTCTGTCTTTGGGAGGGCTGGGGTTGGGGGGATAGGAGTGTTGGGGGTGGGGTCAGCTATTTGCAGAATTATTGCACTACCCCGTGGCCATAGCTGCAAATTGCAACTTTCCTAGTGTCCTACGAGAAATCACAACTGAAGACTCTACGTGGAACCCATAGTAGGTTTCAGATACTTCAGTTGGGGACCTTGCATCCCCGCTCGGCCAACCTTCTTCTCTCTGCGCCATTACCGGAGTACCCTGAGTCCATTAGGTGGCCAAACCTAGCTGCGGTTTCCATGTGTAATTTCCAGTTCTATTTCATTAGAATGTTTGCATATAGGATGGATAATGCAAGGAAATATTGCACAATTGACTTTGCATGTTCTGTGATACTGACAGGAAGTTTATTGACTTTATCTTTCTAAGGAGGGTGTGTGCGTGCACATAAGCACATGAGTGCACATACACACATTTTCATTCTCTGAAGTAGGCGTTGAAGACTGCTACTGACAAGAGAAACCCAGACTGGATTTAAACAATGGGGGGTATTCCAGATTTGGAAAAGAAAGGTGAATTTTCACGAATAGTAGGGCAAATTTAAATCTTGCAGTCTTGAGACACGTGAACTGGTGGATGAAGTTCTTGCAACAGTGTTTAGCATTATTTGGGGCCATAGTTGGTATCTATACTCCTGGTAGCCGTGATACTGCCTTAATACGTCATAGTCCATTATATGATCTGACTAATTGTGTTTAACCATTTCTTGTAATATGCAACATTACTTTCCACTGTTCTAACTCTTCCTTCAGATTGTGGGGGAGGAGAGAGGAAAACAGTTGCCCTCAAGCGTGAAGGTAGGTCAGGCCCATAGTAAGATAAGCAAGTATTTGATTATTGCTTCAGTACTAGTGTCATCAAATTAATACAGTTTCTTTTACATTTAAGAAAATACAGTTTACTATCAATAAATAGTACAAATAACAGGTGATTCAGACAACCCGCCCCCCACCACACACCAAAAAAAAAAGACTGTCAGACTCAGAGGTTTACTCTGTTGGGTCCCAAGAAGCGACATTCAGGAGTTCCTTAAGAATAGAAAAAGCTACTGATGATGGTCAGGTAGGTTCTGACCTTTAGATGCATTGTCTGGGCTTTTGCCCTGGGACCCTGCCTTGGTTGAGAAGATAGGTTGCCCACATGGCCCACTTGCTTCTTGTCCCACCAATCATATTCCATGGCAGGGAGGCTTCTGGTGTCCTTTCTCAGAACTGCTGAGGTAGAAACTACAGTTGGAGGCCGAGGACTTTATCTCAGGCTGTGAAGTAGGTATCTTCACTGGCCATAGACTCTGTAGTTTACTAAAATAGAAGCTCAGAGCATCCTGGGAAGAAGCAGGTAGACTTTCCTTGCCAGGCCTTCTCAGTGTGCTAAAGATTCAAATGTTTACTTCCTTCCACTTTCTGAAACATCCTGCCAGGCCCCTCTTCTGTTAAGGAGTGCAGGGGTCCCCAGCCCCCGGGCTGTGGATCAATATTGGTCCGGGGCCTGTTAGGACCTGGGCTGCAGAGTGGGAGGTGAGTGGAGGGCGAGCAAGAGAAGCTTCATCTGTATTTACAGCTGCTCCCCATTGCTAACATTACTGCCTGATCTCCGCCTCCCGTCAGATTAGCACCGGCATTATATTCTCACAGAAGCATGAACCCTATTGTGAACCGAGCATGTGTGGGATCTAGGTTTCTCCTTATGAGAATCTAATGCCTGATGATCTGTAACTGTCTCCCATCACCCCCAGATGGGACTCTCTAGTTGCAGGAAAACAAACTCAGGGCTCCCACTGATTCTACATTATGGTGAGTTGTATAATTATTTTATTATAGATTACAATGTAATAATAGAAATAAAGTCTACAATAAATGTAATGCACTTGAACCATCCTGAAACCATCTCTCCACCCCTGGTCCATGGAAAAAAAGTCGTCTACAAAACTGGTCCCTGGTGCCAAAGAGGTTGAGGACCACTTCTGTTGTGGGAGTAGAAATGAAGATTCACCTTAAAGGAGGATACAGCTCTAGCAACCCTTTGAGCAAAATATATGAGCTGTCTGTCATCTCGAGGAAATAGATGGCAACATCAGAAATGGGAAGACCACACTACTCCAACTCACATCTATGTCTATGTGCAGTAGGCCCTCTGTTTTGATGGATAATCAGATGGTCTCACGTTTTTACCATGGTGTGCCACCTGTGGCCCTAGCTGTGTGACTGTCTAGGATGAAGTCTGGACTCAGGTTACAGTGATGTGGATAAAGTCCGTTCTGCCTGAGCACCAGTGATCATCACGTGCGGCGGCATACTGTAGAGCCCAGGACAGAGTTTGACTTGGAGCCTGCTGAGTTTTTCGCAGAAGCATGTCTACGTGCAGGAGAGGACAGCTCAGCGGGTAACACCAGGACTCTCTTATTTGTGTTCCTTTCATTGAAGGTAGTTCCTTCCCCAGAACATGGCATAGCTGCTTTTGAGAACCAATCCTTGTAAGTGACTTCCTTTAATTTTTTTCAATAAGTAGAGTTTAATCTTTGAATATGAACGGAACACCTGAGAAAATTCTTTGGAGTCTGAAAGGAAGTAGGGTATGTTGGTTTCTAATAGTTAGGTAAATAATTAGTTACATAAATTGATTTCTTTTCCTTACTTTTATTCCTCAGCAGGACAAAAGTAATATTTTAGACAAGGCATGGTGGTACAGGCTGATCACACCTGTAATCCCAGCATTTTGGGAGGCCGAGGAAGGAGGATGACTTGAGCCTAGGAGTTTGAGACCAGCCTGGGCAACATAGGGAGACCCCATCTCTACAGAAATATTAGCTGGCCATCGTGGTGCATGCCTGTGGTTCCAGCTACTTGGGAGGCTGATGTGGGAGGATTGCTTGAGCCTGGAAGGTCAAGGCTGCAATGAGCCATGATTGCACCACTGCACTCCAGTCTGGATGGCAGAGAGAGACCTTGTCTCAGAAAGAAAAAAAAAGTAATGTTTTAGAGCCCTAAAATATATAATAATGTAACGCAATCCATCTACAGTATAGAGGGCTTGAAGCTGCTCTTTGTAACTTTCTTCCTCTGGATTTCTAGGTGTCTGGGTTGAGATGAGCATCCTTTTATTGAGCCAGACACAGAAGTGAAGAGACCACATTTCTAGCCCTTGATATGTTTATATTTTAGCCTGATAATAAGAACAGATTATTTCGTTAGTCTAAGTAGACTTTTTACCTGCCCCACATCCTGTGGAGTATGTACGGGGGTACCCTACTCAGCATGGTATTTTAGGGATGATTTCCTAGAGAAAGTGACATCTGATTGCAGTCTTAAAGGAAGGATAAGAGTTAGCCAGGCTGGGAGCGGGGTAGGGATATGGCAGGTACGATAATGTAAGGAAAGGCAAAGAGGTGAAAATTAGCAAGTTGTGAACAGTAGCAGTGACCAGTGCAGGTCAGTTTCAGGTCCCTGGCATTCATGTTGGGAATGGCAGGATGGGAGGTTGGGCAGTGGAGCTGGGAGCAGCTCTCAGAGGGCCTTGCATGGCTTTCTAAGGAGCTCAAACATTTTCCAGTAGGTGATGGCCTGCATGAGGGCTTTAAGCAGGGCAGCAAAATGGTCACGTTTGCATTTTTTTATTATTTCTAGAAGGCACTATAGATGGATGAGTCTGGTGGCTGTGAGAGGCCATGTCTGAAGGTCAGGAGGTCAGTGAGGAGTGAGGGCTGACTAGCCTGGGCCGGTGAGGATGGAGAGGAGGAGAGGGAGTAGAGAGCTGTTGGGGGCATGACACAGACAGTATTCACTCATTTTCTGGGTAGAAGGGGATGAGGGTGCTTTGAGGCTATCTAGCTTGTGTGATGAGATAGGGAAAGTAGGAGGAAGAGCAAGCTGAGTGGGGAAAGAGGAACCCTTTGGATTTAAATGTATTGCATGTAAATGCCCTTGGACCATGGAGATAAAATTGTCTCTAGGAAGTTTACTAAAGATCCTGACATTTAGGTAAAAGGTCAGGATGGAAATAAGTGGGCGTTATCAGCATACAGGTGCTGGTGAAAGCCTTGAGATTGGACAAGATTGTCTAGGACGGAGGAGGAGAGAATGAGAAGTAGGCTGCGGGCACCACGGTGTAGTGGGAGGGAAAGCAGCCAGTGAAGAGGGTTGAAAAGGAAAGATCAGCCAGGGCGAGGCCATGAGCCAGTGGGGTCTGTGACCAGCTGCTTTTTGGAGTTGGCAGTGAGGGTGAAAGAATGGATGGGAGGTGGGAGGGCGGCTATGCGTGTTCCCACTCTTGAGGGGAAAGATGGGCAAACTGATGGAGGAAGGCCTCAGAGGAGATGTGGGCAGGCCAGGCCCAGAATCAGAGGAAGAACGCGAGGGTGGAATCTGTGTAGATACTTTGGGATAAACCTTGTGGGTAGGGGTGATATTTAACAAAATACCTATGAGAAATGGAAGTTTCACAGAATGGAACTACAAAGAAGAGGGTAATATGAAACATCAGATTGTAAAGGGAAACTAGTAGGTTCTTCCTAGTTATTTTTGAATATATGACTTAAAAGTCCGCATAAGCCCCTTTGGCATACATCTATGTCATACTATCTGTAATTTAAAGTAATTTTGATTGAGAAGTAATTTGGTGAAGGTACATAGCCAGGAAAAATTAGTGAGCTTGTCTAATTGTGGGCTGTTTTAAATGGATTTTTAAAAACTATTTTCAAATAGAAAAGACAGGAGTCCCACGATGTTGTCCTAACATTTGATGGCAGATTTTCCTTGGAAAGGCATCTAGGCCAGCTGGCCTCAGGGTATTGTGTTTCTTACACATAAGAAGTGTCCTGAGCCTTTCACAGGTATGTATTATCTCTTTTAATCTTCATTACCTGTAGGGTGGATTCTACTATTCCCCATTTTATAGAGAAGGAAACAAAGGCACAAGGTAACTTGCCCAAGGTCCCATAGTTAGTAAGGCAGAGCTGGGAATTTAATGCAGGTAGCCTGGCTCCAGAGCCCCTACACATCACCACTATCCTGTAATATGTATCTCTTAATGACAGAATCAGAGGGCATGAGTACTGAGGTCCCATGTGACCTTAAAATATATGTGATATAGGCTGGGCGTGGTGGCTCACGCCTGTAATCCCAGCACTTTGGGAGGCCGAGGTGGGTGGATCACCTGAGGTCAGGAGTTCCAGACCAGCCTGGCCAATGTGGTGAAACCCTGCCTACTAAAAATACAAAATTTAAAAATACAAAAATTAGCTAGGCGTGGTGGTGGACACCTGTAATCCCAGCTCATCGGGATGCTGAGGCAGGAGAATCACTTGAACCTGGGAGGCAGAGGTTGCAGTGAGCCTAGATTGCGCCATTGCATTCCAGCCTGGGTGTCACCGCGAGACTCCTTCTCAAAAACAAACATATATATATATACATAATATATATTATATATATTATATATATAAAATATATATAATATATATATATATGTATGTAAATGGTCTCCAGCAGGTACAGTGAGGTATATATGGAAAAACATCTTGAGATTTATTCTGAACTTTCAAACTCAGAATGAATAGTATATTGTGTTCAAGCTATTACAGGTTTTAGACTAGTGGAATTCTAATTAAACAGGCTTCACTGTGCATGGATTGTCTGTAGTTCACTGTCATTAAGTCCTGCTCTTTTTGTTAGTATTTAAAATGTTAAAAATACACTGCCTATATATTTTCTTGCAATTAGTTGTATACTCCATAAAACCTCTAATTTGACAAATTTTATGGATGAAGACTATGGTAACAACTGTTTGCCACATCTGGTCAAATCTACCATAACACCTAAATGTAACTTCATTAATAACAATAATGATGGTACAGCAATACAATTTATAAAACCACTTCATGAAAGTCATCTGAAATTGTAAGGTGATTTTTTTTTTCATGTAGATCATTTTGCTGTTTCTTCTTAGAAATGGAACTACACATGGTGTACAAATGGTCTGTACAAAGTCAGACCATCTCTTCTAGTTGTATGACTCTAATTCTAGAAAGAAGCATTGCTTCAGTGACCTGGAAAGAGTAAACAGGCTTAATTTATATCACGAGATAGTTGGGTAAAGTAAAAATGATAGATTCTTAGCTTAAGGGATTGGGACATATTAAAACAGATGACAAAAATAACTTTAAATGTTTTTTTAAAAAATCTTAGAGAATAAGACGTTAAATAACGTTAGTTATTTTTGAATATTTTAAGTTAGGTTAAAAAAAATCCACTTGGCTGGCAAAATTCCAGAAAGGCACGAATTAATGTTGGGAAGGGCAAAGGGTTCAGAGCCATCCAGCAATGGGTTCAGATTCTGACATGCCATTTACTAGCTGTGCCATCTTTAGTAACTCAGCATCTCTGAGCTTCAGGTTCCTTATATATAAATGAGATAATACTGTCACTGATTTGTTATGGGGATTAAATTAGATAATGTTCTTTTGTACTATCAAAGATCTGTGCCTTACTGTGTGGTTTTCTTTTTACTGGAATTTATTATCTCGTGAATTTTTATGGCAAAAAAGGGGGACTGATGAAGAAAGTCAGTGAAATGTTTCCATCCAAAGGGCTAAAGTTTTCATGTGATAGGTTTAAAATATTAGGGAAATTGTCTTTGAAAGTGTTTGCCTTCACCATGTAGAGAGTAAGGTATACTTATATGTCTTGATTCTTTAATTAATAATTCGACTTTGCTTGCCACTTAAAAATTAGAATCAAATTCTGAATGGAGAGTAAAGCCCACATATATATTGGAAGGGAACCAGGCAATAAACTATCTGATTTACAGAAAACAAAGTGTTTCATGAATGCTTTCCTTAACCCAAGCTTTACTTGTAACTTGAGCCAGGTTTTAATTTTTGAAAAAATTTAAATGGCAAAAATATGTGAACCTACAAATAAATAGGGAGTGATAATCGACTGTTGAGGCCAGTGAGTGAACATGTATTTGATGTGGCCCTGAGATAGAGGCTGTGAAAGGAGTTTCCTGGAACTTATCAGGAGCCCCCAGAGCATAGGTTCACACTTTATACCTCGTGACTTTTAGAGCAGGCAGGGTCTGTATTCAGGCCTGCAGAAAAATAAGTGTAACACTTTTTTGAACTGTATAAAAACAATGCTTCTTTCTATTTGTGTTTGGTTTATATTACCTAAGAAGCATGTTCTGTATTATTAGGGTAGATACCACTTCTGTGTTTATTCTAATGAAAATGAAGAAGGAAACAGTCCCCACCAATATTGTGAAGTACTTAATGGTTTTTAAAATCTCTACGAGACTGGCCAAAGTAAAAATATAAATGAAATAAATGGAAATGTAGCCGTTACTTTCCAGTTTATGTGAGTATCACGATGCAATATTTGGAACTGATTGCAACTGCTGTAAAGTACTTTGAGGAAACCCATTAGAAGAGAATTAAAACTTGAACAGATTAGCTGATCTCTAATGGCCCTAGGAGAAGATCTTGTATTGCTTCAAAATCTTTTCTGATTCTCATCACTCAACCTTCTTGGCTATGTAAACAAAGGAAGCTTTCCTTTTGTTTTCCAGACGTTTGGAAAACAAAATTTTCCAGAGCTGTGCATCTGCCAGGAAATGTTTCTTTTAACCTGATATCATAGATAGTTTTAAAAGCTAAAGTAAACTCTGGATTTTAGATTTCTATATCCCAGGTTGAGAGTAATAAAACTAAAAGAGGAAGCTTTTTAGGTGCTAGTGATTATTTAGTGATGGTAACAGGGATCACTGATATTTTTACTTTCTTTTTTGTATGTTGATTTTGTATCCTGTGACCTCGCTGAGTGTATTCATGAGTTCTAATAGTTGTGTGTGTATTTCTTAGGATTTTATATATATACACATGATTATGTCATCTGTGAATAGAGATAGTTTTGCTTTTTCCTTTCCAATCTGGTTGCTTTTAATTTTTTTTTCTTGCCCGATTGGCCTGGCTAGGACCTCCAGGAGAATGTTAAATAGTAGTGGAGTGAGTAGACATCTTTGGTTTGTTTCTCATCTTGAAAGGAAAGCTTTGTCATTCACTGTTGAGTATGATATTATCTGTTGGTTTTTCATAGATGCCCTTTATCAGGTTAAGGAAGTTTCCTTCTGTTCCTAGTTTGTTGAGTGTTTTTAAGCACAAAAGGATGTGTGATTTTTGTCAAAGTCTTTTCTACATGTATTGAGATGGTCATATGGGTTTTAATCTATTAATACTTTAATATACTTTAATCTATTAATATACTTTTATATACTTTAATACATTGACTGATTTTTATATGTTGAACCAACCTTGCATTCCTGGACTATGTCACTTGGTTATGGTATATAATCCTTTTATATATCACTGGATTTGTTTTGCTAGTATTTTGTTGAATGACTTCCTTTTTCAGAAACAGTTGCCTATTTTCTTCTTTGATAATGAAAGTTCATGAACACTTGAGATAAAAATAAAGGAATATGACTTTCTCAGGACATGCCCATGGAAACATGAAAGCATTGTTTCTGCATATTCTCTGAATGATAGTCCTGTAAGTAAGAATAATCAAATCTCAAAAGAGATTTGAGTACTTGAGTACTCAAGTTCAGAAACTTTTATGTAATGATTTTCTGAAGAATTTTAACTTGACACCTGCTTAAGAAATTCTCACATAATGTAATTTCTTATGTGACACATTTAGATTTTAGGTCCTGATCTTGTGCAAGTCATTCAATTTTTTTAGCTTAGTCCTCTAATGAGTAAACAGGATTATAAGGAAGAAATAAAATATGCAGTGAATATGCTCATAAGATGTTACATGATGGGAAGATATAATTATTTATATAAGTATGTAAGTATAATTATTTAGCACAGGGGTCAAAAATTCAAATACCTTCAGGGCCAAGTAGACCAAATAAATGTCTGAAACAGTATCACAGTTGGATGTGATGGGGCTTGTGGTCCATTTGAAGCTCTACTACCTTGCTTCAATACATTCAGATGAAAAGCAAAACAAGCAAAATACAGTAAACAACACACACCCACACCTGTACTTTCTTGGCCAGACATCATACAGCTGCCTCTATAGAATCCCTCATTCAGGGGGTCACTGATGAAGTGTAAGGCCCTAGGGTTGAGCTTCAGCTCCACTGTGGGGTAGGTTTTTACCTTCTCCAAAGCTTCATTTTCTCATTTGTAAAATGCAGATGATGTGTGTCTTGCCTAACTCTAAGGGCTGTTGTAAGAGATTTAAATGGCATAACAGATAGAAATGATTCAAGCTATTAAGTCCTTTATAAATGTGTGGAATGTTGTTTCTCCGTATAAATCTTAGCTTTTCTATTATCTCAACAAAGGTGATTTTCTTGTTAAGAACGTTTAGTAGCCAGGCATTGGACAACTCCAGAAGACCAGCTAGAAACATCTTTTTTCAACAGTAGAATAACCTTGGTAATAGTTTCAAGCCCATTTAATATACTTCCTGGACTTGAATTGTTACCTGGATCACCCCACTGTCATTCCAGCAAAAAGATCCATGATACGTTCTTCTCACCATTAGGTTCTCTTAGATATGGGAATTCTTTTTTTCTTTTCTCTCTCTCTCTTTTTTGAGATGGAGTCTCACTCTGTCGCCAGGCTGGAGTTTAGTGGTGTGATCTTGGCTCACTGCAACCTCTGCCTCCCAGGTTCAAGTGATTCTCCTGCCTCAGCCTCCCAAGTAGCTGGGATTACAGGCTTGTGCCACCACACCCAGCTAATTTTTGTATATTTAGTAGAGACTGGGTTTCACCTTGTTGGCCAGGATGGTCTCAGTCTCCTGACCTTGTGATCTGCCCACCTCGGCCTCCCAAAGTGCTGGGATTACAGGCATGAGCCATGGCGCCCTGCCAGATATGGGAATTCTTATGACACTATGGCAGTATGCATCATAATTCTTACAAACCAGATACATTATCTCTGAGGGCTTTCTGTGGTTTCCTTAACATATAAACAGAAAGTCAGAACTTGTTGTATTTTGGTATACTAGAATTTGAAAGAGTTTGATTTCTACAGTTTTCTGACCACAGTAAATCCAGTGTTGACATCTTGATGCCTTTGTGGGAGGTTCCTTTGGAGCAAGATGTAACTCAGTGTCTGCACAAGATCTGCCAAGTAGCCCTGCCACAGCAGTGCCAGGCTCAGCTTACTAGTTACCCTCAGTCAGCGGGCACAGTCATAGAAACCCACGAGTCACAAGTTTATTGAGCTCCTTCTATGCATAACACACCATGCTGGCTTGGGGACAGTGAAAAAGTAATGTGGCCCCTGCTCTGAAGAAGCATGGAGTCTGTGTGGAGAGAAACCAGTATCTGTGAAATAGCTATAGAGTCTGGGCTCTTAGACTGTTAGATCTGTCTGGAAGGAACCTTAGAGATCATCTTTCCAGCCCACCTCCCTCAATGTACAGCAGAGAAAGTGATGCCTATAACTAAATGCTTATTTCTGTGGTGTAGTCCAGGGCTTATCAAATTTAGCTGCTTCCCAGAATCAGCTGGGGATCCAGAGTGCCTGGGGTAGGGACCCAGGTATTTATTTTGGAGTTCATAAGTCCTATAGTTTGCTTATTGGATTTGGGAATGGTAACAGGCTGAGAGTGGTTTTGGAATCTAGGATTTTGGGAGCTCAGTGAAAGACCAAGAAAGAGCCTCAGGGAGGAAATGATGTTGCATAAAGGGGAGGTAAGATTGAGGGAGACTGGAGCCTTTGGGGACAGGGGTGCAGTTAGGTGAGCATATGGAATTGGGAACTGGTGTGGCCGAGGTGATGAGGAAGATGTTTTACGTCATGTGACTCTCTTGGACAGCAAGGGGCTGTAGGAGATTTTGTACATTTGCTTTGAAAAAGAGCTGTGAGTATATTTCTGCTAAAGACATTTTGATAGTCAATTTGACTTTTTTTTTTTTAGTTTTAAGAAAGTATGTAATTGCATCACAATTAACTCTTCAATTCCAAATTGATTATATTCGACAAAGCGTGATATTTTTCTTTAGTTTATCATCAAATCATAGTTAGTCTGTTCACTGCCATCTCAAAATAGTTGAGACAGAAACTGATAATTTCATATACTCAGTTTCCGAATTTCTTGGTAATAAAGTAATTTATATGCAATATGCTAATATATTTGGATAAAGAGGTGTACTATGGACAACCAATGAAAACACTTAACATCTATAAGCTATTCTTTTTGAAAATAATTTTATTCTCAAAGTGAATTCTCTTTATGGAACTTTTGATATTATAAAGATACACGAAATTGGACAATCTATATAAATCCTTCATAATAAATTTTATTTCTCCAATGTGTATAATAAGACATCAAACAGAATTCCCCTTTTATGGAAAAACTATTTTATACCTATGCATATTTTATGGTTGTGTTCATTTTCTTTTTCTAAGAAATTTAACTCTATGATTTAACTTATTTTTAAACGATGCATAATACGTGCACATTTTTATAGGGTACGTATAATATAATATTTTGTTACATGCATACGACGTGTAATGATCAAGTCTGGTTGTGTTCATTTCACTGTCGAACTGTCAAACACAAGCAGTGCTTTTTGGTACTGTTACATTTCTCCTCGTTGTGTGGGTTGGTTGAAGGCAGGAACCGTAATGATTAAGAACACAGACTGTGAACCAGATAGTCTGAGTTCTGATCCCCTGCTCTGCCACCAGCTAGCTGTGGATAGCTCTATTTTGTCTATTGTGAATAGTGGAAAAGAAAGAATAATACCTACCTCAAAGGATTAATGTGAGGATTAAATGAGCTAATATGCGTAAAGTGTTTAGTACAGTTAAGTGCACAATGTGTTTAGCTATGATTACTTTTTAAGTTGTTATTAATTGTACCTGGCATATGACCTGACACATAGCATGTGGTCGCTGAGTGTTTATTGACTAAATGAGGGACTGTACCGATTACTGTAAAGTTTTGTTAAATAGAATACTTTTTTTTCTAAGCTATTTCCATCCTGTATATGCCCAAAGGCATCAACAATTTGTAGTAGAATAGTTTAATCAATGAGAGAGAATATTTGGTCAGAAAGATTGGTGTGGTCACGTGGAATAGCTAATGGCACTGTGGGCAAGGGAGCGTTTTTGATGAAGTCATAGAACTTTGTGGCTTTCACTGGGAATCTCGAGCCTGAGCCAGAACCCATACCGTCTGATTCCAGGCTGAGACAAGGGCAGCACTTTGTTCAGTGGCTGGTCCCTGGAGCTGGCTCACTCCGTACTCCCTTCTCTCCCTCTCTGCCTCTCCTTCCACCACCCCCTCCATTCTTCCTCCCTTAGCCTTGTAAAGCTGAGGATCCTTAACCTGGAGGTCAGGGAATCCCTCTCATCGTCTCTGCATTTCTGTTCCTTTCTTTCATTTTTGTCTTTCCTGAGAAGAGAGCCTACAGCTTTCTTCAGACTCCCAAAGGCAGCCGTGACCCCGCTTCCGTGAGGGTGGAAGTGGCTCTGGCAGCAGCCGTTTTCCATTATGAGCAGACGCTGAGGTGGAGCTCAGAGAACTGTAAGAACTCTATTCCTTTGTGAGTGTTTCTAGCAGCAGAGGAAACGGTGGGCACGAAGAGGGTAGCTTGGCAAAGCCGTTGTGCCAAGCAGAAGTGCGGTGATTGTGAAGACACTGTGGAGTCCCTTCTTGACTGCCTGGACCAGCAGGGGCTTGCGGTGACCTGGCCAGGTCATAAGCACAATGCAGGCCATGGTTTGGAAGGTACTCCAGGAAAACCTCAGTGCCTGTAGGGCGTTCTCTTGTCTGTCATTTCCTCATGGCACAGTGGAGTCAGGTAGCTTAGATTTGCCTGAACTGCAAACCGGCTGATTGACATAGACTTTCTCGTAGCAAGGCACAACTGCTAAATGAAAAATACCGTTGTTCTTAGCTTAAAATAAAATTAAGGGGGCAATGTTGTATATAAATACTTAGGAATTCAAATGCATTATTTTAAGAGCCGTTTTATTTCATTTTATTTTATTTTATCCTTTTTTTGAGACGGAGTTTTGCTCTTGTTGCCCAGGCTGGAGTGCAGTGGCACAATCTGGCACGATCTTGGCTCACCACAACCTCCGCCTCCCGGGTTCAAGTGATTCTCCTGCCTTAGCCTCCTGAGTAGCTGGAATTACAGGGATGCATCACCATGCCCAGCTAATTTTGTATTTTTAGTAGAGATGGGGTTTTTCCATGTTGGTCAGGCTGGTCTTGAACTCCCAACCACAGGTGATCTGCCTGCCTTGGCCTCCCAAAGTTCTAGGAATACAGGCATGAGCCACCAAGCCCAGCCAAGAGCCATTTTATAAGAATGCATATCACACTATGTCCCAAGGGCTTTTCAAGTATTAATTGGAATTTGAGTTGTCTAGGTCACTACTCCATGACAAAATCATGACTAAATAGCTTCACATATCCCTTTTATAGCTGTAGTGTAAGTCCTTGATTTTTTCCCCTCCATTATGCAATATTCAAATTTATCACACAACAGCTTTAACGTAACTGTTGGCAGTGCACTTTTTGTTGCTGAGGCAGGATGAAGGACTTTTTAATATAGTCTGGCTAGACACCAAGAGTACAGAAGTGATCCATTTTCCCCTGGCAGCTAGGTGGAAGACAGTCCATGTTGGGACATTTACTTAAGCATGGCCAGACAGGAGGGCTTTATCAGGATAACATTCTTTTGCCAAGTATGTGTGATAAAGCCAGAGTTAGACTTTGGGAATTTGGACCTTGTCTATATTTAGCATCCAGAAACCACTATGGGGCTGTCATTGGTTAGGTGTTTCCAGTCCCAGTTCTTGCTGCAGTTAGATAGTTTGTTCTGAAGTTTGTCCATTCATTCATTCGTTTGTTCGTATTTCAACATATCTCACTTTTTCCTGACATTGTTTACTTATAGGACGTTTTTAGAACTATCTGAATTATTTTTGATGAGAAAATCTCATAATGAGAATTAAAATTAAGAAAAACTAGAAATGCTTATGTAATTTGGCAGATCCTCTTAAAAAGCTTTTCAAGAAACCAGATATTAAAAAAAATCCCTAAATCAAGGGAAGAACTATCAATACAAATTTTTCTTTAAAGGAATTTAAAAAACACACAAGAGCTTTCTGTGAGATTACATCTCAGTTTTATCCCTAAGAGACATAATTCCTCTACAGAGGCTGCCTACTGAGAACTGTTGATCAACCAGAGGCCAAATGTGAGTTTACTTCTGACCATGCCACTCACTTGAATCTGATTTTTTTATTTTCATGTCTATAAAGTGAGGATGGGGACACTATCCTGTCTAACGCATGGGGTTGTGTGAGAATTAAGTGAATTTTCACAGCTAACCTATGACAGTACCTTATACTCAACCCTCAATAAATCAGAAGAGTTTTCCCCCAATGGTTCTGTGTGTCAGAAAGTGTGACAGGTGAATCAGAGTTAATTATAGAGGCCCTGTGATCCTAATCCACAGTCTCCCTATTCTTTTGTCTGTGAATATAGAACATGGGTGGGTCAGAGGCCAAATGGTTCCTAAGCCAGATGATGAGGGGGTGCAGGTCAGGGGACGTTCAGGAAGGCCAGATGCAGGGTGGAGGCTCAACAGAAGGTCTTCTGTTGGAGGAAGTGCCTGGGTGAGCAGGTGGTCACTGACATGGTGGCGATTTTCTCGCTTGCCCAGCTCTGCTTGGGTTGGCTGCCCAGAGGCATCCTCTTCTGTCTCCAGATCTGAGTGAAGGAGAGAGAGGTGCTTTTAGAAAGAATTGACTTGTAGTTTGGAAACTCCTTCCTGGTTAGAGAAAATGGGCCTCTGTATCAAGACTTTTTCTTTTTTAAAATATTTGTATAAATGTATGGAGTACAAGTGTAATTTTGTAACTTGCTTAGATTGCATAGTGGTGAAGTCAGGGATTTTAGGGTTTCCGTCACCTGAGTGACAGACATTGTACCCAGTGAGTAATTCCTAACCCTTGTCGTCCTACTTCCTGAGGACAGTGACCTGATTCCACTTGTGGACTGTGGGCTTGGCTTACCTTGTGGATGGCTCCAGCCCCCAGCAGAAAACTTAGAAGCATCAGATCTTAGTGTTGCTGTGGCTTTCTGCCTGTGGTTCAGGCTGCATTGCTGGTTTCCGAACCTTGCTTTTCCTTGACCTCTGTGTGTATCCCAGATCTCTACTGTGATCTGACTTTGTAGCCTCTTCCTTGATCCTGATTGCCAGCTACTGGGTACAACTTAGTCTGCTCCCAGCCCAATAAAGACCCCACCTCTGGTTCCAACCTTTTCCTGGCTGTCATCCTAGGTTTCCACCTTCTTGAGAGCCATCTTTTTTAGAGAAGTGCAGAGTTCACTATCCAGGTCCTTTGGCAGCATCCTGGCCGGGGGTGGGGGCAACATACAGATCATTTCCCTCAAGTAAAACATTGAGGCACACTGGTTAGTGCTTGGTTCATGCCTGTGTTTTTTCTTTTTCTGGAGTCTTGCCTTAATATATATATATATATTTTTTTTTTTTTTGCTAATACACAGACTGTCCTTCACGGCTGCGCCTATGCGTCACTGAAATTCAGTGTACAGATTATGCCACGCGGTAATTTTGGAAATTCAAACTGAAATGGAGCCGGCTATTCCGTATCTTGATCGGAATGGATGCATATAAGAATCAAAGTAACAGGGCAATAATACAAGTTAATTGATTTCCTACATGTCAGTAAACAACAATTGAAATCTGATTTGAAATGAAAGAAAAATCATTTACAATAGCACCCCCAAAATTGAGTCCTTGTATAAACCTAACAAAATATGTACAAATGTGCATTCAGAAAACTTTGAAACACAGTTGGAAAAAAAATTAGACAAAAGCTAAATAAATAATTCCTCCAAACTTGATCTATAGACCCAGTGCAATTCCAATCAAAATCCCAGCAAAGACACCAATAAAATGTTTCTAAACCTAAAATAGACAATATAAGACTGAGGAGGAACAAAGATGAAGAATTCACACATCCAGATTCCAAGACTTATAAATCTCTGAAGAGAGTGTAACATTGGGGAAGAAATGGTCACACAGACAAATGGAACAATACAGAGAGCCCCTAAATAGACCAACATAAATATAGCCAACTGATTCTGTCAAAGAGCAAAGCTGCTCAGTGGAGAAAAGAGTCTTTTCCATAAATGGTGATGAAACAGCCAGATTACCTTGTGGGATAAAACGAATGTACAAACAAACTTTACAACGTACACAAAAATACATACAAAATTATTCATAGACTTATAATTTAAAGTAGAAAACTGTAAAAATTCTAGGATAGAACATAGAAGAAAATCTACCTGACCTTGCATTTGGTGATGAGGTTTTATACACAGCACCAAAAGCCAATCCAGGAAAGGAAAACATGATAATGTAGACCTTATTAAAACTGAAAATGTCTACTCCATAAAAGACCCCATTAGGAGAATGAAAAGGCAAGGCACATACTGGGAGAAAATATTTGGAAAACATCTACTAAAAAAGGACTGTTATTCAAAGTATACCAAGAAAGTAAAACTCAACCAGAAGGAAACAAACCATCCAAGTAAAAATGGGTGATGATCTGAACAGACACCTCACCAAGAATATATAAAGATGGCAAATAAGCATTACCAAAAGCAGCTCAATAGCATATGTCATCAGGGGATTGCAAGTTACAACAACAGTGAGGTAGCTGTGTGGCTGTGAGGGTGTTTCTGGAAGAGATGAGCACTGAATGGGTAGACTGAGGATGGGCCATGCTCACCAGTGTGAGTGAGTGCCATCCGATGCACTGGGGGCCCAAATAGAACAATGCAGTCTCTCTCTCCTTGAGTTGCAGCTTTCGTCTTCTGTCCTTCCTGGTTCTCAAGCCTTTGGACTCTGAGACTGCACCAGTGGCTCCCCACTTGACTATCAGGTCTTCAGGCTTGTGTGTTATACCACTGGTGTTCCTGGTTCTCCAGCTTGCAGGCAGTATACTGTGGGACTTCTTGGCCTCTATAATCATGGGAGTCAATTCCCATAATAAATCTCTCTCTTTTTTTTTTTTTTTCTGAGACAGGGTCTGGCTCTGTTGCCCAGGCTGTTGTGCAGCAGCGCCATCTCGGCTCATTGTAGCCTTGACTTCCTGGGCTTAAGCAATCTTCCCACCTCACCTCCCCGAGGGGCTAGGACCACAAGTGTGCACCACCACGCTGGCTAATTTTTTGTAGAGACGCTGTTTCACCATGTTGTCCAGGCTGGTCTCGAACTCCTGAGCGATCCACCCATCTCTGCCTCTCAAAGCGTTGGGATTACAGGCGTGGGCCACTGCACTGGGCACAAATATCTCTCTCTATATAGAGATATGTGTGTATATATATGTAAATATATATAAGTATATAAATATAAAATTCCTATTGGTTCTCTTAGAACAACTCAAATATAAAAAAATGACAATAGCAATTGCTATGGAGGATTAGGAACAACAGGAGCTTATCACTGCGGGTGGAAGGCATAATGGTACAGCCACTGGCAGTGCCAATGGTAGTTTTGTCTCAAAGCTAAACATAGTTTCACCATATGGTCTAAGAAAGCAGCTGTGCTCCTGGGTCATCAACTGCTTTGAAAACTTATGTCCAAACAAAAAAACATGCAGTTATGTACAGCACCCTCTATTCAGATATTTAAGTTTCCAGACACTTTAAATCAGGATGTCCTTCAATAGGTGAATAAAAAACAAGCTGAAGCACATTCACACAATGGAATACTACTCATCGATGAAAAGGAATGAGCTGTCAAGTCGCTCAAAGGCAGGAGTGAGCCTTCAATGTATATGACCAAGTGAGAGTGGTGGAGAGAAGAGGCTGCACTATTCTATTTAGATGCCCTTCTGGAAAGGTGAAGGTAGAGACACAAGGAGATCTGGGCTTGCTAGTGGTTTGTGAGGAGGCTGTTGAATAGGGGAATGGGGAATGGCAGGAGGTCCCTGGGGCCAGGGGGCCATGGGCTTCCTCTGGCTGTCAGCCATGGGGAGCATTTGCGGAGAAGCTTAGCTGGCTTACCAGCGTGAGCGCGGCTACTTTTCCCTAGGAAGGGATCCCATCGCAAGTGGATCTCTTTGGGGGCATTCTGGGGAGGATATTTTACCCACACTTTGTGATTTCTCAGGACCACGTGGAGACCCATCCTTGGGCGCAGGCCCAGCTCTTCGTTTTAGCCAGGTGAAGACGCACAGATGGGAACAACTTCATTCTCTGGGACTCAGTTTTTCCTCTGCAGTGAAATCAAGCTCCAGTATTTCATTCTCTGTTTTAAATTCAATTCCTTTTATCTTGTCCTTCCATTCAATGGGTCTTAAGAAATGTTTTCTAGAACCTCAAGGGGTGGACGGGACACTTTCTTTAGGGAAAGGTTTTGTCACGTACATGGCATGTTCCTTGGTCCCTGCAGAGGCTCAGGCCTCAGGGCAGCTGCCTCGCTAGGCTTCAGGACCTCGCAGGTGTCCAGGGGGCCACAGGGGTCTGCATGCGAGGGCAGGGGCAGCAGGTGGGTGCATCACAATGGGGCGTTGGTGACAGTGATGTCCTGCGGGTCCCCCACCTGCCACCTCCGTTCAGGGAGGTTTCCTTGGGCCCACCCCAGCCGGAGAGACCTTGCCCGAAGTCACCCTCTTCCATGCTATGTGCCCTGTAGCTGCAGTTTACTGGTGAGCTTGGTAGGGCACAGAGAGGATGGCACTACCAGCTGGAGGGGGACAGGCCCCAACCATGAGCCCAGGATGCAGAGAGCGGCAGGGATCACCGGAGCCCCCCCGGCTCTGGTGTCTTGGCTCTTCCTGCACACGGTCTCCACATGACGCCCAGCAAGCCGGATCTCAATTTGTTCACCCATCCTTTATTTTCTGTATTTATGACTAGTATTTCTCCAGTTTGTCTTTTGTTGGCCTTAGTGACAGTGAGTTTTCCTGTTGAGTTTCTATTCTGTTGGATCTTTATTTTAGCAGCGGATAGGCAAATTTTGGGTGATGTTTATTAATGCAAAATGGAAGGTGATGATATGTCACACACATCCTTCTGCTTCCTGCAGCAGTTTCGCTGTGTGCTGTGTCAAAACAAAAACAACAACATCAAAAAGGAAACAAAAAACCAGTAAAGAGTGATGGGGAGGACACTTCTTGGAATAATTCCCTTGGATGCCCGTTGCGGGTTAAGTCAGAGATGAACTGACTTGGGAAAGGAGCTGAGGAAGAAATCCAAGAATTCAAGAAAGGAGGTGCTGGAACTCAGGCTGTATTTCCGCAGGTGCATGGAATCTCGCCTGTTTCACTCTGGTAAATTACTCATACTAGCTCCTACTACCATGAGGAAACACAGTCTTCAGAAGTTGACAATTAGCAAATTAGAGAATTGCAAAGCCTGTTTTACCCTGAGAACCTGAACCCTTTCTTATTCCTGAAGGGCTTTCCATCAAGGAGTCTGTGTGGTGGGCAAGAGACTGGATCAATTGAAAATAACAGAAATTGTCACAGTGTTCTTCTAGCAACTGTCACTCACCATAACTATCCCACCCGAGGCTTAACCAGAACCCTCCCTTCCAAGAGCTGAAGTCGCCCTGAGAAAGAATGAACCCGATACCTGTCCACCCCCACAGGGGCCATCAGGTTGCCATGGAGCTGGGCTGTCTGAGTCTTGGTCCAGCCTGTTCCTGGCCCTCATCTGGGGCCCTAATGTATGTCTTAAACGCTACCTCTCTCACCATCTAAATATGAAGAGGAAGAAAAGAGAAGCTGATTCCTGGGGCTAAGGCATTTTAGTGTGGAAGCCAAGTAAAGGCCTCAGAGTCACTCTTGTCTTCTGTCTTTGCTGTTTCACTCCAGTCTCAAAAGCAATCCTGGTCTTAGGTCTTAGAATCACAGACTGCCGAATGACAGCACCTGCCCTCAGTTCATTTTGCCGCACTTCTTACTTTGACGGTGCCATTTGTGGGATTCCTGTTTGCCCATCTTCCTTTCGTGCCGAGGAGGCAAGTGCATCCCTTCACCAGGCCACCACTGCAGGTGTGTGTGTCAGACTGAGGAACAGCAGGGAGAGGAGAACAGCATATGGTAGGCAGCCCAGGGGAAGCATGCTGGGCCCTTAACCCAGAAGGAGGGTCTCAGTGTGTCCAGTTGCTCATTTCCTTGAAAGAAAACCCAGATGTCCTCTGAGGTGAACCTAGTGATAGTTTTCCCTTGTAGTTTTAAATGTGCTCATTCAAATTAGAATGCTTAGCCATCCGTCCCATATTCCGGCATTTTTCCTTTAATCTATGTTTGCAGGGTTGTGAGTTGTGCTGAATAGTATGAAATGTGTTATTAGTGGACGCACCACTGTTGACCTCAGAGCATGTGACTAGACAGTGCAGGAGGAGATGTTGTCATGTTACTTTGGATATAAAACGTCCCTAGGTGACCTTGTGGGCCTGATCCACGGTGAAAGGTGGGGAGAGGGTACTGGAGCAGGGCAGAGGGACTGGATGAGCCTGCATGGGGAGGAAGGCGTGACTGAGGGAAGACAGCTCAGCCCCCCAGGGGAAACCTGAGTTCAGTGTTGGGGAATGTGAGGACACAATGGCGGGGCAGGATGGCCCTGGCACCAGCGGTGCTGGGGACCGTAGGGGGCCATGCTTTGTGAGAGGCAAACTTGGCTCCAAGGATGTGAGGCTGGGAGCATGGAGGTGAAAAGGCCGAGAGACAGAGGGGAGCTGAGGCAGGCAGGGCAGAGACGGGGGGCCCAGCAGGGCCTGGGGCAAGAAATTAAGGATGGGGCAGGGTACCTCCAGCAACTTAGTCACACTGAGGGGATGGGAGGGGTAGCAAGGGACTGGGTGGGGACAAAGTGACAAGATGGGGAGTAGGGAAGTGGGCACTAGTTTGTGTGTTAATAGGTCAGCAAGTCTTTTAGAGTCCTGGGAAGTAAAATAAAAATTAAAACAACAAAAACAAGCCGGACAGGGCAGCACATTCCTGTAGTCTCAGCCACTAGGTAGGCTGAGGTGGGAGGATCACTTGAGCCCAGGAGGTTGTGTCTGAGCCTCCCAGCTACTCGGGAGGCTGAGGCAGGAGAATCGCTTGAACTCAGGAGGCGGAGGTTGCAGTGAGTCAAGATTGTGCCATTGCACCCCAGCCTAGGCAATAAGGTGAGACTCCATCTCAAAAAAAGATAATAATAATAAGGGGAAAACTCAGAGATGGAATTACATGCACCAGGTGTAGTGTGAGCAAAGGATTAACTTCCTGATACATTCTTGTTTCCCATATATATAGCTATCAAGGTCATCTTTTAGTAATGAGTTAAGTTCTTTCTTTTCCAACTCAAAATTTGTCTGCATCTTTACCCAAATATCCAGATCTGATACTCTAGGCTTGGGCTAATATAGTGGGGTGGAGGAGGCTTGGGTTAAGGTTTAAAGTTCCAAGGGCTGAACCGGAATAAATGGTGTATTTATCAAGGGAAGAGCAAGGCAAAACCAGCAAGTCCAAACCATGGAGGCCTCAACCGAGGTGAGGGGAAAAGTTAGGGAGCCTTAGGAAAGCTCTGAGGAGGGACCCCAATTAGGGGGACCGTAGTTAGGGTATGAGGTTTGTGAGATCAGGACTGGAATTGCTGCAAGAGACCCTATGATTGGGTGGCAGCAGCATGTTGTGGAGATGAGCCTGCTTCCTCAGCCTCTTCCTCTTGTCAGAACCCTTTGCCTCTCCCTACACACGCACACACACATGCATGCACCATGCTACAGAAACCTTTCTCAGTCTTGCCATTCTCTCAAATTATGCGTTGGTCTTCCCTTCATCTTCAGATTCTTTAAAGAGTAATCAAAGTTCCCACTTCTAGCATGATGAAGTGAGGAGGTCAACAAATCTTTCCAAAATGTAACTGTATAGCTGGACAAACCATTTAGCATTCTGCAATTTTACCAAAGGCACGGCACAAATGGGGATGTGTTTAAGAATGAAAGCTGGCCAGGCGCGGTGGCTCACGCCTGTAACCCCAGCACTTTGGGAGGCTGAAGCAGAAGGACCACTTGAGCTCAGGAGTTCAAAAACAGCCTGGGCAACTTGGTGAGACCCCCGTCTGTACAAAAAAAAAATCAAAAAAGGCATGGTGGTGCACACTTGTGGTCCCAGCTACATGGGAGGCTAAGGCGGGAGAATCATTTGAGCCCAGGAGATTGAGGCTGCAGTGAGCTGTGATCACACCACTGCACTCCAACCTGGGCAACAGAGTGAGACAGACCCTGTCCCTAAAGAAAAAAAAGAAGAATTAAAGTGAGCCTTGGATAAGACCAGCCTGTGTCCGTGGCATCTTTGCCCAGGCTGCTACCCCCATTTACCCCAGCTGTTGATAACACACACAGCGGCCCCCAGCAGGGCAGCCTGTGGAGATAAGCTCCCCTGCCACCTCGCTGCAGGGGCTGGAGGCAAGAGTGAGGAAGGTTTTGATTTGCAGCATGGCTAGTTAAGGTGGTGATATCAGTGACCAGGAGGAAGAAAGGCCACTGACTCCTAGCCTGAGGCTCTGGGCCTTTGGAGACGAGCAAACGACCTGCAGATTAGTCATGGATGTAAGAGGGAGCTCCGGGAGGTCGGAGAGCCAGAGGGAGCTTAGTAAACTCTTCACACTACCCAAATGGACTGAAGGCTCATAGCTGGCAGAGATTAGAGCAAGCCCAAGCCATGTCCATATGCCCAGGGCACACAGCCTGTGTGTGTGCCGGTGCCAGTGTTAGGAAGTAAAAGCCGGAACACCCTTGCAAATGGCCCGGGGCGTGCCTCCTCCCCATTGCACATAGATCCAGCAGCAGATGGTGGAAACCATATTGGCTTTAACTGATGTTTGACTGACGAACTATGCAAACAAGAAGCGACCTCTAGGGAGTCAGTCTGAAAAATTAAAGCAAACAAATGCCAACAATAAAACTTAGCAATGACCTGAGTGAGTGCACACTGTGGAGGAGACAGGCTTCCTGCATGGAGTCCAGCCAGGAGACAGTACAGAATGCATGGAGCAGCTATTGGAAGACATTGAAAACTAAATAGTTGCAGGCAGCTTTCCCAAGAAGACCAGAACTTGAAGTACCACCAAACCGGTGGTGAGATAACCATGTTTCCCCTATGGCATCCCGTGACTAACCTGGCAGTGGGCACCAGGGTGCAGATAGAAAGAGCTCCAGAAGATGCCCTCTATTTCTGGCTCAAGTAACGGGAAAAGGGTCTCCTAACATTCCGAGGGAATCCAGAAGTTCGTTCCTCCCCATTTTTCTTTTCCCTGTTCTCTCATACCTCAGCCCACAAGCAGTCCCACAGTGGCACTGGCACCAGCCCCAAGAGGAGCCCAGGAGCCAAGACGCAGGAGGGAACCTTCTCCAACTGACAGAGCTGTGGTCCCAAGAGGGCAGAAACAATCCATGTTGCTTCTCTTCCAATTCAGTCCTCCCACTGCTTGGCTTCAGATGTAGAAATGCATGGTAGAGCCAGATACCGAAAGCCTGTTTTCTGCTTGGAAGACTAAAAAGAGAAGCCTCAGCAAATGAAAGCAACAGGGTAATTGCTGAGAGAGAGTTAATCAGTGAAGCAACCCCATTAACCTGTCTATAAACCCCAGGGCTCATTCTTGAGCTGCTCCTGCATAGATCTCGTCCTGTTCAACACACCAAAGATTGACAGCTGAACTGAGAGACCATCACCCACAGACACAACTGGCCACTGGGTGGTGCACAAGTCAGACAGAACTGAATAGTCCTGTGAAGACTCTGGACACTGAACTGACTTTGGAACCAGACTGCAGAATGGAGGGGTGGGAACTTGTGGCTTGAACCTAATCAGGTAGATTGCCTGGCCAAAATGAAAATACCTATCATCTCCATAGGATTTAATTTCATTCAATGATTTTTTTTTTTTTAGTAAATTTGCAATGTTTTACAGCCTTCCCCAAAATCTAATTCCAAAATATCTCTATCACCCCAACGAGAGACTCCATTCACGTTGGCAGTCACATGCACTCCCAGATTTCCCCTCCACCCAGCCCTTGGCAATCACTAGTCTACTTTCTGTGTCTTTGAGTTTGCCTACTCTGGATATTTCATATAAATGAAATGATATATGAGGTTTTGTGATTGGCACCTTTAATTTAGAATAATGTTTTCAAGGCTGATTCATGTTGTAGTATGCATTGGTACTTCATTATTTTTTATGCAAAAGTAATATTCTATTGTATGGCTATACCACATTTTTCTTTGAGACAGAGATCTCACTATGTCGCCCAGGCTGGAGTTTAGTGGCTCTTCACAGGCCTGATCACAGCTCCTGCATGGATCAAGGAGCATCACTGCAGCTGCAAACTGCAGCTTCAAACTCTCCGGCTCAAGCGACCCTCCTGCCTCAACCTCCCCAGTAGCTGGGCCTACAGGCACGTGTGTCTGTGCCCAATAATACCACATTTTAAAAATCCATCTTCAGTAGATGGAAATTTGGATTGTTTCCACCTTTTACTAATAAAAATAGTACTGCTATAAACATTCATGTATAGGTTTTCTTTTGTTTTTGTTTTTTCTTTTTTGTAGAGATGGGGGTCTCGCTGTGTTGCCCAGGCTGGTCTCAAATTCCTGGACTCAAGTGATCCTCCCATCAAAAACTCCCAAAGTGCTGGGATTACAGGCGTGAGCCACTATGCCTGGCCTGTATACAAGTTTTTGTGTAGACATGTTTACATCCAATTAATGAACACAGGATGTCTTTCCATTGATTTAGCTCCTCTTTAATTTCCTTCAACAGTGTTCTGTAGTTTCCAGTCTACAAGTCTTACACTTTTGGGTTAAATTTATTCATAATTATTTTATTATTTTTGATAATATTATAAATGGAATTGTTTACTTAATTTTACTTGAATTGTTCCTTGCTGGTGTATAAGTAGACATCTCATTTTTTTAGTTGACCTCGTATGGTACAATCTCTTTGAACTCATTTATTATCACTGATAGTTTAGGTCTTTTTTTTTCGAGGTTTCATTAAGGTTTTCTATAGATAAGATCATGTCAAGACACCCTCAGACCACAGGGCGGCGCCACGAGCCCGGCCGAGTGCAGCTGGAGCGCCGACGTCGCCGAGGATACACAGTGCTGAGGCAGAACGCAGGTTCGTCACAGTGGGCCTCCGTGGGCGGCGCCGCACGCTCGTCACAGTGGGCCTCCGCCGGCTACGCCGCTGCTTCAGTGGCTTGCAGGCACTTTCCTCTTGGAAGTGGCGACTGCTGCGGGGCTGAGCGGTGCTCGCACGCGTCTCGGGAGCCAGGTTGGCGGCGCGATGAGGCGCAGCAAGGCCGATGTGGAGCGGTACGTCGCCTCGGTGCTGGGTCTCACCCCGTCGCCTCGACAGGTGAGTGGGTCTCGAAGAGAGCGACGGCGGCCTCGACCCGGCCGGGGGGGGAGGGGGGGGGCGGCGGCGGCGGCCGCCTCGATGGCTCAGGCGTCATGTCTCCCGAGGGGCGCTGCTCCGTGGCGCGCTCTGTTGAGGCGCCGGCCGGCTGGCGCAGTCCTGTGGGCGGCGTGGCGCTTGCAAGCGCAGGAAGAGTCCTGGGGGGACCGCGGCGGGCGGGAGACCGTTGGCGCCGGCGCTTCCTCTTAATCCCGGCTTGTTCCCGACGCTTGTTCCCGACGGTGCTCGCTCCTGGGCCCGTCCTGGCCCGGGCTTTCTGGCCGATCGCGCACCCCGTAGTACCCGCGCGGCCTAGTTCTCGGGGGCTTGGGCACCCGGGTGCTGTATCGGCGGGTTTCTTCCCATCTCCTGGACATTTACTTTATATGCTGCGGCGGAGGTCGTACCTCCTTGGCCTGGAGGAACCCAGTGGGGACTGACGCAGCTCCGGGTGAGCTTTGGCGGCTGCGTCGAGTGACAAGGTAGGCATCTCAGCGCGGACATTTGCAATGGCCCGACGGCGCAAATGACACGGAAAGTCCCCTTGTTTTGAGTATGAGGTGTTTGTCGCTGTCCCTTTGTAAGGGTCCAGCTCCACTCCACTCCTCATACTCACCTCCCTCGCCCCCCTCCCCGCCCGGAACACTTTGGTAGCTGCCTTTGCTTAAAAAAAAAAAATTCTAAAGTTCTTACAAATCGTTAGTATGGCTTGCAATTTTTAACCTTTTCCACAGATGTTTTAAGGGTATTTTTCCTCTTTACATGTAAATAATGCTGAGATTACAGGTGTGAGCCACTCTGCTCAGCCTGATTTTTTTTTTTTTAAACAAGCTTAAAAAAAAAAAAAGCAAGTTTGGAGCCTTTCTGAGATTCTTAGTGGGGACCTTGGCTTCCAAAAGATTAAAAACCACTGGTCTAGACAGAAGTTAGAATGTTCTTTCAACTACATAACTTCTCCATTAAATAAAGTGGAGTGGTGGCAGAATTTTGACGATTGGTTATTATGACACCTCTCTTACATTTAGAGTCTTTTTTTTCCCCCAAATTTAAAGTCATTTACATTAGAACCTGGGGATTTCAGCGGAATATGGATTAACTAGTGAGTAACTGGAACATGTGAAGCTATTCTGTGAAGTTAGGTTTGAGTGAAATGACAAAACAGGGTGCTTTGGATAGAAGGTAAAGAATGGAGGGAGAAGAGGCAGTGGCTGTGAAGAATATGAAGAGGTTAGTATTCTCCCCCAGTTTGGCAGAGGCTGGCCATCTGTGAACTGCCCATGCTTTCTAGAATGTCGGAGTTTTGGAGTGTGATGATGCGTCTGTATATCATATCTTTCTAGTCTTCCATTGCGCTTTCATTTGTTAGTCTCCTCTTGTTTTGCCATTTTTCTACTCCCTCACATGTGCTTTTGCCCTTCTTAAAAATATTCTTCGTCTGTAATCCGAGCATTTTGGGAGGCCGAGAGACCAGCCTGACCAATATGGTGAAAATCCGTCTCTATTAAAAATACAAAAATGAGCCGGGCGTGGTGGCAGCGCCTGTAGTCCCACCTACTCGGTAGGCTGAGACAGGAGAATTGCTTGAACCCTGGAGGCAGAGGTTGTGGTGAGCAGAGATTGCGCCACTGCACTCCAGCCTGTGTGACAGAGCGAGACTCTGTCTCCAAAAAAGAAAAAAAGAAAAAAAATATAATTCTTTCTCTAGTTTTTCTTTTTCCAGATGGCTTCTGTTTAGTTTTTCTATGTTCTGTCAAGTCGGTTTCTTATTCTGCAGCTGATTCCTACTTCTCAAAGTCTACTTGACAGCTCTTATTTTTATTTGTATTTTTTTTAGAATAGGGTCTTGCTGTGTTGCCCATCAAATTTTTGGGCATAAATGATCCTCCTACCTCTGTCTGCTGAGTACTTAGGACTACAGGCAGGCACCTTTGACAGCTGTTAGTTGTTTTTTCTGCCCTTTACATCTATACTTCATACTTCTGAGTAACACACATATATACTTTTGTTATTTTTAATTCCCTTTCTCCCATTTTAGACATTTTCTTTTCTTTTCTTTTCTTTTTTTTTTTGAGACGGAGTCTCGCTCTATCGTCCAGGCTGGAGTGCAGTGTCGCGATCTCGGCTCACTGCAAACTCTGCCTCCGGGGTTCACGCCATTCTCCTGCCCCAGCCTGTAGCTGGGACTACAGGCACCCGCCACAACACTCGGCTAATTTTTTAGCATTTTTAGTAGAGACGGGGTTTCACCGTGTTAGCCAGGATAGTCTCGATCTCCTGACCTCATGATCCGCCCGCCTCAGCCTCCCAAAGTGCTGGGATTACAGGCGTGAGCCACCGCGCCCGGCCCCATTTTAGACATTCTGTACTGGCTATTATGCTCCTCCAAAACTGTCCTCAGACACTTTGGTTTGCCCCTCATTCTTTCAGTACTGTTACTGCAGTTTTTGTTTAAATGAATAGTTAACATTTATATAAATAGAAGGTAAATATTTTTGCATTTGAATTGCCCTTGTTGTGCAGTTTTTTGTTGTTTTTTTTTTATTATACTTTAAGTTTTAGGGTACATGTGCACATTGTGCAGGTTAGTTACATATGTATACATGTGCCATGCTGGTGTGCTGCACCCACGTTTTCCTGGACTGAATAATTGCTTTATTTTTTGGTTTGCTTGTATGTTGTGTTACTACTTGCTTACTTAAACTCAGCAATTTAAACCCTCAAATGTGGTCAAACTGGTCAGATAATCCCATCAATTTCAGCTTAAAACACTGATTGATTGATTGATTGTCTGTCTACCTGGAATACCCTTACTAACCAACTTCTCCAACCCGGATTGGTTTTTCTTCCTCTTTGCTACACAGCTGTGCTCTTGGGACTTCCCTTTATCACCAGTTTGAGAATTCCCTTCATCTTTTTTCTGAGTTAGACCCTTTGTTTCTTGTATCTCATGTCCTCTTCATTTACTTTCTTTGTTTTGGTGTAGCATAGTCTCACTTGCTTTGAGGAAAAGTGGATGAGAGGTTTTTTTGTTTGTTTTTGTTATGGGACAGAGTCTTGCTCTGTTGCCCAGGCTGGAGTGCAGTGGCATGGTCTCAGCTCACCGCAACCTCCGCCTCCCAGGTTCAAGTGATTCTCCTGCCTCAGCCTCCCGAGTAGCGGGATTACAGGTGTGCGCCAGCATGCCCGGCTAATTTTTTCTATTTTTAGTAGAGATGGGATTTCACCATACTGGTCAGGCTGGTCTAGAAACTAATGGTATGTCTTTAAAACATCTTTACTTAATTTAGTTGATCATTTGGTTATCGAATTCTGAGTTTCAAATAATTTTTTTCGCAATTTTGAAAGCATTGCTTCATTTTCTAGAAGTTCTGTTGTTAGGAGTCCCATGAGATTCTTGTTCTTGGTAACTTAAAGGTTTTCTGGAAGTGTCCTTTCAATTGGGAAACTCATTTCTTTCAGTTCTGTAGCATTTCTTGTATTATTTCTTTAACCATTTCTTACCCTTTTTTTTAATGATGTTTACCTGAAAGCTGGAGTTTCTCTAATTTTTCTCTTATTCTCCTCTTTTGTTTGTTCTGCCTTTTGAGAGATTTCCTTACCCTTATGTTCCAGGGGAAGAAGATTGGGGAACTCATGGTTCAGTATCTAGACTTTTCCTCATTGTCCTGTATAATCACGGCCTTCACCCTTGTTGGGACTCCACAGATTTGGAGCTGATCAGATGGGTTTGTTGAGAACAGCAGCTTTTTTGGAGGATTTTAGGGGGAGGGAGATTCATTTGATTGTGCAAGATGGGCGACAGGGTGAGACTCCGTTTGAATTAAAAAAAAAAGAGAGAGAAATTTAGAACTGCATAATGAAAAAGTAGGCCACAAATATTAAGTTTTGGACAATTACAATTACATCTCTATCTTACTGTGCAAGATAGCGATGATGTGGCATCTCTTAGGGTCTTACTGTTCCTGTTTTCAGCCCTGCATCAGTTCTTGATATTTGACAGCTTAAGTGAATTCAGGTATTTGCTTATAGTGACATCTGCTGTCATGTAAAGAAGTACTGCTTGCATCAGATATTGTCCTGTTTACATAACATGGGCTGTGCTCCTTTCTAGCTGTATATCTTTAAACAAGGCATTTGCCTGCTTGAGCTTCAGTTCCCTTGTAAAGTGAGCAGGTTAGAGGCAAAAGATCATATAGAAGAATAATTTGTAAAGTTGTTTAATTATCTTAAGATTGTCTACTTTAATAACATAGTTGGAAGCAAAGAAGGTAATGGAATTATTTTTCTATTATGTTTTAACATAGTTGGAAGCAAAGAAGGTAATGGAATTATTTTTCTATTATGTTTTGGCATTGTACCTTGAATCTATTTCTTCATTTTGAAAAGGGGGAACTGGCGGGCTCGGTGGCTGATGCCTGTAATCCCAGCACTTTGGGAGGCGGAAGAAGTCAGATCACAAGGTCGAGAGATCGACACCATCTTGGCCAACATGGTGAAACCCCATCTCTACTGAAAATACAAAAATTAGCTGGGCATGGTGGCATGCGCCTGTAGTCCCAGCTTGTACCCGGGACGCAGAGGTTGCAGTGAGCTGAGATCGAGCCACCGCACTCCAGCCTGGCGACAGAGCAAGACTCCATCTCAAAAAAAAAAAAAAAAAAAGGAAGGGGGGAACAGGCCTTGTTCCTTTATGTGCTGTCCTGACTGTTGTGTATTATTTTTGTTAAGATTGCTATAGTTCTTTTTTTTTTTTGAGACGGAGTCTTGCTCTGTCGCCAGTGCTGGGATTGCAGGTGTTAGCCTGGCATTGAGCAAGGTTTTGTAATTTAAGCATACAAGTCTCTCACCTCCTTGTTTACATTTATTCCCAGGCATTTTTTTCTTTTAGATGCGATTGTAAATGGAATTGCTTTCTTAATTTCATTTTCTGATTGTTCGTTGCTGGTACAGTAGTCCCTTCTTATCCACAGTATTGCCTTACGTGGTTTTACTTACCTGCGTCACCCGTGGTCCAAAAATATTGAATGGAAGATTATATAAATAAACATTTCATGAGTTTTAAATTGCAAACAGGTCTGAATAACATGATAAAAATCTCACGGCCTCCTGCTCCGTCCTACCCAGGACACGAATCATCCCTTTGTCCAACATATTCATGCTGTATGTGCTCCCCACCCGCTAGTTACATACTAGCCATCTCAGTTATCAGATCAGTTGTTGGAGTATTGCAGTGCTTGTGTTCAAGTAACCTTTATTTTATTTAAAATGGCACCAAAGAGCAAGAATAGTGATGCTGGCAGTTCACATATGCCAGAGAGAAGCCATATAGTGCTTCCTTTAAGTGAAGAGGTGAGTTTTTGACTTAGGAAAGAAAAAAGATCATATACTGGGGTTGCTGAGATCTATGGTAAGAACAAATCTTTTGTCCATGAAATTGTGAAGAAGGAAAAAGAAATTTGTGCTAGTTTTGTTGTGACACCCCAAACTGCAAAAGTTACAGCCACAGTGTGTGATAAGTGCTTAGTTGAGATGGACAAGACATTAAATTTGTGGGTGGAGGACACAAACAGGAAGCATGTTTCGATTGATGGCAACCTGGTTTGGTACTATTCATCGTTTTTGGACATTCACTGGGGTCTTGGAATTTCAAAAATAAGATGTTTGAGTAGCTGTATACTCTATCACATGGATGGAACATACTCTGGTTGTATCAGCATTTTTTTTTTTTTTTGAGATGGAATCATTCTGTTGCCCAGGTTGGAGTGCAGTGGTGCGATCTTGGCCCACTGCAGCCTCTGCCTCCCGGGTTCAAGCGATTCTTTGCCTCAGCCTCCCAAGCAGCGGGGATTACAGGCGTGTGCCACCATGCCCAGCTAATTTTTGTATTTTTAGTAGAAAGGAGGTTTCTGTATGTTGGCCAGGCTGGTCTCGAACTCTTGGCTTCAAGTGATCCACCCGCCTCAGTCTCCGAAAGTGCTGGGATTACAGATGTGAGCCACCGCACCCAGCCTGGTGTGCATCAGCATTTTGGACTTTGGAGTTTATGTAACCAAGGATCCAGGCTGTGGACCTCGTTTATTACTTGAAGAATTCAATATTTATTTCTGCCTTTTTGACTCCTTGACTGTAAAATACTGATCTGATCTGTAGAGAGAACAGTACATGGACCCGGGAATCCTCAGTGCCTTAATAGATCCTAAGTACTTACTTATTCTTTCCCATAGAGGCTTACACATGGTAGGAGAAGAGATTTCTGGAATACCTTTCCTCCCCAAAGAAAGCTGGTTTCTTTTGTTTGTTAAGTGAGAGAGTGGTACCACAGGGTTTCCAAGATTTCCAAGGCTGATGAAAATTCTTAACTTCTGTTGTCTGCTTGTCTTGCTTTCTTGAATTTATTTTTTGTATGTTATGTATTTATTATTTAGAGAGAGGATCTCCCTGTGTCACCCAGGCTGGAGTGCAGTGTTACAGTCATAACTCACGGCAGTGTCAACCTCCTGGGCTCAAGTGATTCTCCTTCCTTGGCCTCCTGAGTAGCTAGGAACACAGGCATGCTCCACTATGCCTGGCTATTTTTTTCCCCCTGGAGACAGGATCTTGTTGTGTTGCACAGGCTGGTTTCAAACTCTTGGCCTCAAAGCTAGCCTCCCACCTTGGTCTCTGAAAGTGCTAGAATTAAATAGAATTAAAGGTGTGACCAACTGCACCCAGCTTATTTATGATGATGATGATGATGATGATGATGATGATGATGATGATGTTTGGGAGATGGAGTCTCTGTCGCCCAGGCTGGAGTGCAATGGCACGATCTCAGCTGACTGCAACCTCTGG
This sequence comes from Homo sapiens, assembly GCF_000001405.40. Classification (NCBI taxonomy): domain Eukaryota; kingdom Metazoa; phylum Chordata; class Mammalia; order Primates; family Hominidae; genus Homo; species Homo sapiens. The sequence goes on along the minus strand of NC_000002.12, from coordinate 110,570,082 downwards.
CTCACTGCAACCTCCACCTCCTGGGTTCAACTGATTTTTGTGCCTTAGCCTCCTGAGTAGCTGGGATTACAGGCACCCGCCATCATGCCTGGCTAATTTTTCTATTTTTGTAGAGACGGGGTTTCACCATGTTAGCCAGGCTGGTCTCAAACTCCTGACCTCAGGTGATCCGCCCACTTCGGCCTCCCAAAGTGCTGGGATTACAGGCATGAGCTGCTGCACCCAGCTCTATTTTTTGTTTTGTGGTAGGAAATTATAAAACATGGAATTATGCATTTGTCAGGCTTTAACTACTTTTGAAAAAATGTTGGAAAATATTTCTGTATGAAACGTAAAACAACTTTTAATTTTTTTTTAGAAGTCAATGAAAGGATTCTATTTTGCAAAGCTGTATTATGAAGCTAAAGAATATGATCTTGCTAAAAAGTAAGTACAAACCGTAACATGTATTCTTTTTTTTAAAATCAATGCCTTTTCTCATTTTCTTCTTTGAAATAGGTAAAAATATGTCCTTAGTAGTTCTTCCTAAGTGTATTCTGGAATAAGGGATTTATCACTCAGACTGATGCTAAGGACCAGCCTAGATTCCATTGAGATTGAAACTGTAATTAGTGTTTTCTGCATGCTGCTGCTTTATACCAAGGGCAAGAAATTGTTTGGCTTAAAACACTTTTTCTAAAAATTGTCTTCTGTTGGAGTAAAAGAGGACCATGCCTATATCTTAATTTGTTTTTGGTTAGATATCTGATACCTTAATCAGATGGAAAATAGCAATGAATAAAAAATTAAACTGTAATTGTAAGGCAGGAGAATAGCTTGTATAAAAGATCTTTAACTGACACAATATGTGATGCTCTAAGGCTCTATCCTAGGGATGAGAAGCTTGGTGATTCTGATTTCCTGGCTGGGAGTGGATTAAAGCAGGAAATTAAGAGGGAGGCAGGCTTTTTTTTTTTTTTTAGGCAGTATCTGTCTCTCTTGCTCCGGCTGGAGTGCAGCAGCTGGCTCCATCTTTGCTCACTGTAACCTCTGCCTTCTGGGCTCAAGCGATCTTCCCACCTCAGCGCCCCAAGTAGCTGGGGATACAGATGCGCACCACCACGTGGACCTGGCTAAGGTTTGCATTTTTTGGTAGAGACAGGTGTCACTATGTTGCCCAGGCTAGTCTTGAACTTCTGAGCACAGCAGTCTGCCTGCCTCGGCCTCCCATAGTGTTGGGACTACAGGTGTGTGTTACTGCTCCCAGCTGGGAGGCAGGCTTTTAAAGGCATCCAAAGGAAGATGGAAATGCTGGTAAGAAAGGAAAATGGTGGTACATAAATTATGTAACTAGCAGCACTGTGACTGTTAACTCTTGTACCTTTTTACTGTGAGACTTTAATCCCTTAGTTTAGGTCTGGCCTAATTTCTCTGATCGTAATACTGTCAAGGAACCTAGAGGATATTTACTTATTTTAGTTGTTACTTGATTTGAGAAATGGAAATTTCCTGTATTTGGTACTGTAATTAGTAATTTTTCTTCTGTTCGATTTTAGCTGGATATAGTACTGTTAGAAATTACTTTCTTGCTTAAAGGGTAAATGTATTTCCCTTTGTTGTTTGGGAAATTGTTGCTGTTTAGTATTTTGCATTATGATAACTTTAAAAATGTTTATTATAATCACTTCTAATTTATTGGCAAAACTGTTAGTGCTTTATTAAAATGTGATCAGGAAGAAAAAGCAATCTATATGTTCATTTCTTATGTGTGGTTAACACTGGAGAAAAATTTGGTAAATGTGACATTTAATGGTAAAATGAGTATGTGGTCAACTCTATGTACGTGTTTTTAAGTATTACCCATTTCTTTCTATGAATACTTTTGAGTTATCTGCATAAATAGTGGTAGTTTTGAGTAACAATATAAACGAGTTTAGTGGTTGCTTTGGTTTAAGATGTATTCTTCGGTTAGCATTTAAAAGTACAGTTCTAAGTTTAATTTACTTTTGTATTACTTTTAAAAAACAGATACATATGTACTTACATTAATGTGCAAGAGAGGGATCCCAAAGCTCACAGATTTCTGGGTCTTCTTTATGAATTGGAAGAAAACACAGAGAAAGCCGTTGAATGTTACAGGGTAAGTTATAAGATTCAAATATAGCCTTTGCGTAGCCAAACACATGATGCCCAGAGAAATTTATATAAGTAAGTCAAATATATTTTATGAATATCATAAAACAGGCATTGGTATCATAGTACAATTATGTGATACAGCTTGGAACAGATTTAGAATTGTTTAACACCTATAAATTGTAAGTCTAACACGGTCAGAAATGGTGTTCTTTTGTGTTTTTTGCATTCAAATGACACAAATATAATTTTTATTTGATTCATTTCTAGAAAATTCCAAGACACTTTTATTTTAACACCTTTAAAGTAACATGTTTTCTCTAGAAGTAGAATTTTTTAAGGGTTGGAGTGATAATTTTTAACCTTTATGTATAAGTATATATACTCCTACATACATACATACAATTTATTTACTAATCTTTAATTTCTTTTCTGATATTAGCGTTCAGTGGAATTAAACCCAACACAAAAAGATCTTGTGTTGAAGATTGCAGAATTGCTTTGTAAAAATGATGTTACTGATGGAAGAGCAAAATACTGGGTCGAAAGAGCAGCAAAACTTTTCCCAGGAAGTCCTGCAATTTATAAACTAAAGGTAAACAAACAAAACATAAAGGGAGAAAACTTAAGACATAACCATTTCTAATATTTGGAGTTTAAATTACTTTTCAATAGCAAACCTTAAGCTCAGGTGTTTGTGTTTCCTTTAACATTTTTCTTTTAAAAAGTGTATTAAAACCTTTCTGAGCATCTACTGTCTTATTAGGCATTGTTATACTTTATAAGTGACATCTCATTTACCCTTCTGGAATAATTAATATTTTAGGGATTTTACAGTTTAGTAGCTGTAAACTAAGTAGAGCTAAGATTTACATTAAGTTCTGTCTGATATACAATTTTTGCTTCATTAAGTGAAAATTACCTACAGGATGACAATTTAGGGATATTTTAAAGAAGAGTTTTCTGATAACTATTGTCTGAAAGTAGAAGGGATTGTATTTTGAGATAGTAAGGTTTTCAAGCAAAAGATAAAAGGTGGTTTCTGTAGTATATAAGACGTAATTACTAAAAATGGTAGGAAGTTCTTGCTAGTGTGTTGACTGGTCCTGATATTCTTTATAGAGTAAAATATAGTTTACTAAGTAACTGTTCTGGAGAAATCTACACAAATATGTTTGGCAAACATTTAAAATGTATATTGTAATGTTTTATATATTAATGTATACTTTATTGTGTGTGTACAATATAAAATTATAAATGTATATTTGCCTTTAGCTTCCTCCTACCCCCATCATATATGTTTCTGATAGAAATTTAAAAAATTTTAATTTTGAAATAATTATAGATTTTTTTGCACAGGAAGTTGCAAAGTTTGCACAGAAAGATCCTATATGCTACTTCATTTTTCCCCAATGCTTATACAGGTTGAGCATTTAAAATCCGAAATCCTAAATGCTCCAAAATCTGAAATTTTTTGAGCACTGACATGATGCTCAAAGAAATGCTCATTGGAAAATTTTGGATTTCAGATTTTCAGATTTGGGATGCTCTATCTGCTAAGTATCCTGCAAATATTCTAAAGTCTGAAAAAGTTCAAAATCTGAAATACTTCTGGTCTCAAGCATTTTGGATAAGGGATACTCAACCTGTTTAACCTGACCAAAGCACAGTATCAAAATCAGGAATTTTGACATTGGTACAATGTGTATGTATAGTTTTCTTTCATTTTATCACGTGTAGATTCATACCACCACTGCCGTCAAGATACAGAACTACTCTGTTACCACAGAGATCTTCCTCATGCTGCCCCTTTTGTAGTCATGCTATTTACTTCTCTTCACTATGCCTGACCTCTGGCAACCATTAATCTGTTCTCCATCTTTATACTTTGGTGATTTCAAAATGTTATGTAAATGTCATCATGAAATGTGTGACTTTTTTTTTCTTTTTTCATTGTTTTTGAGACGGAGTCTCGCTCTGTTGCCCAGGTTGGAGTTCACTGGCGCAATCTCGGCTCACTGCCACCTCCGCCTCCCAGGTTCAAGCGATTCTCCTGCCTCGGCCTTCCGGGTAGCTGGGACTACAGGCACATGTTACCATGTCCCGCTTATTTTTGTATTTTTAGTAGAAACTGGCTGGTCTCGAACTCCTGACCTCCTGTGATCTGCCCACCCCAGCCTCCCAAAGTGCTAGGATTACAGGCGTGAGCCACCGCGGCCAGCCAAGCATGTGACCTTTTGAGGTTGGCTTGTTCAGTCAGCATAATACCATTTGTGATCCATATTAAGTTTTGTATATCCATAGTTGGTTCCTTTACTTCTGAGTAGTATTTCATGGTCCACAATTTAACCATTCACTTTTTTTTTTTTTTTTTTTTTTTTGAGACAGAGTCTTGCTCTGTTGCCCATGCTGGAGTGCAGTGGTGCTACCTCGGCTCACTGCAACTTCTGCCTCCCGGGTTCTCAGGTGATCCACCCACTTTGGCCTCCCAAAGTGCTGGGATTACAGGTGTGAGCCACTGTGCCCAGCCTTAACCATTCACTTTTGAGGGGCATTTTGGTTATTTCTAGGTTTTGGCTATTGTTCAACTGCTATGAACAATCATGTACAGATTTTTGAAGCTGAAAAAGCATTGAAGATGCTTCCAAAGATAAATATTACTGATAAGTTTTTCTCCCCAGTAATAAGCAGCTGGATTTTAAATGTTAGTCTAAAGCGTGAGGTCTAATTGTGCAGATTTCTTTACTCTCTTAGGTGTTATGCCTCAAACATAACTCCCATATTGGGCGTGGCAATCCAGTTAATCTGGTGTCAGTAGTGTTAAAGAACATATGTAATGGCAGGAGATTCTTTTCTTGCAGTGTAACAAGTTAGATACTTTGAAGCACTCTTTAAAGATTTTCTTTAATAACTTGAAGGCACTGTTACACCTTTCCTGTATCAGATTTTTTTTTTTTTGGAATTGAAATCCATGAGATTTATAACTGTCATGCAAAGTAATTCCATTTCTCCTAAAATTTAAGGCTTGCTAAGGTAAACAGTTTCTGACATTTGTTTAATGAATGAGAGTATTACTGTTGAGAAGGCTTTTTCTCTCAAGTATGAGATAGAACTTTTTAAAAGCACTCATAGTGGTTTTTAAAAAAATGTTTAACATAGAGTCAAAGACTAGGGCTTTTGCAATAGGGAGAGGCCAGGGTTTCATCCATCTCATCCAGAAGAGGAGAAATTGATAAAGGAGAGAGGGGAATGAAATACAGAGTACTAATGGGCGGCTTGGTCTTGAGAGTTGGGGAAAGACGAGTTTAAGTAGGTAAGGTAAAATGGAATTTATATGTGATAGCATCAGGTTTCTCAGTGAAGGATGAATCTAGGTTATAAGTTGAAAGTGAGGGTCAAAGGAAGGTATGGGGAAGTTGAGGAAATAGGAGGAGGTGTGAAGTGTCAGGGAGTGGAGAAAGTGAGTCTGTTAGTACTAAAATGGTATTTTGTTTTAGGCAGCACCAGTTTGATGGTTGAGATAATGCAAATGAAATCAGTTAGCTTGGGGTTATGATTTCCCAAATCTAAGCACACAGAAACCAGTTGGGAGGGTTCTTCTGAGGAAAAGAGGGAATTAGTTGAAGGGATCTGTAAGCAAACAGTAATTATGGATATAAGGGATTATAGCATTTTTTGCCTGACAGAAGAAAGTGTGTGTATTTATATGTGTTTACAGGTGTTTAAAACTTGATGATGTTATTGTCTTGAAGGGAACTTGTCATATGGTGGAGAAGTATATTTCTGAAAGTAAGGGTATGTAGGCCCTCAGTGAGGTGGAAGAATAAGAAGGGTGGTATGGTGGTTTCGGTGGTATGACCAAAATGCAGATTTTGAAGACCTGTGTCAGTGGCAAGTGGATGGTTGAGGTTGGAGTAGAGGATAACATCACTGGAGATGAGGTGATTAAGGAACTGAGTAGTCAGCCTGGGCAACACGGCAAGACCCCATCTCTACAGAACGTTAAAAAAAAATTAGCCGGGCATGGTGGTGCATGCCTATGGTCCTAGCTTCTTGAGAGGCTGATGGAAGAGCATCGCAAATGAGAAGCGAGTGGCCACAAACCCTACTTCCTCTCCTCGTATGTAAGTTCAGAGAGAAAAAGCCATCATGGTAGTGGGGGTTATCCTGAGATGATACTGTCTTCATTTAAGGTCAGGAGGTGATGACAGTGCTTTGAGATGATGATAAAGGTAACAGAACAGTGGGAGGAGAGGGGATGCAGGATTGAATCAGATTTAAGGAGATACAGAGCAGTTTGAACATAAGGACCTTGTTGCTGAGGATTGACTGGGGAGGTCTAGGCTTCTGGTGGTGACTCAGATGGACAGGAATGTGTGGCATTAGTCCTGGTAGTCTCTGAAGAGAGTATGAGCTACTGCAGTAATCACAGATGCTTTTCTTCACATACAGTTCTTGAGGCTTAGTTTCTGGGTTGTAAGCAACTCTCAGAAGGGACGAATAAGGTATTTAGGATGGTGTTTTTGGTGGCATCATCATAAAACTAGACATAGTGGAATGGTGCTTTTTGGGAGCATGACTTGTTTAAAGTTGCACAAGTGTTACTCTAATAATTTTTCTTTTTCCTCTCTAAATAGGAACAGCTTCTAGATTGTGAAGGTGAAGATGGATGGAATAAACTTTTTGACTTGATTCAGTCAGAACTTTATGTAAGACCTGATGACGTCCATGTGAACATCCGGCTAGTGGAGTTGTATCGCTCAACTAAAAGATTGAAGGATGCTGTGGCCCACTGCCATGAGGCAGAGAGGAACATAGCTTTGCGTTCAAGTTTAGAGTGGAATTCGTGTGTTGTACAGACCCTTAAGGTAGATAAAAGCTATTGAGTCTTTACATTTCTATGTAGGCAATTAGCATACATCTTTTTGTACTAAAGCAGCAGTGCCCCGCAGGACTTAAATTTCTTTTATTTATGTAGAACAGTTATAAAATGAAATTTTTACCAGGATCAGTTAAATTTATAATGGGAAGATTGGGGAGATAACTATGATAAATGTATATATTTTTGGTGTTTTCATTTATAAGGTTGATGTAAAAATCAATGTAGTTTCACAAATGTGGTTGGAGTGAGAAAAGGAATTTGTAGGCATAAAATGGTTAATTACTTAACACTTGATTAAGTTTTGTAACTTACTATTCATTCCACAAAATAGGAATATCTGGAGTCTTTACAGTGTTTGGAGTCTGATAAAAGTGACTGGCAAGCAACCAATACAGACTTACTGCTGGCCTATGCTAATCTTATGCTTCTTACGCTTTCCACTAGAGATGTGCAGGAAAATAGAGAATTACTGGAAAGGTGCGTAGACTTTGAGGAGAATGCTTTAGTACAAATTGCAGTTTTTCTTTTTGCAGTAAGTTCATTGCTCTAAATTTCTTCACTGAATCATTATTTCTATAATGTACCTAGGAGTTATAGTTAATACAGTGAACCACTAGGAGGCAATCTTATTTTTCTTCTTTTACAGGGAAGTTCTAATTGGTTTTATATGACTTTCCTTTTTAGAGAACTCTTATAGTTCAAGCTTGATTAAAATTAGCCTTATGGTTACTCAGTTTTGTCATAGTCAAGCTTAAAATGAATGTTCTAACTGCTATTTCATATTTTATTTTTTTATAATAGTATAATCTTTAGTGAAAATTAAAGTTCATCTGTCATCAGATGGCTAGGTTCACATGTACTAGTATAAGCACTTAGCATCACTGGTATTTCAGAAAATACTGTTTTAGCTAAGAAACAAAATAACTCAACTATGTGATTTACCTTTTTTCCTAAATTTTGATTTTGAAAACCAGTGTCTCCATTTTGAAAATAAATTCCATTGAACAAAAACATCACTTGGATTTGTATAAAGATGTTAGTTTAGAGCAGGGGTTGATTAGAACTTGTGGGCCAAATATGGCCCCTGCCTAATTTTGTTAATATTTATTGGAATGCAGCTTGCCTCTGTTTATGTATTGTCTGTGGCTGCTTACATACTACAGGGTTGGAGTTGAGTGGTTGCAGCAGAGATTGTATGCCTGTAAAGCCAGATTAGTAATCTCCTCCTTTTGTAGAAAAAGTTTACTGATTGCTAATTTAGGCTGTCCATTTGTTTGGAAGTTAATTTATTTCCCCATCTGGTATAAGGAAAGAAGTTCATTTCACTGAGTGCAGGGAGTAGGTAATTTTCTTGAAAAAGTACATAGTGTCCTAAATTGGTAGGGTAAGAGCAGTACCTAAAAGAACTAACATAACTTTATTTTAGAAAACATGTAGGATGTTTTATTTTGTGTTCTTTGTATACTCAAATTTTTTGGTCACAAGTTCCTTTTACATTTTTCTTAAGGACATCAAAGATCTTTGTATGTGGGTTCCTTTTTTTCTTTCTTTCTTTTTTTTTTTTTTTTTTTTTTTGAGATGGAGTCTTGCTCTGTCACCAGGCTGGAGTGCAGTGGCACGACCTTGGCTCACTGTAACCTCCGCCTCCCGGGTTCAGGCGATTCTCCTGCCTCAGCCTCCCAAGTAGCTGGGACCACGGGCACACACCACTACGCCCAGCTAATTTTTGTATTTTTAGTAGAGACGGGGTTCAGGATGGTCTCAATCTCTCTTTTTTTTTTTTGAGACTGAGTCTTGCTCTCGCCAGGTTGGCATGCAGTGGTGCAGTCTCGGCTCACTGCAACCTCTGCCTCCTGGGTTCAAGTGATTCTCTTGTCTCTGCCTCCTGAATAGGTGGGACTACATGTGCCCGACACCACACCTGGCTAATTTTTTTTTTTTTTTTTTGAGACAGAGTCTTGCTCTGTCACCCAGCCTGGAGTACAGTGGCACAATCTCGGCTCACTGCAAGCTTCACAATTTCCTCTCAATGCTCTGAATAAGAGCTTATCCTCCTGCCTCAGGTTGTTCCCCACCAGGAAGCCCCAGGAGGGCCCTGAGGACAGCCCTTGGCCCTCAGAGGGGGAGGCTCAGGAGGGGAAATGACCATGGGGATGGAGTCACTCAGGGGAGAATCTGGACCATGATGGGGTGACTTGGGGGCCTGAGGGGAGGACCCTGAGGAAGATAAAAAGCTGGTGCCACCCTAGGCAGTTTCACAGTGTGGCTTAGGGCTGTGGGTGACAGATGGTTTGTCAGATCAGTTAATCAGGCCTCATGGGCCCTTTGTTACCCGCCTTGTGAACCTCCCAGGTTCACGCCATTCTTCTGCCTCAGCCTCCTGAGTAGCTGGGACTACCTACAGGCGCCCACCACCACGCTCGGCTAATTTTTTTTGTATTTTTAGTAGAGACGGAGTGTCACCGTGTTAGCCAGGATGGTCTCGATCTCCTGACCTCGTGATCTGCCCTCCTCGGCCTCCCGAAGTGTTGGGATTACAGGCGTGAGCCACCGCGCCCAGCCCACACCTGGCTAGTTTTTGTATTTTTAGTAGAAACAGGGTTTCATCATGTTGGCCAGGATGGTCTCGATCTTTTTTTTTTTTTGAGATGGAGTCTCGCTCTGTTGCCCAGGCTGGAGTGCAGTGGCGCCATCTCGGCTCACTGCAAGCTCTGTCTCCAGGGTTCATGCCATTCTCCTGCCTCAGCCTCCCGAGTAGCTGGGCCTACAGGTGCCCGCCACCACACCCAGCTAATTTTTTGTATTTTTAGTAGAGATGGGGTTTCACCGTGTTAGCCAGGATGGTCTTGATATCCTGACCTTGTGATCCGCCTGCCTCAGCCTCCCAAAGTGCTGGGATTACAGGCATGAGCCACCACGCCCGGCTGGTCTCGGTCTCTTGACCTCTTGATCCGTCTACCTTGGCCTCCCAAAGTACTGGAAGGTCTCAATCTCTTGACCTCGTGATCCGCCTGCCTTGGCCTTCCAAAGTGCTGGGATTGCAGGTCTGAGCCACTGCATCCGGCCGTATGTGGGTTATTTCTGTCAGTGTTTATTACATTAGAAATTAAAACAAAAAATGTAATCCATTAAAAATGTAATAAGCCCTATTGTGTGTTAATAATAATAGCTTTTTTTTTTTTTTTTTTGAGACGGAGTTTTGCTCTTGTTGCCCAGGCTAGAGTGCAACAGTGTGATCTCGGATCACTGCAACCTCTGCTTCCCAGGTTCAAGCGATTCTCCTGCCTCAGCCTCCCAAGTAGCTGGAATTACAGGTGCCCACCACCACGCCTGGCTAATTTTTTGTATTTTTAGTAGAGATGGGGTTTCACCATGTTGGCTAGGCTGGTCTTGAACTCCTGACCTCAGGTGATCCACCCGCCTCGGCCTCCCAAAGTGCTGGAATTACATGTGTGAGCCACCGCGCAGGGCCAATAATAGCATTTTTTATGAAAAATAACTATTTCCCAACAGCAAAAAAGTAGTCAGAAAAGTGTCATTGTTTTTGCATTTTTGTAAATCTTTTTAATGTCTCGCTTAATAGAACATAGCTAGATTCTCATTTACTTCCTCTTTCAGTCTGTAAAACTATTACATGTCATGAAGCCTCTAGAAAACTCAGCTCAGCGGGGCGCGGTGGCTCAGGCCTGTAATCCCAGCACTTTGGGAGGCCGAGGCGGGTGGATCACGAAGTCAGGAGATCGAGACCATCCCAGCTAACAATGGTGAAACCTTGTCTCTACTAAAAATACAAAAAATTAGCCGGGCATGTTGGTACACGCCTATAGTCCCAGCTGCTCGGGAGGCTGAGGCAGAAGAATCGCTTGAACCTGGGAGTCAGAGGTTGCAGTAAGCCAAGATTGTGCCACTGCACTCCAGCCTTGTGACAGAGTGAGATTCTGTCTCCAAAAACAAAAACAAAAAAAGTCAGCTCTACATACATGAGAAAATGAGTATGTAATATATAAATTTTTTTTGGTATTATTGTAAAAGTAATTTTAACTTCATGGATCCCCTGAAGGGGTTTTTGAGCACCCTCAGAGATCTTTAGACCTCACTTGCTCTGGTTGCTTTATTGTAAGCCACTTTAAAATCATGCTTCACGTTTAAGTGTTTGCTTTTTGCTTTTACTTTTCTTCCAAAGTGAGGATTTGGAGAAACATTAGGATTTAGAAGAACTAATTTAGAATATAGATTACAAATAGTAGGCCAGACATAGTGGCTCATGCCTGTAATCCCAGCACATTGGTAAACTGAGGCGGGCGGATCGTGAGGTCAGGAGTTCGAGACCAGCCTGGCCAACATAGTGAAACCCTGTCTCTACTAAAAATATAAAAAAAGTTTAGCGGGGCATGGTGGCAGGTGCCTGTAATCCCAGCTACTCAGGAGGCTGAGTCGGGAGAATCACTTGAACCTGGGAGGTGGAGGTTGCAGTGAGCTTAGATCGTGCCATTGCACTCCAGCCCAGGCGATAGTGAGAGACTCCGTCTCAAAAAAAAAAAAAAAAGACAATTTATTTAACGCTGTAATGATCTATATAGTAAAAAGAGCAATTGCTGTATTGATACTCAAATACCTGTCAGTTATTTACTTATAATTTGGAAATGGTATGTCTAATTTGAGAAATTACAACTGTTAATTAAATAATGAAATTATATGATCAGGAAGAAACTACAAAATAGTCTCCCAACTTTATCCTGGTTTATTTTGAAATGTGCACCTATAATCACTAATCTTATATTTATTCTGTGATTGGAGGGCTGGAAATAACTGGGAATAAGACATCATTTGAGAGGTTAAGCATGAAGTATAGGAAGTATGCAGGATAAAAATAAGCATTAGATGATTCATAATTTATAACATGGGGAATAAGAATTATTAGAAGTTGAATGTGGAAGATGAAGCTTGAAATAAAATTTTTATTTTGTTTTGAATTAAATCAACCATGATTATTCACAGTGCAGTAAGTGTGTATCATCTGTTTGATATTTTCATATTACAGTTTTGATAGTGCTCTTCAGTCTGCGAAATCTTCTTTGGGTGGAAATGATGAACTGTCAGCTACTTTCTTAGAAATGAAAGGACATTTCTATATGTATGCTGGTTCTCTGCTCTTGAAGATGGGTCAGCATGGTAATAATGTTCAATGGCGAGCTCTTTCTGAGCTGGCTGCATTGTGCTATCTCATAGCATTTCAGGTAAGTCTTCCACTTGTAGGAGCAATTGACATTTCACGGAGTCTTGATGTGTTTTAAATGAAGGTGTGCTCTGGTATGTAATGACAATATGTGAACAAACCTGTGGAATTAAAGTTAAAATGAAATAGTCAATTTGATACAGTGGAAAATAACTAAGCATACACAATACTGGTGAGGCTGGTGAAACAGGGATGTTGAATGCACTCTTGTCGAAAGCCTGCATTGCCATGATTTGTTTGTAGACAAATTTGAAGAGTTTGATCTTTTTACTCTGCCATTTTTGGGAACATGATAAAGATGTAATCTCGTATTATGGGTAAAGCTTGATTCAAAAAGATGTGTTACTTGGACAAAATCCTAATAAGTAGACGTAGGGCAATGGCTTTATAGCCTATGATAGAAGAATATGATTGCAATTTAACATGTTAATTGAAACACATGTATATAACATTTATGACTGTATTGTGTATATGTAACAGTATATCTATTAATCTTTGAAAACATAAAACCTTTTCTTATTTTTTATTTTTTTATTTTTTTTGAGACCAAGTCTCTCTCTGTCGCCAGGCTGGAGTGCAGTGGCGTGATCTCGGCTCACTGCAGCCTCCACCTCCTGGGTTCGAGTGATTCTCCTGCCTCAGCCTCCCGAGTAGCTGGGACTACAGGCCCATGCTACCAAGCCCAGCTAATTTTTTGTATTTTTAATAGAGATGGGGTTTCACCATGTTGGCCAGGATGGTCGCAATCTCTTGACCTCTTGATCTACCTGCCTTGGTCTCCCAAAGTGCTGGGATTACAGGCGCGAGGCACTGCGCCTGGCGCGCCTGGCTTTTTTTTTTTTTTTTTTTTTTTTTTGAGACGCAGTCTCGCTCTGTCGCCCAGGCTGGAGTGCAGTGGCACGATCTCGGCTCACTGCAAGCTCCACCTCCCGAGTTCACGCCATTTTCCTGCCTCAGCCTCCTGAGTAGCTGGGACTACAGGCACCCGCCACCATGCCTGGCTAATTTTTTTTTGTACTTTTAGTAGAGACGGGGTTTCACCGTGGTAGCCAGGATGGTCTCAATCTCCTGACCTAGTCATCCACCTGCCTCGGCCTCCCAAAGTGCTGGGATTTACAGACATGAGCCACCATGCCTGGCCTTTTTTTTTTTTTTTTTTTTTAATGAGCTTGCATAACTTTCGAAAGGAAAAGAAATAAGCAGTCTTCCAAAAAAACATTAAACCAGGCTTAGAAAGATGATTAATTTTAGAGAAGGATTTTTTGCTTGGGGAGGGAGAAAAAAGATTCATTACTTTTAGAGAAGGCCCCTCCTTCTAATATAAATCTTTTTTTCTTTTTGAGACGGAGTTTTGCTCTTGTTGCCCAGGCTGGAGTGCAATGGCGCCATCTGGCTCACTGCAACCTCCGCCTCCCGGGTTCAAGCGATTGTCCTGCTTCAGCCTCCCGAGTAGCTGGGATTACAGGCACATGCCACCACGCCCATCTAATTTTGTATTTTTAGTAGAGACGAAGTTTCTCTATGTTGGTCAGGCTGGTCTTGAGCTCCTGAACTCAGGTGATCTGCGCGTCTCGGCCTCTCAAAGTGCTGGGATTACAGGCAGTGAGCCAGCATGCCCTGCCTAATATAAATCTTTTTATTTTTATTTGAGACGGAGTCTCGCTCTGTCACAAGGCTGGAGTGCAGTGGCGCAATCTCAGCTCACTGCAACCTGTGTCTCCTGGGTTCAAGTGATTCTCTTGCTTCAGCCTGTCACGTATCTGGGATTACAGGCACACACCACCATGCCTGGCTAATTTTTTGTATTTTTTAATAGAGATGGGGTTTCACCATGTTAGCCAGGATGGTCTCGATCTTCTGACCTCGTGATCCACCCGACTCGGCCTCTCAAAGTGCTGGGATTACAGGCATGAGCCATTGAGCCCGGCCTGTAAATCTTTTAAAAACACCGTTGATAGACAGTTCACATGTTAAGTGCTAATATTTGCTCAGTAGAAACTTCTGTGTTCATAAGGAATGGATTAGTGAAAATTAATGGATTTAGTGAGGTTCACTAGGTAATACAAACATTAAAAGGTTCTTATAGAAATTCTCAAGTAACTGATAGTTCTTATTTTTATTTATTTTATTTTTTTTTGAGATGGAGTCTCACTCTGTCGCCCAGGCTGGAGCACAGTGGCACGACCTCGGCTCACTGCAAGCTCCGCCTCCTGGGTTCACGCCATTCTCCTGCCTCAGCCTCCCGAGTAGCTGGGACTACAGGCACCCACCACCACGCCTGGCTAATTTTTTTGTATTTTCAGTAGAGATGGGGTTTCACCGTGTTAGCCAGGATGGTCTCGATCTCCTGACCTCATGATCCGCCCACCTTGGCCTCCCAAAGTGCTGGCATTACAGGTGTGAGCCACCGCACCCTGCCAATAGTTCTTATTTTTAATGGAAACTTTAAAATTTATCTGTCTGTGTGTCTATTAGAGTCTTGCTGTGTCACCCAGGCTGGAGTGCAGTTGCGTAATCGTAGCTCACCGTAACATTGAACTGGGCTCGAGCTTCCCAGAGTGCTGGGATTATAGGTGTGAGCTACTGCGCACAGCCTACAATTTTTTGATATGTAGTTTTGGGAGGCAGAGTCTCACTCTTGCTCTGGCTGGAGTGCAGTGGCATGATCATAACTCACTGCATCCTCGAACTCCTGGGCTCAAGTGATCCTCTCCTGCTTCAGCCTCAGCTCAGTAGCTGGGACTACAGGTGCCTGCCACCATGCCTGGCTACATTGTTAAATTTTTTGTAAAGACAAGGTCTTGCTATGTTTGCCAGGCTGGTTGGTCTTGAACTCCTGGCTTCAAGTGATCCTTCTGCCTTGCCCTCCCAAAGTGCTGAGATTACAGGTATGAGCCACCACACCTGACTGTGAACTTTTAATCATAATAAGTTAGTTTCCCTCTTAATCCATTCACTCAGGTCTCCTTTCCTAGATGACAGCTACTGTTAGGAGTTTCTTGGGTGTTCAGAAATATTTTTTGCATATGCAAATGTGCAATACATTCTTTCTCTGCTTTTAAAAAATATTGTGCCTCAGTGTGGGTGTGCTTTACCTATTGCCAGATGCCTTGCTTTTCTAAATGTTTCTTCATTGTTCCACTTCAGCACAGAGATACCTACCTCAGTCTTTATTAACTACCACATATTTCTGTAGAATGAATATATAATAGAAACATCTTAGATGCTTGTATTTTATTTGATCAGTTTATTTTAAAGCTTAATGAACAAATGATTATAAGCATAAAATGTAGGTTATGTGCTGGCATTTGGGTATTTAAGAATTGGCTAACTTTTATGGCAAGATTTTCAGACTCTTAATCAGAGGAATACTGTGGTTCTAGTAAGTGCATCTGCATTGCAGCTAGGTAGTTAACAAAGTATCTTGAAACCTTTTAGTTAAGATGAGGAAATAGCCAGGCGTGGTGGCTCACACCTATAATCTTAGCACTTTGGGAGGCTGAGGCGGGCGGATCGCTTAAGGTCAGGAGTTTGAGACCATCCTGACCAACATGGTCAAACCCCATCTCTAGTAACAATACAAAAATTAGCCACGCATGGTGGCGGGTGCCTGTAGTCCCAGCTACTTGAGAGGCCGAGACAGGAGAATTGCTTGAAACCAGGAGGCGGAGGTTGCAGTGAGCCGAGATCGTGCCACTGCAGCACTCCAGCCTGGCGACAGAGCGAGACTCCATCTCAAAAAAAAAAAAAAAGGAAATAGTGAATTGAGATGATTTGATTGAGTGGATTCACAACTAATTAACTGGTCACAGATTCAACTGTTGAATAATTTTGTAAAAGAGGCCGGGTTTATGAATTGAGGTCAGTTTGAAAACAAAAAGAATGATGTCAACATTTTGTTTCTTACTTTGTGTGCTCTTTTCAACATATAGATGACAAACTTTGACATGATGTTTAGAAAACTTGTGAGTAAAAGGATAGGCGATACGAATATTTCTAAAATTCAAAATCAGAAGCTTTTAGGTTCATAAATCATATATTTTGAAAAATGAGCATGTTTGGAAAGAATTATATATACATGGTTTAAAATTCTGGCGGCTCTTAAGAATATGCTATGAAGACTCCTTTCTGTTCCCTAGTTATTTACTTTCTCCACCCCCAAAGAAACTAATGTTATTGCTTTCTTGTGTGTTCTTCAGGAAATGTTTTATGCATCTCCAAGTAAACACACATATATCCCCTGTCTTTAAAAGAAGGAGGAAAACATTTGAACATTGCATTTACTTTATTTCCATTAACTGTATCTTGGAGATGTTTCCATGTCAGTATATATAAAGGGCATTCTCATTAGTTTGGATGCTTGCATATTATTCCATTGTATGGATGTACTGTAGTTTTGGAGTTTTTAAAACCAGGGTCCTAAAACCAGGACATTAGCTTGCTTTTACTTTTGTTTTAAATGCTACTTCAAGTAATTTAGCAATGATTAACTTGTGCCATGAATTCCTGAAAGAATTGCAGTATCAAAGTATATCTGTGCATTTATAATTTTTAGAGCTGTTGCCAAATATCTAACCCTAAAGAGGTTGTATCAAATTACATTTCCACCACCAATTAAGAAAGTGGTGATAGAATTAAAAGCCGATGCTCTAGTCACCCATATAGTTACTTTTGGCATGTTTCTAGTAAGCGGGCATTGCCTATGACTGGACGTTTTCAGTGATGGACATTCATTACTTTTCAAGATAGCCCAGTGCATCTTTAGGTGGTTTGGCTCTTGGTACTTCCTTATATAGAATAAAAATATTCTTCAAGCCTTCTACCTGTTGGTCTTGTTTCTTCTTTTGATGATTTCTTTTATAAAATAATTTTAATATTTGAAGGCAGCTGTCACGTCTTCCCTTCGCCATTCTATTCATCATGCTTTTTTTTTCTTCCATAGGTTATTGCATGAGGATCTCTTTAATTTCCTGGTTGTCCCATTTATTCTAGTGCTATCCCCTATTATCCATACTCTGAAAATGTGTTATCTACAATGTGGCATTTCCAAGTGTCATTTCACCTGTGCTTTTTAAAGTAGGGTGTCATATCTACTCAAATAGGACAACATCTGCTGTTGTCCTATTTATGCAGGGTAGAAAAGTAATGTAATTAAATTTTCCATTTCTCTGAATGTAACATGAATGTGCTTTTAGTAGAAACTAATTTCTCAGAGCTGCTCTGTGTATGCTTTTTTTTTTTTTTTCTTTTTTTGGAGATAGGGTCTCACACTGTCGCCCAAGCTGGAGCACAGTGGCATGATCATGGCTCACTGCAGCCTTGACCTCCTGGATTTAAGTGATCCTCCTGCCTCAGCCTCCTGAGTAGCTGGGACCACAGGTGTGTGCCACCACGCCTGGCTAATTAAAAAAAAACTTTTTTTAGAGATAGGGTCTCACCGTGTTGTTCAGGCTGGTCTTGAACTCTGGGCTCAAGTGATCCCCCCACCTCGGCCTCCCAAAGTGCTGGGATTACAGGTGTGAACCAACATGTCTGGCCCCTCTTTTTTTTTTTTTTTTTTGCGATGGAGTCTCGCTCTTTCACCCAGGCTGGAGTGCAATGGCGCAGTCTCGGCGCACTACAACCTCTGCCTCCCAGGTTCAAGCTATCCTTGTGCCTCAGCCTCCCGTGTAGCTGGAATTAATAGGTGTGTGCCACCACGCCTGGCTCTTTGTTTTTTTTTTTATTATTTTTAGTAGAGACTGGGTTTCACCATGTTGGCCAGGCTGGTCTCGAACTCCTGACCTCAAGTGATCAGCCCACCTTGGCCTCCCAGAGTGTTGGGATTACAGGTGTGAGCCACCACGCCTGTACCTGGCCTATCTTTCATAGGTTATATAAATTCCTTGGTTCCCAGTTTTTGCAGTCTTTTCCAATTCAGTTTAATTAATGGTTAACTGTTTATTCATTATCAAAAAAAGTACAGTGTAATAGATAAGACCATGTTACTATTAGAAGTATGGGTATCATCAAATTAAGATTTTTGATTCTAAAATTATTAGGTTCCAAGACCAAAGATTAAATTAAGAGAAGGTAAAGCTGGACAAAATCTGCTGGAAATGATGGCCTGTGACCGACTGAGCCAATCAGGTAATAGTAATATTAAACTAATTTAATTTAAAAAGAAAAAGGAATTTCTGTTAAGGCATATCTTATGATAAAATCTTCATCTGTCCAGGAGATAATTTGTCAAAATTATTTCTTTTTGCCGTATCAGTTAAGAGCAATAGGTATGGAAGAGATGCGAAGAAATAGCACATTCTTTTAAAAAAATGAATATTTGATATTGTTTGTTCCTATGTGGAGAGGATTTCTTAACTCTTTCTTCATCTGGCTGCTAGAGCCTCTATCCTGAATATTTAGTCACTTCCTGAACTAAGTATAATTATTGATTTGCCAACCATTTAACACCAGCTGATTCTAAAAACACTGCTGTGGGGATATAAAGATGAAGAAGATACGGATCTGTCTTAAAGAGCTGAGAGCATAGTGAGGAAGATAGAAGATATATACTTACCTTATATTAGGCTCTTGGAATTTGTGGATTTTTTCCCCCATTTTTGGCTTGGGATGAATCCTAAAGGTCTGTTGCATATTACCTGTGATTTTGCTAAGATACAAACTTTAAGGTAGTTAGATGGCCATTGAATCAAGCAGTGAACTGAAGAAACATAATGCTTTCTATAAGGAGCAGTTTTGATATAAAATTGGATGAATTTTGTAAAGAGCAAGATGTAATATTAAATCAAAGTTATTATAAGCTTTGGTGTATAGTTAGGCTGTTGGCCAGAGCTCACATTGCTCTTTTATTCCATAGCCCACTTTTTTTGTGGGAGTTAGGCTTTCAGTCCTTAAAGTGACTTTCTACTTTTTCCCTTTTCTCTTTTCCTTCTACCCTTGCAGGGCTCTCATAAGTGCCTTTGCATGGTGTCACAGTTAGATAAAAATTGCCTGTATCTTTTTTTTATGTCTTTGATCTGGGCATTCCGAGGGTGCCTCTGTAAGTGTGCTGAGACACAACTGTGTAGTGGTAACCAAACCTAATTGCCCAGCAGAATTAACTCGAAGGAGGGTTTTTAAAAAAAGTTCAATTGAAATATAATTCGTATACCATACGCTTCACCCATTTAAAGTGTACAGTTCAGTGGCTTTTACTATGTTCATAGAGTATTACCACTGTCACCACAGTCAGTTTTAGAAGATTTTCATCACTCCGTGAGGAATTCCTTACCTATTAGCAGTTACTCCCCATTTTACCCAAACCTCTCAGCCTTGGCAACCGCTAATCTGTCTCTGTAGGTTTGCCTCTTCTGAACATTTCACATAAATGGAATCATAGTATGTGGTCTTTTGTGACTGGCTTCTTTGATTTAGCAAGGTTTTCAAGGTTCATCTGTGTTGTAGCATGTATCAGTACTTTATCCGAGGACTATGATTTTTTGATTGCTTACTGTAAACCTATGGCATAAAAATCTCTGGGAACAAGGCCTGGAAATAATTCTTTTTTTTTTTTTTTTTTCCTGAGACAGTCTTACTCTGTCGCCCAGGCTGGAGTGCAGTGGCGTGATCTCGGCTCACTGCAAGCTCCGCCTCCCGGGTTCACGCCATTCTCCTCCCTCAGCCTCCCCAGTAGCTGGGACTACAGGCACCCGCCACCAGGGCCGGCTAATTTTTTTTTTTTTTTTTGTATTTTTAGTAGAGATGGGGTTTCACTGTGTTAGCCAGGATGGTCTTGATCTCCTGACCTCATTATCCACCCAGCTTGGCCTCCCAAAGTGCTGGGATTACAGGCATGAGCCACCGTGCCCAGCTGGAAATAATTCTTAAAAGCTGTTTAAAGGAGGATTCTGATCAGCCAGGTTCAGAAATCAGTGTATCAGATCAGAGAATAAGAGCTTGTCCCTGTTCTCCTATGGCCACTTAAATCCAGACCTTTTCATCTAAAGTGCAAATATGTTTGGCATTTTTCATACACATTCCTGTCTTTTTTCCCCGTTCTGCTGTCTTATGTAGATACTGAGAATATTAAACCTGTACTCTTTTCATTTGCTACATAAGCACCCATTTTGTTGTCCAGCTGTATTTTTTGGGTTGGAGGGTTAGGTTTGCAATAATCATGTTATTTCCCCTTTGGGTATACAAATGAGAC
Organism: Homo sapiens; assembly: GCF_000001405.40. NCBI lineage: Eukaryota > Metazoa > Chordata > Mammalia > Primates > Hominidae > Homo > Homo sapiens. The sequence continues at coordinate 110,549,664 of NC_000002.12, read as the reverse complement.
AACGTGAGCAAATACAATCTGTATTTTTAAAGTGATGGAAATAACTTAAATTTTTTTTTCAGGGCACATGTTGCTAAGCTTAAGTCGTGGCAAGCAAGATTTCTTAAAAGAGGTTGTTGAAACTTTTGCCAACAAAATTGGGCAGTCTGCGTTATATGATGCTCTGTTTTCTAGTCAGTCACCTAAGGATACATCTTTTCTTGGTAGCGATGATATTGGAAAAATTGATGTACAAGAACCAGAGCTTGAAGATTTGGCTAGATACGATGTTGGTAAGTTATATGTTTCAGAGGAAATGGTCTCCGTCTTAATTCTTATAAATTGCCCATAATCTTATTACCCAGAAATAACGACTTAATATTTTCCTGTATTCCTTTTGTGTGTGGGTTGGGCTGGGGGGAGTTTGAATGTGGTGCTGTGGGGGTGGCATGTATTTTTTGTTGTTGTTGTTGTTGTTTTTGAGACCAAGTTTTGCTCTTGGCGCCCATGCTGGAGTGCAGTGGTGCGATCTCGGCTCACTGTAACCTCTGCCTCCCTGGTTCAAGTGATTCTGCTGCCTCAGTCTCCCAAGTAGCGGGATTACAAATGCCCGCCACCACGCCCGGCTAATTTTTTGTATTTTTAGTAGAGACGGGGTTTCATCATGTTGGTCAGGCTGGTCTCAAACTCCTGACCTCAGGTGATCCACCTGCCTTGGCCTCCCAAAGTGCTGGGATTACAGGTGTGAGCCACTGCGACCAGCCTTGTTGTATTTTGAGACAGGGTCTCGCTGTGTCACCTGGGCTGCAGTGTAGTGGCATGATCGTAGGTCACTGGTGCCTTGAACTTCTGGGCTCAAGGGATTCTCTTGCCTCAGCCTCCTGAGTAGCTGGTACCATAGGCACATGCCACTCGGCCCAGATAATTTTTTTTTTAATTGGCAGAGACAGGGTCTCCCTTTGTTGCCCAGGCTAGTCTCCAACTCCTAGGCTCAAGTGATCCTCCTGCTTAAGCCCCCCAAAATGTTGGGATTAGGCCCGGCACAGTGGCTCATATCTGTAATCCCAGCACTTTGGGAGGCCGAGGCGGGCAGATCACCTGAGATCAGGAGTTCGAGACCATCCTGGCCAACATGGTGAAACCCCGTCTCTACTAAAAATACAAAAATTATCCGGGGGTGGTGGCATGTGCCTGTAGTCCCTACTCAGGAGGCTGAGGCAGGAGAGTCCTTCAACCCGGGAGGTGGAGGTTGCAGTGAGCCAAGATCACACTGCTGCACTACAGCCTGGGCGACAGAGCGAGACTTCGTCTCAAAAACAAAAAGTGTTGGAATTATAGGCATGAGCCACTGCATCTGGCCATATTTTTCATCTAAATGGTTGTTTATGTATGATTTATCTTGCTTCCTTCATGAATTCTCTCCCATAGTCTGTGTATTAAAACTATAAATATCACTTTTATTGGCAATATAATCTTTTTTATGAAGTAGTCATAATTTGCTTGCTACTTTCTGTTATTGGGCATCCAAGTTTTCTCAACTTTTCCACTGTTAATAATCATACTCTGATAAAAACTTCAACAAAAAGTGTCTTCATTGCAAGTTATTTCCATAGAGATACCTAAAAACAGAATTACTGAGACAAAGGACATGAACATCTTTAAGTCTTGCAAATTGCCAAAATGACAGAAAGATTATACCTCTTCATGCTTCCAGAAGCGCATAACCTTTTCTTTTCTTTTCTTTTCTTTTCTTGTTTTTGAGACAGAGTCTCGCTCTGTCACCCAGGCTGGAGCGCAGTGGCGCAATCTCGGCTGCCAGGTTCAAGCAATTGTCTTGCCTCGGCCTCCCAAGTAGCTGGGACTATAGGCATGTGACACCGTGCTCGGCTAATTTTTTGTATTTTTAGTAGAGACGGAGTTTCACCATGCTGGCCAGGCTGGTCTCGAACTCCTGACTGCGCATAACATTTTCAATATTGACTTTCTTGTAGAAAAACAGATTTCTTTACTGTACCGATGGATTAATATAGTGGTGTTCCATTGCTTTAATGACTTAAAGCAAAACCCATTGTTTTGGGGTTTCTTATTAGGTTAGGTGTTCTTTATTTGGCTTTTGTCAGTTGATTTTGGTTTATTGAGTTCTAGTCAGTGTCATTTTTTAAGATGGACTTAAACATTCTTCATCACTACTATTTTTATTAAAATTTCTAGAAATAATCAAGTGAGAATGCATTTAATAAGAACATGAGATTTTGCCTAACATAGAATTCCCTCCAGCTTTGATATAGAAAAGCAGTTATATAATTAAGATATATATAATGTGAATTGTTTATGTTGGCAAAACTAATGGCACAAAGAAAAATTTCAAACCCTTAAGCCAATTTTTAAATTTTATTTCAGGTGCTATTCGAGCACATAATGGTAGTCTTCAGCATCTTACTTGGCTTGGCTTACAGTGGAATTCATTGCCTGCTTTACCTGGAATCCGAAAATGGCTAAAACAGCTTTTCCATCGTTTGCCCCATGAAACCTCAAGGCTTGAAACAAATGCGCCTGAATCAATATGTATTTTAGATCTTGAAGTAAGCAAAGATTTTAACAAATTAAATATTCTGAATTTTGTTTAATTTTTTTTTCTAACTTAACTTTTCCTTAAATGAAACAGGTATTTCTCCTTGGAGTAGTATATACCAGCCACTTACAATTAAAGGAGAAATGTAATTCTCACCATAGCTCCTATCAGCCGTTATGCCTGCCCTTTCCTGTGTGTAAACAGCTTTGTACAGAAAGACAAAAATCTTGGTGGGATGCGGTTTGTACTCTGATTCACAGAAAAGCAGTGTAAGTAGTAAAACAAAAATATTGCTTTCACTTAGTGCGTAGGTTTTACCGGGGATTTAATCCTCGTGTGAAGATTTAATTTGTCATGTGACCCATTAACATATATGTATGTAAGCGCTGAACTGTGTATTTAGAAAGCAATTTTAGTAAATTGAACTATTTTTTAGACCTGGAAACTTGGCAAAATTGAGACTTCTAGTTCAGCATGAAATAAACACTCTAAGAGCCCAGGAAAAACATGGCCTTCAACCTGCTCTGCTTGTACATTGGGCAAAATACCTTCAGAAAACGGTGAGTTTTAAAGTATAAGCATTTTTAATGAACATTACCTTAATTTTTTAAAATCATGAACTTTTTATTGAAAGTTTTTTTGTTCTGAAAACAGCAGCTTGGTCATATTATGACAGATGTGTTTTTTATTGCTGCAAAATAGTTAATGTAGTTAAATATAAGCACTTAGAGGAGCAATGCCTGGCACACAGTGAATGTTACATATTAGCTGAGCTGTTACTGTTATTCCTTAATAATTAAGTTCTGATAATTATTCAGCCTGAAAATTAAAAAAAAAATTAGCACAAGGCTTTGTAGGTAAGACCATTATAGATCTTTCTAAATATTTAAGGTGTGTTTTGTGTCACCATTAGGTGTAGATGGTCAGCCTTTTGAACAAACTGACACTACAGAAGAGGCAGGTTTCAGCTATCTAAAAAGGACAACTGTTAAAAAGTAGTTTGGATTGCTACGTTAGAGTGGTATCATTAGAAGCATTTAAAAGTTGAGTGTAGAGGCCGGGTGCGGTGGCTCACACCTGTAATCCCAGCACGTTAGGAGGCCGAGGCGGGCAGATCACAAGGTCAGGAGGTCGAGATCATTCCTGGCTAACACGGTGAAACCCCGTCTCTGCTAAAAATACAAAAAAAAACTCTACTAAAACTACAAAATTAGCCAGACATGGTGGCAGGTGCCTGTAATCCCAGCTACTTGGGAAGCTGAGGCAGGAGAATTGCTTGAACCTGCACGGCAGAGGTTGCAGTGAGTTCACTGGTATTAAGGTGGTTTAGTTATTACAGTATTTGGAAGTTGAACAAATGACTATTGAGGTACCATTTGGTTTTGACTTGAAATTTTAGCCAGTTCTTACAACTTGTAAATGAACTTTAGATCTAATCATGCGTGTTCCTTAAAGTTGTGTGCTTTTAACTTTCTTTTTTAGGGCAGCGGTCTTAATTCTTTTTATGGTCAACTAGAATACATAGGGAGAAGTGTTCATTATTGGAAGAAAGTTTTGCCATTGTTGAAGATAATAAAGAAGAACAGTATTCCTGAACCTATTGATCCTCTGTTTAAACATTTTCATAGTGTAGACATTCAGGTAACAGAGTTCCTTTATGAATTTATTGGAGATGGGAATTTCCAGTTTATAAACAAAGACGTGGAGCTATAAACTGCTTAAATTAATTGCCTTGTTATTTAACGGTAATCTTGTTTTCTAAATTCACTAGCTCTCACAGATAAGATATGACAGAGAAGAGTAATGAGATGTTTGTCTCTTAAGATCATATAAAATCTTTGGAAAATCATTTGGGTTTTATATTCTGAGTATAAACAATTTGACTAAAAACTATTCTATGTGTTTAGGCATCAGAAATTGTTGAATATGAAGAAGACGCACACATAACTTTTGCTATGTTGGATGCAGTAAATGGAAATATAGAAGATGCTGTGACTGCTTTTGAATCTATAAAAAGTGTTGTTTCTTATTGGAATCTTGCACTGGTAAGTAGATGCAGTACTTGAGCTAAAAGTTGTATTTATTTATTTATTATTTTTTTTAAAAGACGGGGTTTCTCTGTTGGCCAGGCTAGAGTGCAGTGGCACAATCTTGGCTCACTGCAACCTCTGCTTCCCAGGCTCAAGCGATTCTTGTGCCTCAGCTCCCGAGTTGCTGGGATTACAGGCATGAGCCACCATGCGTGGCCAAGCTGAAAGTTTTTTGTTTTAAAAAGCTAATGATTTCATGAAAGCACTATTTGTATAGATTTTTCACAGGAAGGCAGAAGACATTGAAAATGATGCCCTTTCTCCTGAAGAACAAGAAGAATGCAGAAATTATCTGACAAAGACCAGGGACTACCTAATAAAGATTATAGATGACGGTGATTCAAATCTTTCAGTGGTCAAGAAAGTAAGTAGCAGGTTGTTGTATGTACGTTCTTACTGATAACCCACTGGTCAGTGTTTTTGCGTTGGTCTTATATTTTGGTAATTTCAAAAATACTCAGTAATATGTTGTTATTAATGCACAGAAGGGATGCGTGTGTCTAAATGCTTAGATTTGCTTGCTTTGTCTTAGGTTTGGTGTGTCTTTTTAAACTTGGGAATCTAGGTATATGCTCTTAAAAAGTACTTCTTGGGGAATTAGAAAAGATTTCTAAGATAAGACATTGATTTTGTTATCTTAGCAGTGTAATCAAAACAAATATTATAACCTCAGGACTAATTCTTAATGAACTTTGCTGAAATTGAAAGTTGTTGCTGACAACTTAAGAGCATTTCTTCTCATCGTCATCAGCCATTATGAACGCCCTTGTTTTCTTGCTGTCAGCTGTTTGAGATTGTCATGATGATGTTAAATTATGTTCAGTCTTCTGAGTGTTTTGTTGATTAATTTGTGTTACTACTCTTTTATTAGGATTTATGTTGTCTGGTGTATTGTAGCATCTGTATTTCTGTCACCATTGAAAATCAGTTAGAAAACATCAGTAACTTATTTTGTTCACTTGGAAAAGCTTTCCAAGTTAACATTCCTCTACAATTATCATGGTTAACAGAAGTAATAGAAAGAGCATGGACTTTAGAATCAGAAGATGTTAGACTGTACAACACTTTTCTGTGTTCCTGAAGAAAAAAATAGAATAAAGACAAAAAAATAAAAATAATAATACAAAACAACAGAAAAACAAAGAAAAAAGATAATTAAAAAACACTTTCACGTGTATTATTATTTAAAGTGTAAAGTGCTTATTAAAGTGACAAAAATGTAAATAAGATAAAATATATCATTTTAGAGTTTTTACTTTTGGAATTTTTTGCAAATGAAAGCCCTTAATTAATGTCTTTTATTTTTAGTTGCCTGTGCCCCTGGAGTCTGTAAAACAGATGCTTAATTCAGTCATGCAGGAACTCGAAGACTATAGTGAAGGAGGTCCTCTCTATAAAAATGGTTCTTTGCGAAATGCAGATTCAGAAATAAAACATTCTACACCGTCTCCTACCAAATATTCACTATCACCAAGTAAAAGTTACAAGGTAAACAGGAAAGAATGGAATCATTTCATTGTGAAATTGTTTCTGTTCTAAGTGTTTTAAATGCTGTTTTGTTATTTTTATTTTTTTTTTCAGTATTCTCCCGAAACACCACCTCGATGGACAGAAGATCGGAATTCTTTACTGAATATGATTTGCCAACAAGTAGAGGCCATTAAGGTAAGTCACTTAATTTCTCTAGCTGTACTTTTTATTCCAAGATTCCTTCCCTGGCTACTCTCTCACTTTTTTTCTGAAGCTGGTCAGAATGTCCCCTTGCCATCCAAATAGTATGGCAAGGGGACATTTTGGTCTTTTTTTTTTTTTTTTAAGACAAGGGTCTTGTTCTGTTGTGCAGGCTGGAGTACAGTGGTATGATCACAGCTTACTGCGGCTTCAACCTCCTAGCTCAAGAGAGCCTCTTGGCTCAGCCTGCCACGAAGCCAGGACTACAGACAGTCACATGCCACCAGGCCCAGCTAATTGTTGTATTTTTTGTAGAGATGGGATTTTGCCATGTTGCCCAGGGTGGCCTTGAACTCCTGGCTCAAACAATCCTCCTGCTTCAGCCTCCCAAAGTGCTGGGATTGCAGGTGTGAGCCACTGTGCCCAGCCTACATACCTCGGTCTTGACCCTTTACCATATTTTGTTTTGTTTTGTTTTGAGATGGAGTCTCACTCTGTTGCCCAGTCTGGAGTGCAATGGTGTGATCTTGGCTCACTGCAACCTCCACCTCCCAGGTTCAAGTGACTCTCCTGCCTCAGCCTCCCGAGTAGCTGGGATTACAGGCACCCGCCACCAGGCCCAGCTAATTTTTGTATTTTTAGTAGACACAGAGTTTCACCATGTTGGCCAGGCTGGTTTTGAACTTCTGACCTCAGGTGATCTGCCCACCTTGGCCTCCCAAAGTGCTGGGATTACAGGTGTAAACCACCGCACCCAGCCCTTTACCATATTTTTGAAAGTACTTTATGTGTCTCTCTCCTCATCTTCCACAAAATTTGAGACCTTCAAAGGTAGAAACTGTTTTATTTAAAATATAAGAGTTCCTGACACAGAGAAGGTTCCCGAGTGATTGAAGTGCTACAATGTACTAATCATACTCTGGTCTATGAGTTCATTCCCAGATTAGCTGTGGATTACATGTGTTTCAAATGTATAGCTAGGAATCGAAAAGTGGTCTGAGCTTCAAAAAGTCTTACTATATTTTAATACTTCCATATGAATTTGACTTAATTATGTAAGGAAATAGTTATGTATATATATCTTATTTTAACAATAGGGTTCAAAGGAGCTTGACTTTTTTGGAATTGGAAATAAAAGTAGGTTCTTTCATGTTTATCAAGCAAGAACTAAATTACTCATACTGCTAAAGTTACATCAAGGATATGCTGATGTGTGGCGATTATTACAGTGTGATCAGCAGCATTTGCAAATTAAGAGAATACTATTTGGTGGGGAAGACATTTTTGAATTTGCACAAAAATTTTGAATGTTAATTCTGTGTAGTCGTGGCCTATGACAATTACATACAATTTTGACTTAACATACAGGTTTCAGGCTCCCAACATTGTATTCTGTGGAAGTATAGTGGAGCACTAGTCCATGAGCTTGAAAAGCTTGGTACTAGTACTGACTCTGCCATTAATTAATGATCTTGGGCCAGTCACTTCCTTTGTGACTGTTTGGCTTCTTATCTTTAAAATGAGAGAATTATTGAAGCCAGTTCTCATCACACTGAATGTTAAAAATTACAGTTACAGCAGTGATTGCAAATTCAAAGCTCTGGTGCGGATACCAACAGTGACTATAAAGTTTTCTAGGTGATTCCACTAGTTTCTTATTTCTTGGATGTGTATGTGTAGCATCTGGACTAGGCACTGTAGATGGATGAATGGGGGAAATTTTATTTAGCTTGAAAATTGAGATAGTTTTGGACCTCATGGTTAGGTCTTTCTGGGAAATTTTTAATTGAAACACTTGTAGAAACAGAAAGCAGACATGCTAGATCTGTCCCTGACCTCACTTGTTAGAACTGATCGGATTCCTGGGCTGATACAGAGAAGTTTGAAACTTTTCAAAATTTACCTGTTTTCTGATACCACTACAATTTCTTTGGAAAAAGAATTTCCTGTTAAGTGTCTGTTTTGTAAGGGGACATTTTGTAGGTTCTAGGGTGTTGGGTATGGTGCTGTCATTTAGTTTTCTTCAGCAGAGATCAAGTAGCCACATAGCTACACTAGACGGCATTGGATCTATCTGCCATCTTGTCAAGGCAGCAGAGTTGTGTTAAGAAAACATTTTTGGAGTCAGATGTGTTTCAAATTCCAGCTGTTATTCCCTGCATCCGTTTCTCTCATTTTAAGATAGGAGCTAATATTGTTTACCTAACAGTGTAGATGGTGTAAAAATTAAGAGTTTAAGTGCATTGGACGTATTATTATATACATAATAAATTCTCTGCAGCTACTACTTTTTTCCCTTTCCTGGTGGAGCATTTGAACATCACCTTGAGAATTAGTTGTATTTTGTTTGAACACAGGGTTAAGTGAAAAGCTAATTTGGGGAGGTGATTTGGAATGTCAGGTAGTCCAGGTTGCAGTGTAGAAAGAACACACTGAAAGGATGGTCAGTGTAATGTTAGAGGACTGTGAAAGTTGGGGAAAGAAGTTTAGTTTGTAGGTACTTGTTTTTTTGAGCAGGGAATTGTCTTGGCTGGAGGTGAACGTCAGAAAGGTTAATGTAGGCAAGTGTAGAATGGAAATGAAGGTGTGATCATTTAGGAGGTTATTTGTTTAGGTGAGAGAGTTAATGAATTAGGTTTTGTATTAACGAATGAAAATGGGAGCAGATAAATTTTTAACAAATTAAGAATCATATTTTAAAATCAGCACCAGGTACCTAGAACTCTTTGGCAAATAGAAACTTTCAAAAGATATAATCAGGTCCGGGCGTGGTGGGTCACACCTATAATCCCAGCACTTTGGGAGGCTGAGGTGGTGGATCACTTGAGGTCAGGAGTTCAAGACTAGCCTGGCAAACATGGTGAAACCCCATCTCTACTATTATACCAAAAATTAGCCGGGCGTGCTGGCTGACGCCTGTAATCCCAGCTACTCGGGAGGCTGAGGTGGGAGAATTGCTTGAGCCCAGGAGGTGGAGGTTGCGGTGAGCCAAGATTGTGCCATTGCACTCCAGCCTGGACGACAGATCGAGACACCATCTCAAAAAAGAAAAAAAGAAAAAATCAGTTATTTAAATTTAAAAGAGTAAGTTTCCCCAGCACTGTTTCTGGCATGATATAATTAAATGATTAAAATTATTTGATTTTTTTTTTCTTCCAATAGAAAGAAATGCAGGAGTTGAAACTAAATAGCAGTAAGTCAGCATCCCGTCATCGTTGGCCCACAGAGAATTATGGACCAGACTCGGTGCCTGATGGATATCAGGGGTCACAGACATTTCATGGGGCTCCACTAACAGGTGAGCTGGCAAGTGGATAATCGCATATTTTAGTAAAACTACTTTACTTCCCTCTTTTAAGTAGATAACGTGTGAAATCACCTTGTTTATATATGTTTGTTAATATACATGTCAACGTCTGTTTATATGTGACTTCAAAAGCTGTATTAGGTGTTACGGAGATTTTTATAATCCCAAGCAGAAAAAACGAGCCGTATGTGATCACGTGTATATAAAGGCTTAAAGAACACTTAATCCACACCTCAGATGAGCTGAGATGAGATTATTCCTTAAATTGCAAAATGTTATTGAATAGAGTTATGCACTAAGAAATGCTTAATTAAGAACCTACACCTCTGGGGAATTATTTTGATGATAATGATGAGAGGCAGGACGTTATATAGGAAATCTTACTTAATTTGAAATATTATGGTTATATAAAGAAAGAAAAGGAGTTTGGACCTGAATCATACTGGGTTTTTAAGTTCTGCTCTATCACTTACTATAATAGCTGTGTAAGTTAACCTGTCTGAAATGTGGAGATAATACTTGCCTTACATAATTACTATGAGCATTTGTGTATGTGCAGGTGGGCGTGGGTGTGTATCAGACATTTATTAGAGTATACAGTAAACAGTTAATGAACTAAGGTTACTAATAGTGTTTACTGTGGGTTGGCTGTGTGCAAAAGTGCTGTGTGAATGTAATTTGATTTAATTACAGTAACTTAGAATGGCCGGTACCATTATTAATCCCTTTTTTATAAATAAGGAAATGGATAAAGAAAGGTTAGGTAACTTACTCATTATTATACAGCTAGTTATTGATAGAGCCGAGATTCACACTCCAGTGGTGTAACTCCAAAGCACTTGCCAGTATAATACATTGCTCCCAGGCAGCCAGAAATAACAAAATTGTTCCTTTTACGTACGACAGACTTCTGAAATGGTAGTAGTAGTGCCCTTTTTTTTTTTCTCTTTTTAGCCCAGGAAAGATTTAGAAAAAAATCTAGTTTAGATGAGCACATTTGTGTGATGGTTCCTATAGTTAAGGCAACCCCACTAGCCTTTTGTGATAGTATCTTCTCAACACAAGCAAAATAACAGAAAATCTTTGTGAAGTCAAGCTTATTAAATGTCGTAAGTCATAGATAAGTATATGAAATGTCTAACGTTCAAACCTTGTTTTCTTAAAACCTTACACATCATATAGGTCCTTGTAAGAGGATAAACAAACCGGCTAGCCTTTCCTGGGGCTTTTTTAGTGATGTGTGCAGTCAGTTATTTGGTGCCTTGTGGGTCATGATTTCCATTTCTTCTGTGTACAGGCATAAAAGGTCTTCTGTTCTTATACAAGCATGTAAATCCAACATTCTCATTGTCTCATTTTATTCTTGCAATGACCCTGTGAAATGTGTAGAAGCAGCACATCGTCATTTTACAATTGAGAAACATGGAGACTCCAAATGGATTATTTACAGGTTCACAAAACAGCTTTGTGGCACTGAAAGGGCGAGAGCCAAGATCTCCTGATTTCTGTTCCTGTGTTCATAGATTCTTTTTCCTTAATAAAAGTAAACATATATCAAGATGGTCCTTGTTTTTTTAAAATAAGATGATTAAAATTAAAGATTAATGAGCTCATAGGAGATACTCAGAAGTACTGAACAGGGTGAAGAAAACTAAAAGCTAACCACCTCATTAACATTTCTTATATTTGAGAGCATTTCCTTCTGGTTCTTTCTCTATACATATAGTATTTTTTATGAGATTGTTACCATGTTACTATGTTGTGTGTAGATGAGCTAGCCTGTTTTTAAAATGTTACTTTAGTTCTGAGCATTTTTAAACTTAAATGTTTTTTGAATATTAATGAGTTCATGGTATCCCATCACATGGAAGTACTGTAAATTCTGTTCCTTTATTTATGTTGTTTCTGGTTTATGCCATTACAAATTCTAGGACACTGTCCTAGTTTTGTAGGGTATTCAAAATATTCAGTTTATGCTCTTACCGCTAGTATCTGATAGTGCCATTTTCGCACTTTTGCTAATGCTGACTTACTAGTTTATAAAATCCTTTGCCAATTTGTAGGAACAAAAGTGATATCAATTTTTAAGTTTTTTTAATACTAGTCATGCTCAACAATTCATGCAAATGGCAGTTGGTAGTTTTGCCATCTTCAACGTACCTTCCAGTTGTTTGGTTTCTTGGTAAAACTCACACAAAACAGATGGAGAAGAGTTTTTGTATATCAACATGAATGTTAATGTGATTTTTTTAAAGCCAACGAACACATTTGTGTTCCTTGTGAGATCCTGTGCGTGAATTTGTCAGGTAATTTTTTTGACCTGAACATTCTCATAATAGCTTCAATTTGCACAATGCAACCTCGTCATTTTGCAGATTTTCAAGGCTCACTTCAAAAACATGTTCCTTGAGGCCTATTAACATTTCTTTCCTAAATTGTCTATTCATATGGTGCTTTAAAAAATTAGATTACTTTTAGTAGATTTATTAGAGCCGCACAGTTTAGAGTCAGTAGTCAATTAAAGTCCCTACTTAAACTTCAGACTAAGATTTTTTTTTATTTAATATTTTATTTTTTCTTTTTGCTTTCATGCAGACAGACATCTTGCAAGACTTTAAGATTCTTGGGCCATTTCTGTCAGGTTGTTCTGTGTTCTGTGCCTGCTTCCTCCCCATAGTAATTTCAAAATAGCTATCCTCACCTCTGTAAGGTTTCCGAAATCAAACTTGGGCTTCTGGCTAGCCTTTTCTAGGTCTTGATTTTTCAGTGCTTTCCAGAGGCAATTGTTTGGAACCTCTTGGCACAGTTTCTGTTTCTCCTTCCATGTACAGGCATAAAAGGTCTTTTGGTTGTTTTCTGGTAAAACTATCATAAAACAGTTCAAGCAAATGACTATTGGTAGTTTTGTCATTAACATGGGTGCCTTCTAGTCATTTTGTTTCCTGGTAAAACAGACCAAACAGAGGGAGCAGACAGTTTGTACATCTGTATGAGTGTTGATGTGCTTTTTATTTTAAGCCAGGGAACACATTTTATGTTATTTATGACATCCTTTCCATGAATTTGTCAGGTGATTTTTGAGCTGAACATTCTGAGTAATAGCTTTAGTTTACAAAATACAACCTAGTCTTTCTGCAGATTTTCTAGGCCCACTTCAAATGCATTGACTATCAGATGGCATCTTGGTTCCTTACGTCCTTTCTGTGACTGAATGTCCATAATTCCACATCATACTGATCTTTCTTAGAAAAGGCAACAGTTACTATCTTCTTTATTCCTTTTTTAATGCTTGCGAGGTAGTTCTTGTTGATCACAGCGATGCTATTCTCTCATTCTTCATGTCATATTTAGCAATTTTTTTCTAGTTTGTCATTTGATAATCTTGATTGGTGTATTTTGATGTACAGAAATTTAAAATTTATGTAGTTAAATCTTTCTTTAACTTCTATTGCTTTTGTATTTATAGCTCTTGCCTAGATAGTCTTAACTGTAGTATAGACTTTAACAGTGTTTTCTTTTCTTTTTTTTTTTTCAGTTGCAACTACTGGCCCTTCAGTATATTATAGTCAGTCACCAGCATATAATTCCCAGTATCTTCTCAGACCAGCAGCTAATGTTACTCCCACAAAGGTAACAAAGGAATAATTTATACATTTATAATTATTTTCTTTTTAAATTGTTTAGGGTTCCTTCAAATAAATTCAAGAGAGCAGTTCACTATTAAAACTTTTATGTCCCTTAAAATGTAGATATTTTAAATTTATCTCCAAATACAGAAATTATCCTTCTTAGTCACCTTATTTTTGTGTTAGTAAGTGTGAATATTTAGAATATTTTAAAAATGGGAGTGGTGGTGGTGGATCCTTCATCGTTCTGTTTTAACAGAAATAGAACTGTAATGCCCTTGCTGACCCACTATGTGGTAAGTACTTTCAGGCCTGATACAGCTATATATATAACAATTGATTGAAGACTCAATATTACAGTGGTAGTTGAATGTGACAGCTTTGAGGACAGAGTGTTGGGGTGCATTTAGACCCTTGCTCTTCTGCTTATTTTGACCACAGGCAAGTTTCTTAACCTCTCAATGCATCAGTTGCCTCATATGTAAAATGAGGATAATAATAATACCTTAATTCATAGGGTTTTTGAGGATATTAAAATGAGATAATAATGTAAAGTGCTTAGAACAGTGCCCAGCTGGCACATTAATGAATGCTCAATAAATGTTATCATCATCATCATCATCATTATTGTTAACATCATTTGATAAATTGTTTAGGAATGAAGAAGGTATTTATTTCATGACTATTTTGGGCATGTGGATCAAGAAAATTCACCTTCATTTATGTTTCAGGGTTCTTCTAATACAGAATTTAAGTCAACCAAAGAAGGATTTTCCATCCCTGTGTCTGCTGATGGATTTAAATTTGGCATTTCGGAACCAGGAAATCAAGAAAAGAAAAGGGAAAAGCCTCTTGAAAATGATACTGGCTTCCAGGCTCAGGATATTAGTGGCCGGAAGAAGGGCCGTGGTGTGATTTTTGGCCAAACAAGTAGCACTTTTACATTTGCAGATGTTGCAAAATCAACTTCAGGAGAAGGATTTCAGTTTGGCAAAAAAGACCTCAATTTCAAGGGATTTTCAGGTGCTGGAGAAAAATTATTCTCATCACGATACGGTAAAATGGCCAATAAAGCAAACACTTCCGGTGACTTTGAGAAAGATGATGATGCCTATAAGACTGAGGACAGCGATGACATCCATTTTGAACCAGTAGTTCAAATGCCTGAAAAAGTAGAACTTGTAACAGGAGAAGAAGGTGAAAAAGTTCTGTATTCACAGGGGGTAAAACTATTTAGATTTGATGCTGAGGTAAGGCAGTGGAAAGAAAGGGGCTTGGGGAACTTAAAAATTCTCAAAAACGAGGTCAATGGCAAACTAAGAATGCTGATGCGAAGAGAACAAGTACTAAAAGTGTGTGCTAATCATTGGATAACGACTACAATGAACCTGAAGCCCCTCTCTGGATCAGATAGAGCATGGATGTGGTCAGCCAGTGATTTCTCTGACGGTGATGCCAAACTAGAGCGGTTGGCAGCAAAATTTAAAACACCAGAGCTGGCTGAAGAATTCAAGCAGAAATTTGAGGAATGCCAGCGGCTTCTGTTAGACATACCACTTCAAACTCCCCATAAACTTGTAGATACTGGCAGAGCTGCCAAGTTAATACAGAGAGCTGAAGAAATGAAGAGTGGACTGAAAGATTTCAAAACATTTTTGACAAATGATCAAACAAAAGTCACTGAGGAAGAAAATAAGGGTTCAGGTACAGGTGCGGCCGGTGCCTCAGACACAACAATAAAACCCAATGCTGAAAACACTGGGCCCACATTAGAATGGGATAACTATGACTTAAGGGAAGATGCTTTGGATGATAGTGTCAGTAGTAGCTCAGTACATGCTTCTCCATTGGCAAGTAGCCCTGTGAGAAAAAATCTTTTCCGCTTTGATGAGTCAACAACAGGATCTAACTTCAGTTTTAAATCTGCTTTGAGTCTATCTAAGTCTCCTGCCAAGTTGAATCAGAGTGGGACTTCAGTTGGCACTGATGAAGAATCTGTTGTTACTCAAGAAGAAGAGAGAGATGGACAGTACTTTGAACCTGTTGTTCCTTTACCTGATCTAGTTGAAGTATCCAGTGGTGAGGAAAATGAACAAGTTGTTTTTAGTCACAGGGCAGAAATCTACAGATATGATAAAGATGTTGGTCAATGGAAAGAAAGGGGCATTGGTGATATAAAGATTTTACAGAATTATGATAATAAGCAAGTTCGTATAGTGATGAGAAGGGACCAAGTATTAAAACTTTGTGCCAATCACAGAATAACTCCAGACATGAGTTTGCAAAATATGAAAGGGACAGAAAGAGTATGGGTGTGGACTGCATGTGATTTTGCAGATGGAGAAAGAAAAGTAGAGCATTTAGCTGTTCGTTTTAAACTACAGGATGTTGCAGACTCGTTTAAGAAAATTTTTGATGAAGCAAAAACAGCCCAGGAAAAAGATTCTTTGATAACACCTCATGTTTCTCGGTCAAGCACTCCCAGAGAGTCACCATGTGGCAAAATTGCTGTAGCTATATTAGAAGAAACCACAAGAGAGAGGACAGATGTTATTCAGGGTGATGATGTAGCAGATGCAGCTTCAGAAGTTGAAGTGTCTAGCACATCTGAAACAACAACAAAAGCAGTGGTTTCTCCTCCAAAGTTTGTATTTGTTTCAGAGTCTGTTAAAAGAATTTTTAGTAGTGAAAAATCAAAACCATTTGTATTTGGCAACAGTTCTGCCACTGGGTCTTTGTTTGGATTTAGTTTTAATGCACCTTTGAAAAGTAACAATAGTGAAACTAGTTCAGTAGCCCAGAGTGGATCTGAAAGCAAAGTGGAACCTAAAAAATGTGAACTGTCAAAGAACTCTGATATCGAACAGTCTTCAGATAGCAAAGTCAAAAATCTCTCTGCTTCCTTTCCAACGGAAGAATCTTCAATCAACTACACATTTAAAACACCAGAAAAGGGTAGGTACTTTGTTGTTAAAGTTAAGCACAATTTTTCTTTCTTTTAATGTTTAGCTTGATGCAGACTCTTTGTGGGATACTAATGTTGGGATATAAACGATGCTTTGTGAACACCCCCAAAATATTTGAGCAATTTTTTTTCTCCCTTAATAAGTTCACGGTGAGGTTTCAAAGAGCAAGAGAACTTAGTTAAAGACATTTCAGTAACTGGAAGATACTTCTATCATGCTAGGGCAGAGCAAAAGAACTTGGTACAGTGTACGGACTCATGCTTGAATCATGCGCATTAACGTGAGTCTTTTTTTAAAGTGTTCATTTTCATTTGTTCTGTTTCTTTTGTCACTCAGAAAACATGATATTGAGGCTGGGCACGGTGGCTCACTCCTAGAATGCCAGCACTTTGGGAGGTTGAGGTGGGCAGATCACTTGAGCTCAGGAGTTCGAGACCAGCCTGGCCAACATGGTGAAACCCTGTTTCTACTGAAAATACAAAAATGAGCCGGGCATGGTGGTGCGTGCCTATAATTAGCAGCTACTCAGGAGGTTGAGGCAGGAGGATCGCTTGAGCACAGGAGATGGAGGTAGCAGTGAGCTGAAATCATGCCACTGCACTCCAGCCTGACTGAGTGACTGAGTGAGACTTTGTCTCCAAAAAAAACAAAAAACAAAAAACAAAAAAAAACATGATATTGAGATGTTCTCATTTTATGTGTTGTATGTCAGTCTTGCTCATGTATTAAATGAGCAAAGAATGAAACTACAGGGATAAATGAATATGTAAGACAGTCAGATTGGTGGTATAAATTGAGGGATTCTGGCTTTTTATGTTTTAAAAGCATATTCATTTTGTTTCCTAAAATGTTAAAAAATGAAATATTCTTTATTTTCTAGGATTTAATTTTAGCCTTTTTAAATCTAATCCCATGGCCTTTTGGACTAGCACCCCTTCCTCACAGCCTGAGAGCAAAGGTATAGAACTAGCATTCTCAGTATGAGATAACAGCAGTTTTTAGCAGCTGGGTAGCCCTTAGCAAAGTATTAATTACTGTGGCTGTATGAAATGAAGTACTTACCACTACAACATGCATGTTAAAGAATGCCAGTTTAAGCAAAGTACCTTTTGACTGGTGGCATGACACCCTTGTTGGTTTGTTTTTTAAAATGTAGTGGGATGCTGATTTGTAATGTACTTCATTGCTCTGCTATTTCAGGTCTGCTCAATGAAGACCTATGTTTTATCTAATGTTTATCTTTAGCCACTAACGTCTGCCAGTATTCACATGTAGTGGCAACGGCATGTATACAGTATGGAAGAGTGTCCCTGTAGGGCTGTTCTTTTGTGCATGGTTTAGAAAAATGTTGTATTTGAAAATGGACCCCATTTTTAACAGCCAGCATTCTACAGCTTGCATATTATATATGTTGCACAGATCATTTTTAGAAGTGTGGCTACTAGAGTGGAACAAGAAGTGGGATCTGTTGAAGGCCTTCAAGAACAGGTTAGGGAAGTGAAATCTCACCCTTAGTGACCAGTAACACATCTTAGCCATGCCAAACAAGTACAATGATAAAGTAACAATCTCTGATTTTTTTTTAAGTATACCAGTTTTATTACCAGCTAAGGTAGCTCTTAATCTTTTATTTTAAAGATACGGTCTTTGAGAAATGTGAAAAGTGTTAACTTAAAAGTGGATGTATACTTGCGTACAGTTTCTGTGAGCTCTAGGTTAAGAATCCCTGAGCTAAGAACGAATGTGCCTATACACTACTGTAGAACATAGAGCCTTATTCTGTTTTGAATCTGATAATGTCATTGTCCCAAGGGACCTTAGAAATGAAGACTTTAGACATGAGTAAACTGAGGCCAAGAGAGGCTATCTGATTTACCCAAGGGGTCTTTACTGAGTAATAGCAGAAGTGGAACAAGAATCTGTATCTTATGGTGTACTGTTATTTCTCCTAGCTAGGAAATGATACTAAGTTTTTGTTTATAATGAAGGAGAGGGACAGATTTAACATTGTAAAAGGAAGGGCACTGGTTCTGCAGAGCAGTGTCATCCAATAGAAATAAAATATAACCTGTGTATGTAATTTAAAATTGTCATTTGGTGCAATGGCTGGTGCCTATAATCCCAGTTACTTGGGAGGCTGAGGCAGAGGGATCACTTGAGCCCACAAGTTCCAGGCTTCAGTGAACTATGATCACATCACTGCACTCCAGCTCTGGGTGACAAAGGTGACAAAGGAAGACCGCATCTCAAATAAATACATAAATAAATAAATTTTCTAGTAGCCATATTAAAAAGAATAAAAAGAAACAGTTAAAAAGGGAAACAGATGAAAGTAACTTTATTGATAGATTTGATTTAACTCATTATGTCCAAAATATCATTTTAACTTCTAATTAATATAAAAATTAACGATATTTTACATTATTGTTTTTCACCAAGTCTTCAAAATCCAGTGTGTGTGTTTACACTTACTGTTAGCATGTCTTGATTTGGACTAGCCACCTTGTGAGGTTTTAATAGAATGTGGCTAGGCTACCATATTGGACACCATAGCTCTCAGAATGTTTCCCTGTCACCAGTTGGTATACATGGCATGCTTCATAACTGGCTTACTTTATTAAACTCCTTTAGCCAGAAGTTCTTCTTTACATTAATAGATCAGAACAGGTTGCATATAGAAGTTTTTTCTGTTTCTAATTTTTTGCCCTTTGCATTGATGGTGGCTGGGGATGGGTTGTTTTCAGCCATATGAATGGTCTTAGATTTTATAGTATTAGCTACCCATAGAGTCACAGTTTTTATTTAATTTTATCTAGTATCATGCTTGAACACAGGCAAACTAGATGCAACTCTAGTCACCTTCCATTCTTGGCAATTGTTAACTTTCCTTACAGGAACTAATCACAGTTGGCTTTGGATTAGTTTCATATGTATACTAATACTTGCTTATGTTTTAAGATTTTTTTCAATTGCTGCAAATGCGTGGATATTTTGGTAAACTATTGTATGCTAAGTATAGTTAGGCAACACTTTAAAATTTTTAACCTTTTTAAATTCTAGAAATTTTGTAGTAATTCTTTTCAATGACTATTAAGTAAACACAAGATTTTTTTTGTTTTCTTTGGTTTTAAATAGATTCTGTGTTCACTTAGGGTTTTTGGTAGAACACTAAATCAGGATGCTAATTCTAATTCATGATTATCGTACATCTCTGCATCAAAGTATATGTGTTTTTTATCAGTATGCTGTTTTAACCTATAGATAGGTTCCATGGTTTTTATTTTCAGGTAGAGTATTAACGTCAATACTTAATACCTTATCTTTGTCAACTTTTTTGACTGGTGTTACAGCAAAAGAGAAGAAAAAACCTGAAGATTCTCCCTCAGATAGTCTCGGTCTCCTGACCTCGTGATCCACCCGCCTCGGCCTCCCAAAGTGCTGGGATTACAGGCATGAGCCACTGCGCCTGGCTGACACATGTCTTAATTCTGGTATTCACCAGATTTGTTTCGTGTTCTCCGTTGTTAGTCATCAAATTTGTCTACTTTTTAAATAGAAACATTAGCTAGAGCAAGGAACTTAGAAACACTCAAGCGGCACTGAATGTGTAGAATTGCATAACCAATATAGCTTCTTTGCTTTCACATTTACAATTAGTTGGAGTTTTAGTTCAGCCGTACCCAGTATCTTCCATTCTGCTTCCAGGAAGAAATGGAAAAATGTCAGCCATGATGATGCAGTATTTTAGTAGCAAGTTGATGGTGTTTTGGTTTCCCATGGGAAATATTGTCACTGGAGCATTAGCAGCTATCGGTCACTTATTAGGGTAAAAAAGCAACTTCAGAAGAATTTAATATATGCCAAAGAATCAACAAAGGAAGTAATCAGCCAGGGCAAAGGTCGCACAAGAGATTGTAATCTAGCAATCAGCAGTGGAATAAGCAGTCAGCTTACCAGAAACCCAGGAAAATGCTTCAGAAAGGGCAGTCAGGACTAAGGCAATTTAATGAAATGCAAAATAAATGAAATCTGAAGTTTAAATAAAAATCTAGATTACAATTCTGGTTTCTAACTCAGTTATGAGACCTTGGGCAAAGTCATTAAATTTCTCTGAACTTCAGATTTTTGGGAGTCAATAAACCAATACATGTCAAAGGGCCTGGTAAACTTTACAGTTTAGACCAGGCGTGGTGTCTCACCCCTGCAATCTGAGCACTTTGGGAGCCAAAGCAGTTGGATCACATGAGGCCAGGAGTTTGAGACCAGTCTGAACAACATGGTGAAATCCCATCTCTATTAAAAGTACAAAAATTATCTGGGCGGGATGGCATGCACCTGGAAGTCCCAGCTACTTGTGGGGCTGAGGTGGGAGGATGGCCTGAGCCTGGGAGGCAGAGGTTGCTGTGAGCCAAGATCGTGCCACTGCACTCCAACCTGTGTGACAGAGTGAGACCCTGTCTCAGAAAAAATAACACTTTACAGTTTATCAGCAAACAGGAAAGTCTTGCTAGGCAATGTAATTGATTAGTTCCGTGCCCTGGATTCTGGGCTCTTAACTGTATGAGCACTGTAGGTGTGAGCAGCAACAATTAAGAAGCTGCAGAGGTAAAGGTATAAGGGCAGTGATTGAGGATGTCTACCAAGCAGATTTCAGCAAGTGTGTTTCAAGAAGTATGCAGCAATCTGAAATACCTAATCCTGAAAAATTTCTAGAATCTAGTCTTTTAATTTTGGCCAGTATTTAGCAGTAGTTTGGCCCTCTACTCTAAATTAATAAAAAATAAGTAGTACTATATTATGAGCTGTGTTATCTAACAGTTTATCTTAGCTAGTAGCAATTAATTTATAGCTGCTATTAAAATGACTAACGTAGTTAAAAGTTTGATGAGTAAGTTTTTTTTTGTTGTTTTTTTTTTTTGAGCTGGCGTCTCGCTCTGTCGCCAGGCTGGAGTGCGGTGGCGTGATCTTGGCTCACTGCAACCTCCGCCTCCTGGTTTCCAGCAATTCTCTGCCTCAGCCTCCCCAGCAGCTGGGATTACAGGCACCTGCCACTGTGCCTGGCTAATTTTTGTATTTTTAGTAGAGATAGGGTTTCACCATCTTGGCCAGGCTGGTCTTGAACTTGCTGACCTCGTGATCCACCCACCTTAGCCTCCCAAACTGCTAGGATTACAGATTTGAGCCACCACGCCCGGCCTTGATGACTAAATTTTAAGAAATGTTTTAGCAATTCTTCATACACCTTTCACTTATAGTTACTTAATTCCTCTACTCTTATCATTTGATATTTTCATTTTATTGTGTACCTCTGTAAGGCCGAATCAATAGATTTTGAACAATCTCACACTTAACCTTTAAAAAAAATCTAATAGGCCCAGTTTCCTCTCAACAATCTTTGAAGAACCTTCGAGAAAGGAGAAACACAGACCTCCCGCTTCTAGACATGCACACTGTAACCCAGGAAGAGGGAGAAGGCATGGAGACAACTGATACGGAGTCTGTGTCTTCCGCCAGCACATACACACAGTCTTTAGAGCAGCTGCTTAATTCTCCCGAAACTAAACTTGGTCTGTTACTCTGTCTAAATATGTTCTTCTTCTTTAATTTCACTGTCTTATTTAATTACTATTACTCTAAGGTACATATGCTTTTTTGGGCTGCTCCAATAAAATTTCTTTCAATATTCCACTACCTGTTTGTATTAGGGTTCTCTAGAGGGACAGAACTAATTGGATGGTTGGATGGATGGATGGGATGGATGGATGGATGCTTATTAAGTATTACCTTACACGATCACTAGGCCATCTGCAGACTGAGGAGCAATGAGAGCCAGTCCAAGTTCCAAAACTGAAGAACTAGGAGTCTGATGTTCAAGGGCAGGAAGCATCCAGCACAGGAGAAAGATGTAGCTTGGGAGGCTAGGCCAGTCTCGCCTTTTCAGGTTTTTCTGCCTGCTTTATATTCGCTGGCAGCTGATTAGATGGCACCTACCAGATTAAGGGTGGGTCTGCCTTCCCCAGCCCACTGACTCAAATGTTAATCCCTTTGGCAACACCCTCACAGACAACACTCGGATTAATACTTTGCATCCTTTAATCCAATCAGGTTGACACCCAGTATTAACCATCACACTGTCCAAATGGAAAAATTATTAAACAAATCTTTTTTAAAATAAAATGCTAGCTCTTGCCCTAGGCTTGAACCATAAATAAGTGGTGGGAAGTTTATAGTCACAAATAGGTGGTGGGTATTAGAAAGCAGGATAAACTATCCTCTCACCCTTCCAAGAAACTGACAGTTTCAGTTTATTCCTCTTGATGAAGTAATGCTAAATTTTTGTAGTGATGTTTTGGTATATTTTATTACTTGTAATTAATATTACTGTTCAAAATTTAGGGGGAATCTGTCATCTTCCTGAAACTTCAGAATCACCTGGAGTAAGGGTCATTTGTATTCATGGTCACTGACCACGTGGGGTAGAAACTGCAAGTCATGGTTCCTTCAGGCAAAGTTAATAGTGGTGACACGGAGGCATCATGATAGAGCAGCAGACTCCAGAAGCCAATTTGACTTTGTGATTTCTGAAAAAATTACCTGTCAACTGTGAGCCTGTTTCATCATCTGTAAAGTTTGAATAATGATACCTACCCCGCCTGATAGAAGATTCTTATGAGGGAACATGATACGTGACCAGTAAATGTTAATGCTTTCCTTATACGTGAAATGACATAAAATCTTGGAATATTAATAGATGGGAAGAAGATGTGTAATAAAACTGTCTATAAACACAATTCTGACAAATTTCAGAACTGGGATTCATAGGGCTTTATTCAGTTAGATTACATGCTTTACAACAGAGATACTGTTTTATTTGTGTCACCTACAACATATAATCTGTTGATTGAGGTATGCTGAATAGATGAATGGCAAAGAAAGCAGACCTATAAAATATCACATAGTAAGATATTTATATTTAGATTTTTCTTATTTAGAATCTTCATCTGTAATGTATGATTTTGAAAATTAATTCTTGGAACAACATCTTGCAGAGCCTCCATTATGGCATGCTGAATTTACCAAAGAAGAATTGGTTCAGAAGCTCCGTTCCACCACAAAAAGTGCAGATCACTTAAACGGCCTGCTTCGGGAAATAGAGGCAACCAATGCAGTCCTTATGGAGCAAATTAAGGTGAGATCAGAAAACCTGGCCACCGTGAAAACCGCCAGTTTGGTTTTCTGGACCCTCCACACACATGCACCCAAGTTTAAAAATTCACATTGCAGATGCATCTATAACGTCTTGATCTTTATATTAGATTCCTGATGGTGAGAAATATTGCCTTTTTTTTTTTTTTTTGAGACAGTCTTGCTCTGTCACCCAGGCTGGAGTGCAGTGGCACGATCTTAGCTCACTGCAAGCTCCACCTCCCAGGTTCACGCCATTCTCCTGCCTCAGCCTCCCGAGTAGCTGGGACTACAGGTGCCCGCCAACATGCCTGGCTAATTTCTTTGCATTTTTAGTAGAGACAGGGTTTACCATGTTAGCCAGGATGGTCTCGATCTCCTGACCTCGTGATCCACCTGCCTTGGCCTCCCAAAGTGCGGGTATTACAGGTGTGAGCCACCGCATCCAGCCAAAATACTTCTTTTACACCTATTACATAAAGATTATTTCTTAATTCCTACTTTTCCTAAGAAACCGTAATAGATTTAGAAACTAGAGAGATGTTCACAAATCATTGTTCACATATGCTTAAATAAAAAATGGGTGTGAGTCTTTGAATTCTAAAGATAACCAGTGAATTTAAATTATTCAACTGATATTTATAGTACTGAACTACTAAACAGTTTTCAGGTGGAGATGGCAAAGTGGCATGGGAAGTTTTTCCTGTTTAAAGTAGACACCAGAAACATCTAGGAATGTTGCAGAACAGTTGAGGATTACTCAAATGAGGTTTTTCCACCCTGGCTCACTGATAAATCACCCCTCAGAATATAGTCATACTGCTTGTTGAGGAGTTCTTATGACCCAGGCCCTGGGCTTTACATACGTTATTTAATCTCATCACTGGTTGAGAGAAAAATTGAAGCTGGTAAATGGTGGAACAAAATTCAAACTCATAGCTGTCTGAAAAGTACATGCTTTTCCCCTGTACTTTGCTGCTCCTAATAGATCTGTCCTGCCACTGTGCAAGGCCACTAGCTATCCTTGTCAGATTATTTTAAAGCCGAATTCAGTTATTTTCAGTAAATTGTATATATCATGACATTCCACCATTAAATACTTCAGTATGCATCTCTATAAAATAACATTTTCCCACTAATAAAAACATTATCATAGCTAACAAATCACTAACTAGCCCAGTAAACCTAAATGACTTATTTAAATGTTATATTTTCTTTTTTTTTTTTTTTTTGAGACAGTCTCGCTCTGTCACCAGGTTTGGAGTGCAGTGGTGCAATCTCAGCTCACTGCAATCTCCGCCTCCCAGGTTCAAGCGATTCCCCTGCCTCAGCCTCCCGAGTAGCTGGGACTGCAGGCATGCACCACCATGCCCGGCTAATTTTTTTTATTTTACTAGAGACACAGTTTCACCATGTTGGCCAGGACAGTCTGAATCTCCTGACCTCGTGATCTGCCTGCCTCAGCCTCCCAAAGTGTTGGGATTACAGGCATGAGCCACCACGCCTGGCCAAATGTTATATTTTCATAAATTTGTACTCTCTTCATGATTTCTTCGTCTTCTTTATTGTCACTTTTTTAAATGGTCCTAGGTTTGAGGACAAAGTTCGCTAACTTTCTTGCCTAACCTAAAATGAAAATATACTAAAAGCTATGGCTTGGTTTCAACCTGGAAATCTTCCTCAAAGACTTGAACATGATATTACCTTTTTTATAGTGTTCTTTGCCTCATTTCTCTGATAGTGTTTTACATTGTCTTATATTCCTGAATTTTCACTGTGTCTGAACTTTTGTTTTGATTAAGTGCCGTTCACTGTGGACGTCTTAACTGCCTGGGACTTTAGGAACAGGGTAGGGGCAGGGGGTTAGTGGAGGCTGCCGATGTTCCCCTCAGCCCATTTTCAGAGCCCCATGCCATACTGGCTTAGTTTCTATCGAAAGTAGAAGGCAGAGGGAACATCTTGGTACCAACCCATGGCTCCAGTTAGTTGCTCCTCATGGAGACGTTCCATCAGTTCCCCAGCTTTCAACTCCATTTCCATGATACCCTGTGCTTCTGAGACAAGAACCCCAGTATTTACACAGGATGCATCCTCTCCTCTTGTCAGTGATACTTGGTAAGCTGCTGGACTGACTCATTTCCACCTCTTCATCTGTTTCTCGTGAGAATTTCTTGATGTGTCTCATCTACTTTTTCTCCTCTTGTATTAGCTTGTTGCTTTTCTACTTCGCCCCTCTTCCTTCCAACCCCAAATAGCTTAGGACAATGGAGTCCTATAGCCCAACACTTGGTTCATATGCAGCAATCCACTTTCTAGGCAAATGCAGCTTTGAAACTATCTCATAGTTGGAGTTCCGGTTTTCATGTCAAATGGATTTTATACGGTGATGTCATAAACTCCTTTGAAATGCTTCACATGCAGCTGCTGTAGTTAACTGAATTCCTTCCTTTATTGCCATATGGAGGGAAGGGGGAAATTTGGGGGGAAGAGAAGAAAAATACATGAGTTCAGTCTGCCATATTTAATCAGAAGCTCCTAAAGCCCATTTTTAACTCATTTCTCTAACACCAGCTTCTCAAAAGTGAAATAAGAAGATTGGAAAGGAATCAAGAGCGAGAGAAGTCTGCAGCTAACCTGGAATACTTGAAGAACGTCTTGCTGCAGTTCATTTTCTTGAAGCCAGGTAGTGAAAGAGAGAGACTTCTTCCTGTTATAAATACGATGTTGCAGCTCAGCCCTGAAGAAAAGGGAAAACTTGCTGCGGTTGCTCAAGGTGGGTAAAAGGAGAGTCTCAGAACTTCTGACTTCTAACTTAAACTAAACAGCCTGGTGGTTGAGAAGTTGTCTGTATGTGTAACTTTTCAATTTTGCTCATTTGAATTGGGTCTGTCATATGAGTAGGCCGTGACTAGATTTGAAAAGCTGACTTTTTAACATCTTGAGGCAACTGTAGTACATTTATATAATTTTAACGTTCAGCAAAATACAATAAGTGCTTAGCTTGATCTTCTAGCTCTTTGAAAATTGGATTTTTATCCTGGGGTTGAGTTCTGGTGTTCAGCTGAACGTGGTTTTGTTTTAAATTCTACTTTTTAAAAAACATTTATTAGCTTGTTCCTTTTCTACTTCACGCCTCTTCCTTCCTCCAACCCCAAATAGCCTAAGACAATGGAGCCATAGAGCCCAACACTTGGTCTATATACAGCAGTCCACTTTCTAGGCAAATGCAGTTTTAAAACTGTGCCATAGGCCAGGCGCCGGTGGTTCACGCCTATAATCCCACCACTTTGGGAGGCCGAGGCAGGCGGATCACAAGATCAAGATACCGAGACCATCCTGGCCAACATGGTGAAATCTCGTCTCTACTAAAAATACAAAAATTAGCTGGACGTGGTGGCATGCGCCTGTAGTCCCAGCTACTCAGGAGGCTGAGGCAGCAGAGTCGCTTGAACTCACGAGGCGGAGGTTGCAGTGATGTGTCACGCCACTGTACTCCAGCCTGATGGCAGAGCGAGACTCCATCTCAAAAAAAAAAAACAAAAAACTATGATGTAGTTAGAGTTGGTTTCCATGTCAGATGGATTTAATACTGTGATGTCATTAACTTCTTTGAAATGCTTCATATACAACTGCTATAGTTAACTGAATTCAAGCTGCATCTTAAGAATTATGGTTTCGTTTTTGTTTTAGTTTTAAATTACTTTTATTTTTGACATTTACAAGCACAAGGAAGACGCTATAATCTCTCTTGAGTTGTCACCCATCTCTAACAGTTTTCAACTCATGGACAATCTTTTGGCGTAACTAGGGGAGAGTTAGAGACTTAAATCCCACACATCATTTCTTTCCCCAGTGAATAATTCAATGTTTATTGGATTTCTCTGTCACCTATACCTAGTTTATGTTCATTTTGCCTGTGTTATTGTGAATGTCTTTTTATAGTATCCTAAATAGGGCTCATATATTGCATTTGGTTGATATTCCTTAAGCTTTATTTTGTTGTTGTGTTTTTGTTTGTTTGAGACGTAGTGTTGCTCTGTCACCCTGGCTGGAGTGCAGTGGTCCGATCATGGCTCACTGCAACCTCCGCCTCCCGGATTCAAGTGATTCTCCTGCCTCAGCCTCCCAAGTAGCTGGGACTACAGACGCACGCCAGCTAATTTTTCTATTTTTAGTAGAGACGAGGTTTCACCATGTTGGCCAGGATGGTCTCAATCTCCTGACCTTGTGATCTGCCCGCCTTGGCCTCCCAAAGTGCTGGGATTACAGGTGTGAGCCACCACACCCAGCCATTTTGTTGTTTTTTTATCTATAACAATTATATATATAAGTATATTTTTAATGTGCCACTTATTAATTGAAGAAAGTGGTCATTTATGCTATAGCAGTTCTATATTTGGGTTTTAATCATTACAGGGTAACACTGAGCTTGTTCCAATTGCCTATAAATAGGAAGATCCAGGTGCAATTGGGTGGGATGGTGGACAAAAATACATCATAGATGGTATTGTGTGCTTTCTAAGACATGAGGAGGCCCAGAATGTCCAGACAACTTACTTTTGACTGATTGACCTTATCTAGTTGGTGTTCTTTAACATGTTCCCCATCCCCTGTAAACCCTAATAACTAAACTGATAAGAGTCATCCTCAAAATTGAGCAGGCATCTGAATCATCTGGTATACTTACTAAAATTCCAATTGCTGGTCCCCAATTTCTGACCCAAGATTCTGCATTTTTAGCAATTTGTTGCTGATGCTTCTGGTCTGGGGCCCATACCTTGAGAACCCCCGGTCTAGAGGCCTGATAAGATTCAGGCTTAATTTTTTTTACAGACATACTTCATAAGTAGTATTGATAGTTTCTTTGAATCTGGTTTTTAATAATCTTTCTAATGATGAAGGAGGAATGTTCTCAATACTGACAGTAATCTCAGTTCTTCAAACTATAGGATAGGTTTCTATAGCCACAATAGTATTTTTGTCACAAGGGCCCAAATAAGAATACATCATGTATATTTTTAATACTTATTCAAATTACAAATTCACTGTCTTTAATTTATTCTAACAAAAGTAAACCTAATTTTATAGTTATAAAAAAGAAGAAATCTACTTCTAGTCACCTAAGAGTAAAACTGCCCTTATAAAAAACAAGACAGAAATCTCAAAATTATAACTAATTTTATAGTTATAAAATTAACCAGGACTTTAAGAACGTTTGCATTTTAAAATTAAAGTTTTCAATAGTTTTCAATACAACAATGATACTATCTCAAAATACTCAGCATGTCTAACAGGCCTCTTTTAAAAGCTCAGCATGTTTAATGTAGGTGTTGCTAACGTCCAGGTGGCTCCTATAAGTTAAGGGTCCATTGATTTAGAAGTTCTAAAAGAGACTAACCTAAGGGATACCAATAACAGATATTTTTAAAGAATTTCATAGAGGAGATACACATTAGAAACCCAGAACTCTAAGATGTGCATTTGCTAAGTCCTGTAAACAGACAGGAAAACACATTTACATTAGTTTGCCCTTTAAAGATTATTTCCTACTTGTCTCTTATCAATGTGAGTACATAAAAGAGACCTTATTACAATTAAAAACAATGATGGTTTAGCAGCAGATTTAGATACCTTACATTCTCTCTTTAAGAGAGAGAATGTAAGGCCTGGTGCGGTGGCTCACACCTGTAATCCAGCACTTTGGCAGGCCGAGGAGGGTAGATCACCTGAGGTCAGGAGTTCGAGACCAGCCTGGCCAACATGGTGAAACCCCGTCTCTACTCAGAATACAAAAATTAGCCGGGCGTGGTGGCGCATGCCTGTAATCCCAGCAACTTGGGAGGCTGAGGTAGGAGAACTGCTTGAACCCAGGAGGCAGAGGTTGCAGTGAGCCGAGATGGTGCCATTGCACTCCAGCCCAAGCAACAAGAGCAAAACTCCTATCTCAAAAAAAAAAAAAAAAAAAAAAAAAAATAAAAAAAAAAAAAAAGAATGTAAACTACAAGATGGTTCAAAAGAAATTACACGGAATTCAGCATGGGAGAAACAAAAAACAAGAGTGGGAAAAGACATCAAACATGTTTTTACTAATCGAAGTTCTAAAAGGAGAGACGAGAATACAGCACAGATAATATATGAAGAGAATGGCTGGAAATCTTTCAGAACTGTTGAAGGATATCTATCCACAGATTCAAAAACCCAATAAAATCTCAAGCAGTATTAAAAAAAAAAAGAAGAAATCTACTTCTAGTCACATAAGAGTAAAACTGCCCCTAAAAAAGACAGAGAGAAATCTCAAAAGCAGCCAGAGAAAGAAGACACATTGCCTCACAATAGACTTCTCAACA